>NC_000012.12:125889263-126190887 GCF_000001405.40 Homo sapiens
TCCAAATTCACTTATTAACTAAAAAGATGGCTGAGCAGAGACAATGGTTAGGAAAAAACACTAGTGGAAAATTAAATGCTCTTTGATTTACTTTTTTCCCTTTTTTATTTGAAGTATCACCAGTTGCAAAAGCAAACTAAAAATTCCTCTACTTCTTCCATGGAATCAAATAAAATTAAATCTGGACTATAACATATAAATAGAACATAACCCTAAAGTAAGATTCAGAACACAACTATTTGCTTAAAAAATGTCGTTTGCTTTCCCTTCTGATTGCTAAATAAGAATGCATTTCAAAGCCTTTGGAACGGTAAAACAGGCTTTCTGAAGATCGTTAGAATTTCCAAGTTGAGAAGGTGTTTTCTCAAACCGATTAGGAAGCAATGAAAGCCTCAACCTCCCTGACTACGGTAAAATGAGGCATCTCCCAAATCTATGAAGAGCCCGTTAGAGTAGTGCTTCAGGTTCCTCTCGAAAAAGCTGGGCGAGAGTTCCCACTAAGGCGAAGATCATTCACAGGTGAAGGGAGACAGAGCAGGCGATGGGCAAATTGGCAGAGAATGCTGCCCTGGGATTTTGCCCACTGTTTTAGCCTCAGAGCTCTCCACACAAACCCTGGAAGCGTCTAATGCTGGGACAGCTCACAGTGGGACACTAGAACAAAGTCTGCCTTTAAATGTGGGAATTATTCCTAAAATGTCTTTGTTGACAGCTGGTGAGGCACAAAATAAACACAGGCCTATTTGCAAGTAAGCGAGAATTAGCATAATCAGCAGCTGCAGCCTTACCCACGGACACAGAACCATAAAGAACCTCATGCCTTCTGAAACAAAGTTAGGGAAGGGGCCTGCTTGGAATAATAGTCACCACCTGCCAATGTCCCCAAACCAGAGCAAGGAAGAGCTGTTTGCTACTGGCCTAAGCATCCTCTAGAGTTTTCTAATTAAAACAGAAACTAATCTTCTGTTAATAATATGACACTCGAGTATTTAGAAATAAGTTTCCTTTGCAGATGAGGCTTTAAAAAAATAGCTTTTATTCTCCACCATCCAAAATGTAACAGATAATCTTCAGAGTCATCTATGAAGATGGTTTATGTAAAATCTCTTCCATTTTGTCATCCTAGAGGATGATCAAAATACAAGAGAAAACAAGGAGGAATCTGAGAAAAGAATGGTTTTATGTTTTGCTGGATGAATGCCACCAATGTGCCCATGGAGACTTTGTTTTCCAAACCTGTGGAAAGTTAGTCTCCGTGTCCATAATTAGAAATGGAACATAGGGTTACATCATGGTCAGATTTTCTGCACAGCCCCAGCTCCTACTTTCTTCTGGTGCTTGAGTGGCTGAAATGAAATTATTTGCACACTCAAGACAAATATGTACTCTCTTCTTAACAGCGGTGGAAGAATTCTTAAGAAAATAGCTTTTTACTGATCGAAATCTGTGATAGCGAATGGCATATAGAGGGTGGACAGAACTGTAATCAATCAGTCATGCACGTGCCCTACGTCCCTCTCTCTCCTCCTTCAAAAACGTCATTTCTTAATGCACAAACTGGTATGTATACCTTTGGGCTGCATATTTCTGAGTTTTGAAGCTTATCATTGTCACTTTATTCAGGACAAACTTTGGTGAGGTCCAATTTGTTATATCAGATTTCATTAAAATAAAAGGGCTCCCCTAAAATCTCTCTCTCAACTCATTTCTACTAAAACAGTGTTGTGACTGTGTTTCCTCGACCATGGCCTGCTGTGATTTACCTTTGTGCACATCACAAAGCTTCCAGAGCTGCTGGGATCACAGTCCCCGAGGCCTGACCTTTCCTTGTGCCCATGTCTTCCGCAGCTCTGCTGCCTTTCTCCCTGACGCTGCAAAGGCAACTTGCACTTATAGATTCCTTCCCACTTTAGTCATGGAATGTAGGTCAGTTTTAAAAATAAACACAAGTGGGTAGCCCTGATCCCAGGAAGTGCTGGATGTGGAGAGCAGCCCTAGGCATAGCTCTGGAGTAAGGAAGCAGACAGGTAGTAGTGTTACTTAGTGATTTTATTTCCAAATGCGTGGCTCTTTTCAGGTGCAAGAGACTTAAAAAATAAAAATAAAAAAACCCAACGACTCAAAGTTGCTTAGTTTTTTAAAAGCGAAAATTTGTCAGCCGATGTGTAAGTCCAGGGTATCAGGCTTGACTAGTTCTTGGGCCTCAAATAATGTAAACAGGGTGATATGGTTAGGCTTTGTGTCCCCACTCAAATCTCATCTTGAATTGTAATCCCCGTAATCCCCAGGTGTCAAGAGAGAGACCAGGTGGAGGTAATTGAATCATGGGGGCAGTTTCCCACATGCTGCTCTCGTGATAGTGAGTGAGTTCTCATGAGATCTGATGGTTTCATGAAAGAGTTCTTCCAGCTGGGCGCAGTGGCTCACGCCTGTAATCCCAGCACTTTGGGAAGCCGAGGTGGGTGGATCACCTGAGGTCGGGAGTTCAAGAGGAGCCTGACCAACATAGAGAAATCCTTCTCTACTAAAAATACAAAACTAGCCGGGTGTAGTGGCGTATGCCTGTAATCCCAGCTATTTGGGAGGCTGAGGCAGGAGAATTGCTTGAACCCAGGAGGTGGAGGTTGCAGTGAGCTGAGATTGCACCTTTGCACTCCAGCCTGGGCAACAAGAGAGAAACTCTGTCTCAAAACAAAAAACAAAACAAAATAAATAAATAAATAAATAAATAAATAAATAAATAAATGAGGCTCTTCCCTGCTTGGCTCAGCACTTCTCCTTCTTGCCGCCGTTTGAAGAAGTGCCTTGCTTCCCCTTCACCTTCTGCCATGATTGTAAGTTTCCTAAGGCCTCCCTACCGATGCTGAACTGTGAGTCAATTAAACCTCTTTCCTTTATAAATCACCCAGTCTCGGGCAGTTCTTTATAGTATTGTGAGAACAGACTAATACCCAGGGCTTCATTGTCTTACTTTGTCTTTATTTTTGTCCTATTGCAAAAGTAACACTTCCTAACATAGGAGATTGGAAAATGTGGGTAATTGCAGAGAAGAAAATAAAATTTGTAAGTTATTTCAAATTCAGAGGAAACAAGGGTCATAATTTTGGCACATTTTTGATGTTTCATTTGATTTTTAGACTTTTGTTCTTTGCAAAATGCATTTAGACTGTGGTAGCCAGAATTCTAGGTTGGACTCTGAATCATACCCCTTGGTATGTTTGTTCTTCTTCAGTGTGGGTGGAACCTATGGATATGTTACACTCTATGATAAAAGAAAAGGAATTTTGTAGATGTAATTAAGTTTTCTAATCAGTTGACTTTGAGTTAATTAAAAAAAAAGAATGTCGGCTGGGCATGGTGGCTCACACCTGTTTTCCCAGCACTTTGGGAGGCTGAGGCAGGCAGATCACTTGAGGTCAGGAGTTCGAGACCAGTCTAGCCAAAATGGTGAAACCCTGTCTCTACTAAAAATACAAAGATTGGCTGGATGTGGTGGCTCATGTCTGTAATCCCAGCACTTTGGGAGGCTGAGGTGGGCAGATCATGAGGTCAGGAGATCGAGACTGTCCTGGCTAACATGGTGAAACCCTGTCTCTACTAAAAATACAAAAAATTAGCTGGGTGTGGTGGTGGGTGCCTATAGTCCCAGCTAATTGGGAGGCTGAGGAAGGAGAATGGCGTGAACCTGGGAGGCGGAGCTTGCAGTGAGCCGAGATCGCACTACTGCCCTCTAGCCTGGGCAACAGAGTGAGACTCCGTCTCAAAAAAATAAATAGTCCATGGTGGGCCTGACCTAATCAGGCAAGCTCTTCATAAGGGGACTTCAGGCTTTCCTGTGGCCAGAGACCTGAAGCAGCAATGAGACACATTCTTGCTGGCCTTGAAGAATCAAGTAATCACGAGCTCTACAGCTGCAAGAGAGGAATTCTGCCCATAATCAGATGAGCTTGGAAGAGAACCCCAGCTTTTAAATGAGACTGCTGCCCTGGCTGACACTGTGCAGCCTTCTGAGACTCTGAGCAGAGTGCTTCATGAAGCTGTGCCTGGACTCCTGACCCTCTGTGAGATAAACTTGTGCTGTCTCAAGCCATTTACTTTGTGATTTGTTAAGCAACATTAAACAAAACAAAAACCTAACACAGATCAGGCATGATGGCTCACACCTGTAATTCCAGTGCTTTGGGAGGCTGAGGCAGAGTCACTTGAGCCCAGGAGTTCAAGACCAGCCTGAGCAATATAGTGAGGCCCTGTCTTTGCAAAAAAAATTAGCCAGGCATGGTGCCTCACATCTGTAGTCCCAGCTACCTGGGAGGCTGTGGCAGGAAGATCACTGGAGCCTAGGAGCTGGAGGATACAGTGAGCTGTGTTCATGCTACTGCACTCCAGCCTGGGCAACAGAGCAAGACCCTGTCTCAAAACACACACACACACACACACACACACACAGAGACATGCAAATAAAGGAATCATGTACATATTACATAACTTGTAACATTTATTACATGGTTTAATGAATGACTAGTGTTCCATCATATGGATGCATTGTTGGCTACTTCATTCCAGTGTCATAAACACAATGCTTATAGGATTCTGACAGGAATCTATAAAATTTTACCTTCTTACAGTCACGATGTAATAAGTGTTAGAGAACCAGACAACGCATGGCCAGGCTAAAGGGGACATTTATTACTTAGCTGCAGCCAAAGGATTTTTTTTAATTTTTAAATTTAGTTATTCTTATTGTTTCACACTGGAATAGACTATTCCATGTCTTTCTATGTTTTTTTAAGAGAAGCTAGAACTCTGGAATTCTATATGGGAAATGATTTTTACAAATACTGTCATCTAATTCAAATTTTTTGTTTGTTTGTTTGTTTTTGAGATGGAGTCTCGCTCTGTCACCCAGGCTGGAGTGCCATGGTGCAATCTCAGCTCACTGCAAGCTCCGCCTCCCCGGTTCACGCCATTCTCCTGCCTCAGCCTCCCGAGTAGCTGGGACTACAGGCACCTGCCACCATGCCTGGCTAATTTTTTTGTATTTTTAGTAGAGATGGGGTTTCACCGTGTTAGCCAGGAAACTAATTCAAATTTAATTTAGCTCAGTGGGCGGGCCAAATGAAAATTGTTGGCTTCTGATATTTAACTCATAGGTTTCTAATTTACAGCTTATGATAGAACCAATTCAGTATTGTTAGACACAGACTATCCCCAACCTTTCATTATTATAAACAATGTATAAGTGAACATATTTGAACTAAATCATTGCTTGCATTCTGTGATTTATTCTACAGGGTAAATATCATGGTGTGGAAAATATGGGTTAAATTGTATGTATATACTTAAGGTTCTTAATGCATACTGTAAACCCCAATAAGTTTGCAAAAATTCCTCAGAAGCAAACACAATTATCAGTCCCTTGATACTTTTTTTTTTTTTGAGGCAGAGTCTTAGTATGTCACTCAGGCTGGAGTGCAATGGCGCAGTCTCCACTCACTGGAACCTCTGCCTCCTGGGTTCAAGTGGTTCTCATGCCTCAGGTTCCTGAATAACTGGGACTATAGGCATGTACCATTATGCCTGGCTAATTTTTGTGATTTTTGGAGAGACAGGGTTTCACCATGTTGACCAGGCTTGTCTCAAACTCCTGACCTCAAGTGATCCACCCGCCTTGGCTTCCCAAAGTGCTGGGATTACAGGTGTGAGCCACCGCACCAGGCCAGTCTCTTGATACTTATTTGACATTTAGATACTATTTTTTTTTACATATATATTTTAAATTTCATCAGTGTAGTTAACATCGTGTAATTCGTAAGTGTTTATTATTGGTGAGGTTGAACATTTTCCATCTATTTATTGCTCATTTATATTTTTTATTTGATGGATCATCTTTTCATATTCTTTTTTTAATTTTAGAGGTCTTATATATTAGGAAATTTGCATAGAGTTTCAATTCTGTATCATATTGAAGCTGTGAAAAAACTTTATCCTAACAAAAATTAATATTTAACCATATGGAAATAATACATCTTAGAATGATTTTCTCCTGATTGAAGTATTCCAGTATTTGAAACAAGAAATTCTTAGACTCAAGTTTATTGCATGACAACGGGGCCATCCTTCTAAGATCTGATTCACACTCTGGTCTATGCATAGGTTTTGCCATTGGAGCAAGGTAATATATCATGTTTCAACAATAAGAGGAAGCAAGAGCAGAAGCATTAAAAAGCAAAGATCTAAGAAAAAATAGGTTCAGCTTTCCCTCCGGCTTAAGCTTTAGAAAGTAGTAAAGAACATCACTCCTGTTCTAGTAACAAGAGAAACCTGGGTCACCTACAGAATCACACATTTTCCTGTGCCCATGAGAGAGCTGAGATTTCAAGGCCACCAAATAAACAATTCCAGAGAAGGACCAGACCTTCCAGAGAGAGGACACTCAGACTGTTTTACCCTTGCCAGAGTATGGGACAGGAGACGGTTGCCACACCGGCGAGTAAGAAGAAATTAGATAAAGTTTTCATGAATTGTTTCGGACCACATATGAGTCAGGCTGGAGTCTGGAGTAGCTGGGGGCCCCAGACACAAGGAGAGTTCAATGCATGTGGAAGGTCTTTTCCTGGACTTTGCTCAGGAGAAAGATTGGAGGTAGGGCAGGTCTTACCTAAGAGAGACTCCAGGGTGCCTTGGCTATGCAGATGGTGATCTGTGGCTTCCGAGGGAAGGACGCAAAACCCCATCTGCTTCCCAGATGTCTTTCTTCAACTAACCAAAGCGTTTTGTTGCTGGGGGAGAGGAAGCACGCCCTTTAGCCCACAGGACAGTGGCAAAAACCTATTGCTTCTCCAGAAGCGGTAGGAGCTAAACCTTCATACCTTTCTAAGAGAGACAACAATCTCTTTAAATTCCCAAGACACGGGCTAAGATGCTTTGCTGCTGGTAGAGGCATAGAAACAAGAATTCTCCACCTCTGGGGAGGACAGGAAACCATGTGGGAGAAAGAGTCCACAGACACAAGGCAGAGTTTGACTGTCAATGTAGGGTAATTTCAAAAACCCAAAACACTAACATCCTATGCCAGAATGAATCTCAGGTACTGAATTCCATTTCTGAATCCTCACTCCCTGAGTAGGGCTGAGATAGAATCAAAACGACAGTGAAATATCCCTGTTCTTACAGCCAGCCAATGATAAAGTGACAGCATGTGTACAGATTTTTTTTAAATGACATATACATACAAAGGAATAATACTCAATAATAGCAAGAAACTAATTATAAATGTAGCAACACTCATGAATCTCAATATCATTATGCTGAAGGAAAACCAGACATAAAATAATCCTTATTCTCTGACTCCATTTATTTTAGTTTTCTGGAAATGGAAAACTAATTTATTGTGTCAAATAGGATATTATGGTAGCCTAAGGGCCAGGGGCAGAAGGAAGGATGGACTGTAAAGGGATACAGTCCCTTTTGATGAAGAATCTTTTGGGGATGATGACATTGTTCTGTATCTTAATTGTGGGAGTGGTTTCCAGAATATATACCAACATCAAAGCTCATAGAATTTTATACTTTGAATGGATGCAGTCTGTGTGGTTTTTAACACATACATCATACTTTATATGGGTTGACAAGGAAAAAAGTCAGCTTGATTCGGAATGGAAGATGCCTGTTCTAAAACTGGACCATGAATAGAATCAAATGCACATGCGTGTGGTTCTATTGATGCATAAAATCGGACTTGGGTGAGATCCCATCTCTGTCTCTTTCTCCACGTGTGATCGTGACTGCCACACTTCGGCGCCCTGTGTTTCCATGGTTTCACATTGGGAATCCATGTCACACCCAGTGCATGAAGTTGACATGAGGGGTCGATCCGTCGTTTAGTCAATATTCACTAAGCTCATAATATGTTTTATGCACAACACTGAGTCCTAGAGATATACAGGGGAAAGGCAGACAGTCCCTGCACACACGGACATTAAATTCCAGCAGCGAGACAAAGAAAATGAACCAATAAATAATAAGAAAATGCCAGCCGGTTATATGTGCTGTGAAGAATTCAAAATATGCATGCTATGTTATGAACTATAACTGGGGTGCTACTTCGGATTGGTGTTTAGGGAAGACCTCTCTGAGAATGAGTCTTAACCAGAGAGACCTGAATGGCAGAGAGAAACCAGCAATGCAAAGACCAGACATGGAGATTTCCAGGTGGGGGAGAACGTTCTTGAAAAAAATCTAAGGCAGAAAGGAAGGTGATGCTTTAATGGAGAGGCTGGGGCCTGCATCTGGTGGGTAGTGAGAGGGGGAAGGGGGAGAAGATTGGACATGGAATTTGGGTGGGGCTCCATCCCAGATGTGTACTAAGATCGTGGTATGCTCAATGGTACAAGTAAAGTTTGTGTTTATTCCTGTCCTGACAACTCCCTATGAAGAACCAGGCATCATAAGATTCTAATCCTTAGTGAGAAGGGAAAGCATTCACAGTCACAGTTCTCTTCCCACAGTGTCATCGAATTTCCCTGGCTAAATGCTCATCTTGCTGGTTAAAAGGATGCTTCCTTTTTATTAAATTGCTCTTCCCATGTTGAATGTCCAGACCAGATGTGACACTGTCCTCAGCAGGAGTGTGGAGTCACTGGGGCCTGTAGGCAAAGATTTTGTGATGGCCA
The DNA here is from genome assembly GCF_000001405.40 of Homo sapiens. Classification (NCBI taxonomy): domain Eukaryota; kingdom Metazoa; phylum Chordata; class Mammalia; order Primates; family Hominidae; genus Homo; species Homo sapiens. The sequence continues at coordinate 125,897,936 of NC_000012.12, forward strand.
AAGGACTCAGCTGCCCACGGGAAATGCTGAACTGGTGGATGAGGATGGGAAACAGACATGGCCTTCCCGAGAAACTCCAGGCAGTACTGAAGACTATTCCTCAGATCATTGTTTATGGTATGAGATAATAGCTTGGTAACTAACTATGTGACTACTGTGATCAGGGAAGAGGGAGGTCCCTGTGGCTGCAGAAGCCTGGAGCTTGGGTCCAATCAACACTTAGGAAGGATCATTAACACTCAGGAGCAGAGGGACTCTTTGGCTGATGAATTTGGTCTTAGTAAGAAAATCTGGGCTGGGCACGGTGGCTCACGCCTGTGGTCCCAGCACTTTGGGAGGCTGAGGCGGGCAGATCACTTGAGGTCAGGAATTCGAGACCAGCCTGGCCAACATGGTGAAACCCTGTCTCTACTAAAAATACAAAAAATTAGCTGGACGTGGTGGCGTGTGCTTGTAATCCCAGCTACTTGGGAGGCTGAGGCAGGAGAATCTCTTGAACCCAGGAGGTGGAGGTTGCAGTGAGCTGAGATCGTGCCGTTGCGCTCCAGCCTTGGTGACAAGAGTGAAACTCCATCTCAAAGAAAAAAAGAAAAAGAAAAAGAAAAAGAAAATCCTGGCTCCACAGACAGGGCTTCTCAGAAAACTTCCAAGGGAAATTACTCCAGTGTGACTTGGTGGAGGGCCTAAAGAAGACCTCACCTTAGGCAGAGTAAGAGGGGACTCCCTCTTTTCCCACAGTGCTGGTCTTGGGGATGCCTTTCACTAACACTAAGGAGGGGGTTACAATTCAGAGGCCCATGCGGTGTTCCTGGACAGGGGAGAAGCCCAGATTTTTCCAGAGGCCCTGGGAAGACTTCAGTGGTGGTGATACCACTGCATGCTTGTTTGAGCAGTGATATTAGTTTAAATCTCATCCACCACTCTGGATGCTCTTTTTCAGGGAATCCCACTCTCACCTCCAAACCATTTATTTTTCTGAAGCTTTTCTCTGCCTGGCATTTATTCTGGCTATTTTTTTTCTAGTAATCACACCTTAATTTTTGACTGGGAAATCCTGATTCTATTATCTTTATTTTTTATTTATTATTATTATTTTATTGAGACAGAGTCTGGCTCTAGTGCCCAGGCTGGAGTACAGCGGCACAATCTTGGCTCACTGCAACCTCCGCTTCCCAGGTTCAAGAAATTCTCCTGCCTCAGCCTCCCGAGTAACTGGGATTACAGGTGCCCGCCACCATGCCCAGCTAATTTTTGTATTTTTGGTAGAGACAGGGTTTCACCATCTTGGCCAGGCTGGTCTCAAACTCCCGACTTCAGGTGATCCATCCACCTCGGCCTCCCAAAGTGCTGGGATTAGATGTGTGAGCCGCCGCACCTGGCCTATTATCTTTTATTTTGTGGTCCACACCGGTGTCAACTCATCCCATCACATTGGCCTGGATCATCAGCATGTCCTTTGCCCCTGACCACAGTGATTGTTTCAGTGACAGCCACGTGGCTAAACATAAATCAGTAAGAGCCAGCCACAGATTTGGCCTGGAACTGTTGGAAAAACAGCCTCTCTCTGAGTGTACAGGTGCTTGTGAGGTCTGAGCACCTAGTACCAATTTGCTACATTGTAAGCCTGGAGCAGCCCAATTTGCTATGATACATGGAGAAGCCTACCTGTAAATATATAAGTCCAACCCAGAAACATATATGAGAAATGAAGCTATTTCTATGGACACAAATTGAGCACCTAGATCAAGCTACATCTGAAGTCACTGTTCATTCATTCATTCTTCAGACAGCTGGTAGGCACTGCCCTATACCAGGTTCTCTGCTGGGAGCTGAGCCCTGCCTCCTTAGAGCTTGCCACCCAGAGGAAGAGGGTGCTCCCAGTGACTCTCTGAAAGATATAAAGCCTGGGAAGCCACTGACCTTTGGTCTGAGCAGTAGAAAAGACACTATCCCTCAAACTGGCATCATCCCAATTGTCCATAGTCTGCCTGTTAGTATTTTTTTATTGTTTTTCCAAATTGTCTTCCTTCCTTCCTTTTGCTTTTCCTTTCCTCTCTCTGTCCTTCTCCCTCTCTCCCCTTCTGTGTTCCCTCCTCTCTGTCTCTCTTTCTCCTTCCTTCTCTCTCTCAATCTGTCTTGCTTTTGCTCCTTTCAAAAATGGTAAAAGAAGTGAGAAGATGTTAAATTCTTAATGTGTTAAGCACAGGCATGGCTATTGTCATAAAATATGACTTCTTCCTGCCCCTCCACAAATAATAAAAAGCATAAAATTATACATTCATAAGATTTTTCAAGAAATGAGGTGATTTCTGGTAAACCTGAGCAGCAGAGACAGGATACAGACTGAGCTTTATTACTCAGTGGCCCACCTCTGCTTGCTCAGACTCTGACCTTAGAGCCCGATCTCCCAAGGGATCCCCGAGGTGGTCCTGACACCTGCCCAGGGCTGAGTTTGGGGCAGCAGGGCCACAAGAGTGAGTCGATAAAAGCTGATATGTAGAGTCTTCTTCAGGTAATTAGTGACTGTCATGCACATCACCTTTTCTTAAGTTACTAAGCTTTTTCTCAGTGGACATCACTGACAGCCAATGTTTGCAAGTTTCTTCCCCATAGGAGAAAATCTGGCATTGAAGAAAAAAAAAAAGTGGTACATTCAAGCACTTTGGCCAGCTTTGGGTCATCTCGAGGTACTTAGGGGGCATGGCTGACATTTTCATGTACTTCAGAAAATGTCTTCTCATTCTATAAGTGGTAAATTTCTTCCTCAAGTAATTTGCTTTGGCGTTTTGTTATATGTTCCCAATATATTTCAGATGGTATTTTGAATTTCTGCTGAAGCTTTTGAATTTCACTTTCTGATTGTACATTTTCTGACTGCAAAGATGCTTGCTCAATTTGGAAATTTTAATTTGAACTCAGATCACTTCAATTATTTGCTTTTCCTTCAGATGTCTTGTTGTCTATATCCTGTCTTTCTTCTTCCTGGGGTATTTAAAGAAGCAGTGAACTTAGCAGCAGAGTCTGGTTTCTGCAAAAATGACTTGTGCCTGACTGTTCAGGTCGTTTCTACTTTTGGATTCACTTGGTATGCAATTCCCAGTCACTGCCATCCACATTCCCCTCTGGGAGGACAGCTCTCTTCTGCAGGTGTCCATCAGAGAAGTGAATGAACTCACTTTTATTATTTAGGACTTGGGCCATGTCTTTGTTCAAGACTCAAAGATAGGATTTTTTGAAAATTCATTCATGTTCCCCATTCTTTCATTTTTCAGCTTCTAGTGAAAACAGTTTTAGACTTTTCCTGAACTGCAGCATTTTCATTCAAACTATCCATTGGCTTCATTAGGTTGTTCTTCATTCTTCAAGAATGGATATGAGGTTTTTGGGCTTAAACACTTGTATTTGAGAGCTTTTAATTTGTCTTCTAGTGACCATTTCCATCTTTAAATATAAACCGAAACCATGCCTAAAATGAAAGCTAAGGGCCCTCTTTCTACGTCTTCTTTGAGAAGGTCTATTTCATCTTCAAGTGGGAGATGAACCTGGTCAGATTTTTAATACTTGTTGCTAAATATAGGGTAAATATGAGTCCAAACCATGCTCCAAATGAAAGCTAGGGACTTTCTCTTTAGTTATTCTTGCAGATGGTCTATTTTATCCCCAAGTAAAGATGTGGAACTCGTCAGATTGTGATTCTTAAGTTTACAATGTGTTGAAAGAGCTGGCTTCCATTGAAGGTGACTTTCATGGTCTCTGTGGGCTTTGGCAATCAGGCTAAGTTTGTCATGGGTTTACAGTTCTTTTACTCAATCAGAAAACCTTTGACTATCTCTTTTCCCATCCTTGAATTCAGTAGGCATTGTGCTATAAAAGCGATTGCTTACCACCATTCTCTTTTTTTTTTAAATTATACTTTAAGTTCTACGGTACATGTGCACAACATGCAGGTTAGTTACATATGTATACATGTGCCATGTTGGTGTGCTGCACCCATTAATTCGTCATTTACATTAGGTGTATCTCCTAATGCTATCCCTCCTCCCTCCCCCCACCCCATGACAGGCCCCGGTGTGTGATGTTCCGCTTCCTGTGTCTAAGTGTTCTCATTGTTCAATTCCCACCTATGAGTGAGAACATGCAGTGTTTGGTTTTTTGTCCCTGCGATAGTTTGCTGAGAATGATGGTTTCCAGCTTCATCCATGTCCCTACAAAGGACATGAACTCATCCTTTTTTATCACTGCATAGTATTCCATGGTGTATATGTGCCACATTTTCTTAATCCAGTCTATCATTGATGGACATTTGGGTTGGTTCCAAGTCTTTGCTATTGTGAATAGTGCTGCAATAAACATATGTGTGCATGTGTCTTTATAGCAGCGTGATTTATAATACTTTGGGTATATACCACCATTCTCAAGGAAACCCAGAATAACCTAAACCTTGGCTGTGGTCTTCAGAAAACACTGCCCAAACCTGCCCAGTGTCTCCAGAATGAGTTGGAAGTGATGAGTTATCACGGTCAGCACTGAAAGATGCTGCAGAATGGCCTGTGGTTGCCAGTACCTTGCAGGACCTCAGTAGGCCACACGGAACCCAATGGAGAGTTCCACTTAGAACCAAACAAGCACCTGGAAACCAGCAATGACCATCAGAGGGGACAGGGAAGGGGAGGACTGATTGAATAAAGACGTGCTTCTCAACCTTCTATGGTCAAGATGAACATATAGATAATGATAACATTTGTATAATGCATGGGAGGAAATGGATGAGGACACTTGAAGTCAGAGGTGACCAGTCTAGGAGCTCTGGCTGCCCCAGGGCCCAACCTGGAAAATGAAGAAAATTAAAGTTAATCCATGCCTGTTTCCCATTCTCTACACTTGAGTGTGCCAGGTGCCAGGCGAGATGCTCTGCTTGTAGAGGGCAAAGGTGCCCACTGTTTCTTCTCCTCTTCAGTTAGATTCTTCCTCCTGTAGCTGTGAAGCTTAACACTGCCTCCAAAGGTCACATAAATATTCCTCCCTGAGGCTACCCCTCTAGTTTTATTTGGGGAGAAGGGTGTCTGGCCATAAGTGAAGGGTCTTTTACCGAAGGTATTTATTTGTCTTTGTTTTTGATGATAACTGTTCTCCTATGACACAGCTTCTTTGAAGTATAATTTACATAGAATTCTTCAGGGTAGAGTTCTGAAATGTTTTAGTCATGCCCGCACCCATGCAACCCACATCCTCATCAAGATAAATAACATTTCCATCATTCCAGAAAAACTCCTTGTGCAAATTTTCAGTCAATGCAATCCCCAGAGGCAAACATGGTTGTGATATCTGTCTATCACCATGGTTGTTTTGTCTACTCTTGCATTTTAATTATATGGAATTACATGTTTGGTGCTCTGTGTTTGACTTCTTTTACTCCTCACCATTTTTTGAGTTTCACCCAGGTTTTTGCATAAATATTAGGTTAGAGCAAAAGTAATTACTTTTATTTTTAGAATAAAATAAACAGGCTATTCCTTTTTTATTGCTGAGCAATATTCTATTGCATGGATAAAATACTTTTTTAAATTCATACACGATATGCATTTAGATTATTTCCATTTCTTGGATACCATAAAAAATCTTTAATGACATTTTTGTACAGTTGTGAAGAAATATATTATTTTTTTGTCCACAACAAAAATGTTTTTATATTATTATACATCAATTTATAGGGGGACTGTGACAGTTTTGATTTTATATGTCAGCTTGACTAGGCCATGAGGTGTCCAGACATTTGGCCAAACATTATTCTGTGTGTGTGTGTGCACATGTGTGCGTACGCGTGTGTGTATGAAGGTATTTCTGGATGAGATTAACATTTGAATTGTTAGACTGAGTAAAGATGATTGGCATGTGTGTATGTGAAGGTATTTCTTGATGAGATTAACATTTGAATTGGTAGACCAAGTAAAGATGATTTTCTTCCCTAATGTGCGTAGGCCTCATCCAATCAGCTGGAGACTTGACTAAAACAAAAAGGGCTAAGTAAGAGGGGAATTGCTCCTGCCTGACTGCTTGAGCTGGGATGCTGGTCTTTATTCAGCCTTTAGACTCAGACCAAAACATTAACTCTTCTTTTGTATTGAGGCTGCCAACTTTTGGACTGGAACTTACACCGTCAGTTCTCCTGGTTTTCAGGCCTTGAGACCAGACTGGAACTACACATTGGCTCTTCTGGGCTTCCAGCTTTCTGACTGCAGATCTCAGGACTCTTCAGGCTCCCTAACAGCATAAGCACATTCCTTATCATCAGTGCCTTTCTCTCCCTCCATATACACGTCCTGTTGGTTCTGTTTCTCTGGAGAACCTTGACTAATACAGAGGTAATTATCCATATGTCAATAAAAGCCATGACATTTTGGATACATCTCTATTTATGTCTACATCAATATGCCTATATCTATATCAGTACGGATATGTATGCATACATATTGTAGCTATAAATATGCATATAGTTATCTCTATATTTCTAGATCTGTCTCTTTCTGTGTGTTTTTCTCTCTATCGAAAGAAAACACTGAGAATCAAACTATAAAGTCCCTTCTGAGAAAACAGTGCTAGGAATGCAAATTGGAGGACATTCTATAAATTCCAGGGCTATTATAGGAGTTATCAGATAAAGGATTTTTTTTTTTTAACTTCAGGTACTGGAAGGAATAGAGATAATGAGAGCCTGGAACTAGAGTCTGGTGGTTATACCAGAAGAGGAAGCCAACACTGCAGATGGCAGAGTTAAGAGGAGAGAAACGGAATTGTGATGACTTCCTTGAGTCCATAAATCCACACAAAGTCAGTTATTCCCTTGCACATTTTATTTACACTGATTACACTGAGCCACTTTTTGCTAAAGCCAGTTTGAGTGGGGTTTCCTAATACCTGCAAACAGCAGAACGACCATTGGCATGGAGATTCTGGAAGAAGCCACCATCCAGTCCTAATATGCAGGTAAAGGCATAAAGAGTGGGCAGATCATGGGGCAGGTGAGCCCACATCACCGGGAAGTCTTTGTGGGATCAACAGGCTGTATAGCAACACTGATGGGAAGCCCAAGCATGGGCAGCTCTGATACCGAGCTGGGGCCAGGGAAGGGTGGCCAGAATTCACCCAGAAAAAGCAGTCCAATGGTGAGGCTGGGCCTGGCCATTGGGTCTGTTCAACACAGAGGACAACCAAACAGAAAGACAGGCATAGACAGCTGAACACTACTGCAGTGAAACCACCGAGCATGAAGAGGACACATCACAGAGGAAACTCTCCTCTTCCAGGACTACCTTGAACCTTGGATCCTTTTCTACCTCCCAGGCCACTGAGTTCCTGGACATTTATCCTTATGAAACCCTACCAATGAATTCAACATCAGTCAGTGAGGGGATTTAAGAACAGTCTGCCCACTCTGTTACTCATATGAATACATATGAATAAATAACTCGGAATGAGTAAATATCAAATAAAATCATGGACCTATTTACTCCTTCAAGGATGAGTCAACAGAACACACACACTTGCAGGCACACATGCACACACATGTTTACACAGCATGTAGCTTATAAAAATAAGTTTAATAAAATTGGAAGAATGAAGCCTTGAGATACAGACGGAAGAGGCTCCTTTTAATAAAGATTTACTAAAGGGAGATAGACATAAATATCAGACGGCATCTGCTCTGGGTTCACAAATAAGGCTGGTCCTCGTGGGCAGAAGTGAGAGTTATAATTCTTTCCACTGAAGCAGCTATCTAGATTAGTTGTAAATATTGCCTTTGGCCATCATCTATCTTGAGAAACTAAAGGAATTAAGTACAGGAACCTGGAGAGAGTGAGAAAGAGAAACAGCAAGCTGAGTGGTCATCCTCCATGTCTGTGATTCCCCATGTTTTAATAAAAGTGGACAGTGAAGATGGATGTGTCACTCACCAGGACAGGCCTACAAGGCTCCCCACCCCTCAGCTGACCCTGCTCTCAACAGCAAATACATTACCTAATGTATCAGTCCTTTTTCACACTGCTGATTCACACTGCTGATAAAGACATACCCGATACTGGGCAATTTACAAAAGCAAGAAACTTAATGGACTCATAGTTCCACGTGGCTGGGGAGGCCTCACAATCATGGCAGAAGGTGAAAGACACGTCTCACATGGTGGCAGACAAGAGAAGAGAATATGTGCAGGGAAACCCCCCTTTATAAAACCATCAGATCATGTGAGACTTATTCACTGTCATGAGACTAGCAAGGGAAAGACCCGCCCCCATGATTCAATTATCTCCCACCGGGTCCATCCCATGACACGTGGGAATTATGGGAGCTACAATTCAAGATGAGATTTGGGTGGGGACACAGCCAAACCATATCACCTTATGGTCCCTTACACACTCTGTCAGCTGATTTTCTAAATGCAGCAATGATTGTGCCATGGAGCAAAAGAAGTAACAAAGCCCTTGGATGCAACCAGTTTCTCACAGATGAGGAGAGTTGAGGTTGCCCCATAAGGAAGGAACATGAATCTGGAGATGCCCTACATTGTTCTTATGATGGAGGTTTAGGAATTTCATCAGTAAATAACTCAATGCGCAGGTCTGAGGGCAGGCATGCAGATTTTTTCCTTCCTCATAATGGTGTCTATTATTCTAGAGAAGCAAAAAAAAAAAAAAAAATTTGGAGGGGTCCTAAGGACAAAGTAGTTTCCCTATCTTAACATAATACCCTGCCATGTCATGTTGGCAGTACAGACAGATGTATTTATTAATGGCCCCATAAATATTTAGAATGGCAAAGCAGGCACCAAAGGGGAGCCCTAACCAAAAGTTGTGTGGCTGCTGCACTCACTCTTAGAGTTTTTCTAGTGAGATGATTTATTTTATCATCAAAGAGACAAATTTTTAAATAAGTCATAAATTAAGACTGGGTCAGGTGCAGTGGCTCTCACCTGTAATCTCAGCACTTTGGGAGGCTAAGGTGGGAGGAACGCTTGAGCCCAGGAATTTGAGAGCAGCTTGGGCAACATGGTGAGACACCATGTCTACAAAAAATCCAAAAATTAGCCGGGCAGGTTAGCACACTCCTGTGGTCCCAGCTACTTGGGAGGCTGAGGTGAGAGGATTGCTTGAACTCAGGAGGTCAAGGCTACAGTGAACCGTGGTTGTACTACTGCACTCCAGCCAGGGTGACAGAGCAAGGCCCTGTCTCAAAAAAAATATTAAATTTTAAAAAGTAAGACTATATTTTATATAAATGTATACTTTGTATTGAAAAAATATATATATTATATGTGACTATACATATTTTATAAAAATAATGTAAAAATAGCATTATATATCATGTTTTTATATATACTATTATTTTTACATTATTCTATATATATTGCCTATATATTTTAGAAAAGTAATGTAAGAAGTAACATTATATATAAAACATGCACTTATGTGTTATACATGTAATATATGGTAGGAGAAATCATGCATTCCAGGGGTGAGTTTCTGACACCCAGTTGGTTTTCTACTGTTCTTCTTGCTGAGTGCACCTCCACCTGCTTAATTATTGTCTCCTTTTCTGCTCTCTGCAGCCACTGGTGCAGAACTCCCCAGCAATTAGTAACCTGCCTGTCACATTTTTCTATCTGTAGAAATGCAACCTCATCTGACTGCTTTGAGGTCCAATTTTAATTTAGATGCAAACTATTCCCAGAGTACCAATAGTCTAAAAGGAACCTCAGGCTGACTGTAATTACAGAGGGCCGGAGTTTTCCCTGTGATGAGAATGTCGTTGTTGCTCCTGCGGACATCACTCAGGAGCCTCATGGACTCCAGCATTTTTATCTCCTCCTCCCTGTCTTCTAGACCCTAGGACACCTGTTTATCACCTGTGATTCGTCAGTCTCTTTGGTTGTTTGCTTATTTAAATGTCTGGAAGCAACGTAGTCCAAACAAAGGCAAGGCATTTATAAGCATACTTAAATAAATATATATGTATATGTGTTTGTGCTGTATGTGTTTATATATATGCATATAGCTTTGACAGACAAAATATATTAACTTTGTCCACATACACACACACACACAGATAGGTTTAACTCTAAAGACAGTCTACTACTTTGTAAGCTGCAAGATCTCTAGGACTTGCTCTGTTCTCCTACAAAACCCTAGGCAGGCAGCATTGGACTTAGCATTAAGACTGCCAGGAAACAGTTGTTAAATTTAATTGGAAAGGAAGTAACAGGGGCTTGGTCAAACAGAAATTAACATTGTGTGTGTGATTGTGTGTATGTGATTGTGTGTGTGTGTGTGTGTGAAGTTTTTACCAGTTTTTATCTGGTATTTGAATAATAAGTCAGCTGTCTCGAAACAGATTTTTTAATGCTTCTCACCTGAATTAATGTCCCTTTTGGTGTGGTGAGCAGGCAACTATTGTGGGAAGGGGTAGTGGTTTGGGGCAATGGGAGTTGGGGGAGGAGCTTCAGTGGCTCTCAAAAGCTGCTTCTGCCTGTACTCACTGGTTTCTAGGGAGAACCCTTTCCCATTTAAAGTTCAATGGTATTATTTTATGTCCGATGGATTTAATGGTTGTAATTGATCAGAAATAATGTCAAGGAACCTGAAAATAAACACACCATAAGCCAAGCTGAATTAAGGCCAGAACTTAGTATATTGATTTAGGAAAGCAATTTTCAAACTCAAATGTACGTAAAAATTACCTCAAGGACTTATAAAAAATGTGGACTCTTTTAAAAATATATATTATTATTTTTGACACAGGTTCTTGCTGTGTTGTCCAAGCTGGAGTGCAGTAGTGATCGTAGCTCACTACAGCCTCAAACTTCTGGGCTCAAGCAATCTTCCCATCTCAGCCTCCTGAGTAGCTGGGAAAGCCTACGCCACCATACTTGGCTGACTTTTTAATTTTCTGTAGAGATAGCAGGGTCTCGCTATGTTGCCCAGGCTGGTTTCAAATTCCTGGCCTCAAGCTATCCTTCCACCTTGGCCTCCCAAAGTGCCGGGGTTACAGGTATGAGCCACTGTGTGCCCAGCCAAAAAATGTGGATTCTTGACACCTAATATGATTTGGTTGTGTCCCCACTCAAATCTCATCTTGAATTATAGTTCCCATAATCCCCATGTATTGTGGGAGGGACCCAGTGGGAGGTAATTGAATCATGGAGGCAGTTACGTTCATGCTGTTCTCATGATAGTGAGTGAGTTCTCATGAGATCTGACTGCTTTATAAGGGGTGTTACCCCTTTTACTCATTCTTCTTCTCCCTGCTGCCAAGTGAAGAAGGACATATTGCTTCCCCTTCTGCCTTGACTGTTAGTTTCCTGAGGCCTCCTCAGCCATGCTGAACTGTGAGTCAATTAAACCTCTTTCCTTTACAAATTACCCACTCTCAGGTATGTCTTCATAGCAGTGTGAAAATGGACTAATACAACTCCACTTCTGAGATTCCGATTCAGTGGGTATGGTAGGCCCAATAACTGTCCCCCAGAGATGACCAAGTCCTAAATCTCATAACCTGTAAATATATTGCTTTATATTGCAGAAAGGCCTTTGCAGATGCCATGAAGGGTCTTGAGATGGGGAGACTGTACTGGAGAGTCTGTAATCACCCACTGTAATCACAGGGTCTTCATAAGAGAGAGGCAGGGTGTTTAGCCTTAGCAGCAGGAAATGTGATGTCAGAGGCAAAACATGGGAGTGACATGAGGAAGGGGCCGCTAGCTAGGGAATGCAGGTGTGCTTTAGATGCTATAAAAGCAATAAAATGGATTTCCCCTTCAGGTCTCCAAAAAGAATGTAGCCCTGCTGACTCCTTGATTTTAGAATGTTGACTTTCGGAACTCTAAGAATAATTTTGCTTTGGTTTAAGCCACTACGTTTCTGGTGATTTGTTACCGAAGAAATAGGAAATGAATACAGTAGATATCTCAGGTAGGGTTTCCAGGAAATAGACTCCAGAATAGAGTTAAGCTTACATATGCAGGGCTCAGCACAGTGCTCTAGGAACGGATTTCCTAGATTCTAGAAAGAGTCGCTTGAGGTCTCCTTTGTAAACATGTTTATTAAGAAGTCCCTCATCACCAATGCAGGGAAGGAAAGGAAGCAGGAGAGGGCAGAAGAAGAAGTCAAGGCCATTGTAGGTGCAACTGCACCCATGGGGTGCTCTGGCACCAGGAAGAAACTTCAGAGGTGCTCAAAATCAGACAGAGATGGCCAGACCTTTATGGGGCTGAATACATCAGTCACTGGATGAAGTATGCTCTGGGAAGGGTGTACCTTGGGGAAGGTAGCTTCTGCGGTCTTGGGCTATAGCTTAAGGCTATTTTCTGACATCCCTGCCATCATCTGTGCAATAGGTGTTGTGTTGAAGGAGGATCTGGGCAGCCCTTCACAGTATCCCCCACAGGAATTCCAGCATAGACCCCAAAGGGCTACATTTTTAAGGACCCCAGGGGATTTGATGGCCACACTTTCAGCAACTTGGATTCATGCAAGAGACATTATTCTAGTGGGTGCAAAAATAATTAATTAAGAAACAGAAAGGGTGTGAGCATATTTGTACCTGGGATAGGTAGGCTGAATAATGGCCCACAAAAGATGTTTACATCTGTATTAGGGTTCTCCAGTGAAACAAAACCAATAGGACACACACACACACACACACACACACGTATATATGTACACACACGCATGTATATATGCACACATACATGCATGTGTACACATAAATACTACACACATACGTGTGTATATATAAATATATATACACACATATGCCTGTGTAAATATATATACATACACACACACGAGATTTATGGCAAGGAATTGGCTTATACAATTATGGAGGCTGCCAAGCCCTAAGATCTGCAGGCTGAGCTGGCAAGATGGAGATACAAGAGAGCCAATGATTTTGTTCTTGTTCCAGTCCAGAGGTCTGAGGACCAGGAGAGGGAATGCTGCAATTCCAGCTCCAAGGTTGACTGGCTTGAGATTCAAGAAGAGTCAATATTTCATTTTAAGTCTAAAGGGAGGAGAAAGCCAATGTCCTGATTGAAGGTCAAAAGGCTGGATAATTCTGTCTTACTCAGGGAAATCAGCCTTTTTGTTCTATTCAGGCCTTCAATGGATTGGATAAGCATAGACAATCTGCTTTACATAGTTTACCAATTTAAGAGTTAATTTTACCTAAAAACACTCACACAGACACACTCAGAATAATGTGGATCAAATAACTGAGCACCCCATAGACTAGTCAAGGTGACACATAAAATGAACCATTACTGTGTCCTAATCCCTGGAATCAGTGAATGTGTTACTGTACATGACAAAAGGTATTTTGCAAATCCTGACATTGGCTATTATCTGGATATTTCAGGATTTATTTAAGGAGGGTTAGCGTCAAAGAAGGAAATGTGATGATGAAGCAGAGGTCATGGAGGAGAGAAGTTAGCTACACGGCTGGCTTTGAAGATTGTGGGAAAGGCCATGGGACAAGAAATTTCTGTGTTTTCTGGAAGCTAGAAAAGATATGGAAACATATGATCATCTAGAGCCTGCAAGAGGAATGCAGACCTGGAGATCAAGGTTGATACCTTGATTCAAGACTTCAGACCTCTAGAACCATAAGATAATAAATCTGTGTTGTTTTAAGCCACTGAGTTTGTAGTAATCTATTGTAGTAGTGACAGGAAATTAACACAGTATCTTCAACTCATAATGCAGAACAGGTAATAAAAGCTATAATCATCTACCCTAATTCAGATTTTTATTTATCAAATCTTTTGGGACATTGATATACATCGACTTTACTTACAATTCATTTACAATTAATTATCTTGGGAATTATGTAGTGGGACCAATTATCAGGTTTTTTTTTTTTTTTTTTTTTTTTTTTTGTTGTTGTTTAGACAGAATCTCACTCTGTCGCCAGGCTGGAGTGCAGTGGGGCGATCACAGCTCACTGCAACCTCTGTCTCCTGGGTTCAAGTGATTCTCCTGCCTCAGACTCCTGAATAGCTGGGACTACAGGTGTGTGCCACCACGCCCAGCTAATTTTTGTATCAGGTATTTTTATCTGTGGCCAAAGTATTTCTGGTGACACATTAATAACCAAGCTCTTTTGAGAAGGATCCAAGTTGAACTATCCCTTTCCCTAATTTTTTTTTTTTTTTTTTGGTAGAGATTGGGCTCTCACTGTGTTGCCCAGGCTGGGAGGATTACAAGCCTAATTCTTCTTTATGTTAAATAGGGTCAGACCAGATTTTCCAGGTGAGTAGGTGGGAGGGTAGCATAATGGTTAAACACACACACACTGAAGCTGGACTTACTGTTTCACTGTGTGACCTTGAGCAAGTAATTTAGTCTTCTAATACCGTGGTGTCCTCACATGTTAAATGAAGATAATCATGCACAACTTATAGGTTACTGTGCAATTACCTGGGCCAATATGTGCAAAGTGCTTAGAATAGTTTTGACTTACTGTACGAGCTCAATAAATTTTTGCTGTCATTAAAATACATGTATGCATTAAAAACAGCCCTTTCTGGCAAGAATGTGAAGCTTGGCCTTCTCCTGATGTGGTTTGTTTAGGACTCACTGATCCAGAATCATTTGAGTTTCCATGCAGAGTACCTAGCAATCATTGTGAATACACAACGAACTACTGGACCACTTCATTCTGGCAGAAATTTTGGGTTTTGAGAAAAATGCTCTCATTTACTGAAATCAGGTTGGGAGCATACAATGTTAATGATTTCTACACAAATATCAACTCTTCAGATATTAGCTTTGTAGTAATAATGCTTTGGGTTTAAGAATTGTAAAAATTTCCCATTGCCAATATAAATTACTTTTTTGTTGTTGTTAGGAGAAGCAGTATAATATAGTGGCTAAATATCAGACATGGGAAGTGAAAAGTTGCTGATATGGGTTGGCTCTGTCCCCACCCAAATCTCATCTTGAATTGTAGTTCCCATAATCCCCACATGTGTCAAGAAAGGGACCAGGCGGGAGGTAATTGAAAAAGGGGGGCAGTTATCCTCACGCTGTTCTCATGATAGTGAGTGAGTTCTCACGAGATCTGATGGCTTTATAAGGGGCTATTCCCCCTTTGCTCAGCACTTCTCCTTCCTGCCGCCATGTGAAGAAGGACAGGTTTGCTTCCCCTTTCTCCATGATTGTTAAGTTTCCTGAGACCTCCCCAGCCATAATGAACTGTGAGTCAATTACACCTCTTTCCCTTATAAATTACCCAGTCTTGGGTGTATCTTTATTAGCAGCGCGAGAATGGACTAATATAGTTGCATTTGAAGTTCAGATCCACTGCCTACCACTGAGAAATCACTGGCTAGATATGCAAACTCCATGAGCCTCAGTTTCTTTACCTGTTATAGGAACAAGAACAGCACATGCCCCATGGGGTGGTTAGGGGATTAAATGACACCCTTTGCACAGAGCCCTCCATGTGGCAAGAGCCTTGTAGCTATGAGTCATTGTCCTTATTTAGGGACCATCAGACCCTTCCTTTAATTAACAATAAAAAAGAGCTTCTCATCAGCATGATTGGTTCCTTCCTTATCAGGGTGGACGAGGCCTCTTGGTGGAGACCATGCATATGTGGCTCCCTGTATGTCCTTCCCCAGTCACACTCCCATTCTGTCCCCCCAACCCATTCCTTAGCTCCTCAAGCATCCAGCTCCTCCTTGCCATCATGGCTTTGTTACACTGCTTCAGCCTGGAGCGCTCTTTTCCCATCTTGTTTTTGGGACAGCCTCACCCTTCAAGACCCCACTCAGGTGTGATCTCTGCTGTGAAGCTTTTCTGATCTCCTCCCTGACCCCCTGCCACAGGGTAGAGTTCATCACCACATTCTCTAAACTTCTTTGGTGCCTGGCAGTTCTCCTTTTTGCACTCCTCTCTTGATGGACTCTGTTGGGTGAGAAGTCTGTTTCTTGCAAAACCTGCGAGCTCTCAGGGGAATATTCACATCTCAGTCCTCCTTGGCTTCTGAGCAGATGGCAGTGCCTGCCATGTGTCGATACTACAATGCCTATTGAATGAATGACATTAGGCTCCATTTGATTTTGCCCCTATCTCTTAGTCCATGTTATTTTCTTTTTAATACATTTATGGTACTATAATTTACATACCCTAAGATTCAACTGTTAAACTATACCAATCAATGGCTTTTAGTTTTCACAGAATTGGGCAACTTTCACTATAATAAATTTTAGAACATTTTTGTCACTGAAAAAGAAACTCTGTACCTGTTAGCAGTTCCTCCTCCATTCTGTCTCCTCTAAGCCCTAGGAAACTACTCATTGATTAGGTCTCTATAGATTTGCCTGTGATGGAAATTTTATATAAATAGACTCATACAATACTTGGCCTTTTGTGTCTGTCTTCTGTCACTCAGCATCATGTTTTCAAGGTTCATCTGCATTGTAGCATGGATCAGTACCTCATTCCTTTATATGGGTGAATAATATTCTGTCATATAGATCACATTTTATTTATTCATTCATAAGTTGATGGACATGGGATGCTTCCACTTTTTGGCTTTTTTTTTTTTTTTTTTTTTTTTTTGATGGAGTCTTGCTCTGTCACCCAGGTTGGAGTGCAGTGGTGTGATCTTGGCTCACTGCAACCTCCACCTCCCAGGTTCAAGCAATTCTCCTGCCTCAGCCTCCTGGGTAGCTGGGATTACAGGCATGCACCACCATTTCCAGCTAATTTATGCATTTTTTTGTAAAGACAGGGTTTCACCATGTTGGCCATGCTGGTCTCAAACTCCTCGCCTCAAGTGATCTGCCTGCCTCGACCTCCCAAAGTGCTTGGATTACAGGTGTGAACCACCATGCCTGACCACTTTTTGGCTATTTTAGATAATGCTTCTATTGAACACTGATATGTAGGTTTTTATATGACCATATGCTTTCAATTTTTCTGAGTATATACCTAGGGCTTGAAGGTGCTGTTAGATTTTATTTTAATTTTATTTTGTCTGCTCAGAAAACTTTCCTTTTCCCACTTTTCTGATAAAGAGGGTATGAATTCCCTCACCTGGCCAAAGAGGGCACATGGCGCTACTGGGGCCAATCATGTAGGCATGAGACCCAGGCCTGGCCTCTCTGAGTCTTTCTATGGGACTTTATGGTTGCAATTGTACTTTTGGAGTCATAGGTTAGAAGGAGGGAGCTGGGGCCTCTGGGCATTGGGTCTACCTCATGGTAAATGTCTGGCTGTTGTGAGAAAGAGAGAGGCCACACAGAGGCCAGCAGTGAAGCACTGGACCTGCAAAGATAGGACAGCTCTGAATTCCTCTCCCATATCCAGGGTGCTGGTCCCATGGCTCCCCTTCTTCTCCCCAAGTCCATGAAAATCCCTAGTTTTCCTCCAAGACACATGTGCTCAAAGCCACCTCTTAGGTTCTTAGTGGCTTCTGACTCTGTTTCTGTCCCTTACAACAGAACAAACTTGAAAATTAGAATGAAGTTGAACCAACATCTTAGTGTTAACAATGATCAAGGTGGTGTGTAAGCCAATTGTGGTGATCAGAAAATGAACAAGACGTGCCTCCTGGTACTCATAGGACTTCGAATGAACTGTACCCATCTCCAAAGTCTAGTCTTTCCAGGATGCGTTCTTGATGAAGCCCTGAAGTCTGCCGCCACTAAGAGGAGGGACCGTGATCTGACGTGATCTGACTCCTTCTCCAGGTGACATCATTTCACAACCAGATGCTTTAAAAAAATACAAAAGGGACCTTTCAGGCAGAGGTGTAGGAAGACCAGGACTATTAATGCACGGCTGGCATTTGCACATATTCAATATGTCCGAAGAAAAGTGGTCTGCACATTCAGTTTAGGGGGAACATTTCTACTCAAAACAAAAGTCAAAGTGAATAAATGAGAGCATTTCAGGAAATGTTTGAACTTTTAAAGAAAGGAGGTAAGAAAGCTGGGGTTTATCACAATTGTGTTCCTTCCACAGCAGGATCTCTTCATTCCTCTACAAATCTCTTTTGAAAGGAAGAGTAAAGGAGGAAGGAACACGTATAGTGGTTCTGTGGATGGGCCAGCCCCTGGAATGCAATCAATATGTGTTCACAGGGGTAACCCTCGCCTCTCCCTTGTTTAAAATGTTAGCCAGCCCAGGACCAGCCACCTCAATATTGGGTTAAAAAAAAAGAGTCCAGTGGTCTTTCCTAAATTAAAACAGCACATCTGTGATGTTTGGTATCAGATGTCAACTTGATTGGCTTGAAGGATGCCTAGATGGCTGGCAGAGTATTGTTTCTGGGTGTGTCTGGGAGGGAGTTGCCAGAGGAGATGGACATTTGAGTCAGTGGACTGGGAGAGGAAGACCCTCCCTCAATGTGGGTGGGCACCATCCACTCAGCTACCAGCATGGCTGGAACAAGGCAGGTGGAGGAGGACGGGATGACCTTGCTTGCTGGGTCCCCCAGTTTCCTTCGTTCTTCTGTGTTGGATGCTTCCTCCCAATCCTCCTGCCCTTGGATATCAGATTCCAGGTTCTAAGGCCTTTGGACTCTGGGACTTGTACCAGTGGCTTCCCAGGGGTTCTCAGGCCTTCTGCCACAGACTGAAGGTGGCACTGTCAGCTTCCCTAGTTTTGAGGCTTTCTGACACCAACTGAGCCACTATTGGCTTCTCTCGTCCCCAGATTGCAGACAGCCTATGCTGGGACTTTGCCTTGTAATCCTGTGATCCTGAGAGCCAATTCTCCATAATACACTCCCTTGCATATGTACATATATCCTATTAGTTCTGTCCCTCCGGAGAACCCTAATACACCACTAAACTATTAATCAAAATTCTAAATATTATGAAATATCAAGTGATTATCTTCAGGTTGGAAATATGCAGTGAAAAGGATTTCTTCTCTCTTTCTGCTCTCACTCAGCCCCAGCCTGCCAGCCAGGTTCTGATACTGCAGACTGGAATAGAGAGATGGAAGGAAAGTGGCAGGAAAGATGATAAGTAAATCCCTCACCTTCTCAAGCTGGCTGCATTCTCTGGGCCCTGGCAGAAGTTTCCTCCTTCTCTGGGCCCTGCGAACGTTCCCTGCTCACATTTCAGTGGGTAGAATTCTCTGCAAGCTCTTGAATCAATTCATGAGACTTTCACAGCCCCAGAGAGAATCATGTCCTGAGATTAGCACCTTCACCCAGGAAGCTGAATTGGAGCTAGGTAGAAACAAAAGGACTGCATGCTGGGGGAAGTTCCAGGGTGAGGGATGAGTGCAATGGACTGAGTATTTGTGTCCCTTCAACTTTCCTATGTCAAAATCCTGATGCCTGGTTTGATGGTATAAAGGCCTGGGGCCTCGGGAGGTAATGAGGCCATGAGGGTGGAGCCCTCATGGATAGGATTAGTGAGTGCCCTTCAAAAGGGAACCCCAGACAGCTCTCTAGCCCTCTTTCCACCATTTGAGGACACAGGGACAAGCTGGCAACCCAGACAAGGACCCTTCCAGAACCTGATCACACAGGCAACTTGATCTCAGCCCTCCATCCTCCAGAAGCATGAGAAATACATTTCTGCTGTTTATAAGCCACCCAGTCCACAGGACTTTGTTGTAACTGCCCCAAATGACTAAGACGGTATTCCCCATCATGGGTTATACTGGCTTACTCCTGACCGTGACGCCCGGTGCCATTGGAGACAGCATCTTTGGGAAAGGGTTCTGCAAGGAGGTGGCATGTGAGCGGAGAGAGACCTGAAAGAGAATCAAATAAAGAATAGATAGGGGAAGATGTCCTGAGGGAGGAGGGGTGGAAGCGCTGGGCCTGCATCCTGGACAGGCTTAGGCACAGGGCTGATTTAATATGACCACAGCTTCTCATGTTGGGACTGTTCTATGTATTTTATTAATAGAATCACATTGGGCCGGGCGAGGTGGCTCACACCCGTAATCCCAGCACTTTGGGAGGCTGAGGTGGTGGATCACGAGGTCAGGAGTTTGAGACTAGCCTGGCCAATAAGGTGAAATCCCGCCTCTACTAAAAATACAAAAAATTAGCTGGACGTGGTGGCGCACACCTGTAGTCCCAGCTACTCAAGAGGCTGTGGCAGAAGAATTGCTTGAACACGGGAAGTGGAGGTTGCAGTGAGCCGAGACTGCACCACTGTACTCCAGCCTGGGTGACAGAGTGAGACTGTCTCAAAAAAAAAAAAAAAAAAAAAAAAAAAGAAAGAAAAGAAAAAAATTACATCAATTTCAATTCTTCTTTTGCTGGCCAATGTAAAGAAAATAATAACATCAAAGAGTTCCTTTGCATTTCAGTTTCAAAAATATTTCCTATGTGGGCAAGAAATGGTGGTCAGAGGCAGCTGGTTTATATTCAGGTTTTCCACAAGTTTCGTATGCAGGTCTTATATGTGGGTACAAGTTCATGGGTTCTCAAAATTAGCTTCTGGGCTGTTCTTTCACACCGGAGGAAGTATATTGATTGGCCACGAAATTAACACCTGGAGAATTGGAAATGTGTCCTGGAATTCTTCCTGTATGATTTTAAATCCTACCGAGTCAACTAGTATATTTATATTTATTAGAGTTTAGTCACATCTATCTCAGGAGGGCCCTGTGGTCTTGGCTTCTGGAGACAAGTGGAAGCAGAGCCCTGGCACACGCCGAACATGAATGAAGACCATCTATCCAACCTCTTCCAAAGCTTTCAGGTTCACTCACATTTATCTCCCGCCATCCATTCTCCACGGAGCAGGCGGAGAAATCTTTCAGAACATAGATTATATCATGTCACTTCCCTGCCAAATGCCTCATCATTGGAGGCTCAGAGGAACATCTGAGACCCTCATTGTGACCCACAGAACCCCACAAGACCCTACCTGCCCTCCACCTACCACCTTCGCCAGCACTTGGCTACACTGGCTTGCTCCTGACCATGACACCTTAAGCCTCTGTAGACAGCATTGTCGGGAAACAGTTCAGCAAGGAGGTGACATGTGAGCTCAGAGAGACCTGAGGGAGAAGAAGATAAAGAAGAGAGATGGGGCAGATGTGCCGAGGCAGGAGCAGTGGAAACGCTGGGCCTGCATCCTCATGTCCACTGCACTGTAAGATCGTTCTGTCTCCTGTCCTTCAAAACACTCCTTACAATCTGAAATAATAGTGAGGATGTATTTATTTGCTTTCTGTCTCACTCACTAACATGTAAGTTTCCTGAGCAGAGAGACCTTGCTGGCTGCTGATACAGGACCTAGAAGCCAGCACGACACAGCCTAGGTCCTCAGGCACGTTTGTGGAATGAATGAGGGGTACACAGGCCACTCACCAGCGATTACCCCCCAAAGAGACAGCTCTGTGTGTTCACCAGACCCCTGGCATTCTTTCTGCCCGGAAGCACCCTCTGTGTCATCTTTTGCATCACCTGCAAAGCCAAGCTTGCTTTGATTCCAACCCCCCGCCCTTTCTCCAAACTGGCTGGCTCCTTATAAACTCCCCCAACAACAGATGGGGACCTCTACTACCAGCTCTTGGCTGTGGAACTGACTTGCTGAATTTGAATCCTAGCTCGGCCACTTTGTAACCCTTCCATGGAGAGCTTAAAACTTGGGGGCACCATGGATGGTGACACCCAGGAAGTCTGCAGGTCTCTGGGGGGGCCAGTCTACCTGTCCAGGTGGCAGGGCTGCTGGGGGTTGCTCTATGGGAAGGGGCTACATGACTGGAGTGTGTTGTAGCTGAGGATGTTGAGTGTCTCTGTTAGCTGGTGTGGACCATGCTAGTGCAACTGTGCACTTTATTCTCCAAACAGGGATGCTTTTATGAATAAAACAGTTGCTATTACTAATTATTCCACAACTGCCCTGGGCAAACAGGGGCTTGTGGTCATCTGCCCATGCAGGATGGAGAGCCGGCCTGGAACCTTTTTGGGGGCTGTGCAGAGGGGGCCCTGCTGGGAACAATGTCACCCTAACACTGACAGTGTACTGGGGCAGCCAGCAGGATGAATAGAAGCTGGATGAGAGCTCAGGAAAAGTCAGCGGAAGCAAAATGTGCCTGAGGCAGGACGTGATTCTCTCAGTTGGCACAGGTCTCATTAATTAATGCAGCAGCTTGCGGGGAATTCTGCCCGTTATAACAGGAGCCCCTTGACCTGTATCCCTTGGAGAGAGAGAAAAATCTATAGCCCTTCCACATTCTGGTGTTTAAATGGTCCTAACATTACACATTACAATCTTTTGTGACTATTTCCCTATATTTGTTCTTCCAGGTGTTGGCTGTCACCTGCTTAAGTGGCTCAAAAGCTGCTGGCAGAAAATACACGATTCCGACAGATGCACGGTATCGAGCCCTGCAGCCAATTGTGTTAGAGCAACAGAACCATGTGCTGTTTATGACTCAGTCATACAAGGTGCTGGGGCTCGCTGGCAAATTTGCACTTATAAGTGGATATTTAGAGCTAAACAGAAACGCCTAATAGCTAAGCAGTCTTCTAAATTCGTCTCAAGGAAATAGCCCCCGGGGGTATCAGATGTTTCTAAATGGAGGAGATTAGGCAGTTTGATTGAATGAGAAGCCTCGGTTTAGGTGACTGCTCAGAGGATGCTTTCGGACTATTTTATTTGAGCAAAACCGAGGTCAGGGCCAGGGCGAATATTTGAAGATGAAGTAAGTTTTGGAATCCGATTTGAAGAGAGTGTACATTAATTATATTAATGTGGATTTTAGTCAACATTTGGGTGGCTCTATCTGTTTAGTTTGGTGACTCTTACTAAATTGGCCCACGTGAAATGGCTGATATCTGATCACTTTCACCGATACGATTACAATGTCATATGTCTAAGCATGATAGATGGATGTAATTTGTGTTCAATACACTTCTTGGGATGACTTTGTGATAAAAAATGGTGACTGTTATAAATTTTGGGTCTTGTTATATAGTGATCTCTCTAAGTTTAGATTAAATTAGAGTTAGTAAATTAGAGTTAAACTTTAATTCCTTCACAGGACAAAATTACTACAGTTCTCCATGCAAAGATAAGAATCTCTTATGAGAATCTTCCTTTTAACTCCTCAATCAATTATTGTTTTTTGCCCTCAATCAATTATTCTTTTTTGCTAGAGCCTAAAATAGAGTGAAATGTTTTCACTCAGTCAGCTCCCGTTCTTTTTTCTCCAATTCACTCCTCCCAGCCTTATTCCACCCTAGTGACCTGAACACTGGATAGAACTTTCCAAAATCTAATGTATCCAATAGAACCCTCCCCGACTCCATCCACCTGCTCCGTCCCTCACCCTCCCAGCCCCACCCCCAAGGAATGGCCATGCCCTGACCATTTTGACTACGGGCTTTGCAGACCTGACCTCATTTGGTCCTTATAGAAGTCAGGGAGGGTGTTGCTGCTATTACTATCTCCATTTGGCTATCGTTGAAACTGACGCACAGAGTGCGAGGATCCTGCTCATGGTCACACAATTCCTCAGTGGCACAGGAAGAAGACATCTCATTCTGGTGTATCTGATCCCAACCCCTGTCTCATCCTCTGTGCAGAGCCATGTTTTCTTTCTGCATGCCCCATAGCAGGAGTCCTGTGTACATCTCCCTTGAAGAGTGAAGTGGGGCCTTCAAGAAAGTAAAGATGTGGGGCCTGTTCTCCAGGGTCTTTCAGGCAGGTTAGAGCCAGGAGAGTCCCAGAAAGTAATGCTCAAACAGCACAGAGGTAGGATGACCGTAGAGGATTTGCATGTACAAACCAGAAGAATTTTTATCTTTCAAAGGCTTAGGAACTTCAGAGATGAGTCTAAAATCGGCTTGCAAAAATAAGAATATTTTCAAAAGGCTGCATTATTTCTGATAAAGAAAGTTAAGACATATAATTTAAAGAACCTAGGCTGGGCGTGGTGACTATTCCCTATATATGTTCTTCTAGGTGTCAGCTGTCACCTGCTTAAGTGGCTCAAAAGCCGCTGGCAGAAAATACATGATTCCAACAGGAATCATGCCTGTAATCCCACACTTTGAGAGGCTGAGGCGGGAGGATGACTTGAGGTCAGGAGTTTGAGACCAGCCTGGCCAGCGTGGTGAAACTCCATCTTTATTAAATAACAAAATGTAGCTGGGTGTGATGGCAGGCCCCTGTAATCCCAACTCCTCAGGAGACTGAGGCAGGAGAATGGCTTGAACCCGGGAGGTGGAGGTTGCAGTGAGCCAAGATCTTACCACTGTACGGCATGCAGCCTGGGCAACAGAGGAGACTGTCAAACAAACAAACAAACAAAAAACCTGGAAGTTTGTTATAACACAGGGTTTTGTAAACTACTTTTTGTCATTAACTCAACATATTGTTTGCCATTTATATCTTGATTTCTAATAATACAGGTGGCTTAATGTACTGAAGGAAGGGCATTCAATTCTGTATTCTAGAATATGGTTTGTGCATAAACTCTGGAAGTTATTGCTATGTAGTAGGTCCACTGAGCTATCCAAAAGGCTTAGCAGGTCTCATCTGGTATTTTAAGTGCCCGGCATCTTGTAACTGCTCAGTAAATAGCTGTGGAAAGAATGTGCTCAATAATATTTGCTGACTACAGCAAATTGCTCCAGGAATTCAGGATGCAGCTGTGAAAAAAAAAGTTCCTCCTCTAAGGAGCTTAGATAGTAACGATGAGGAATAAATGCAATAAGCAAATTAATATATTAAAATAAAATAGGTGGTAGTAAATGCTGTGAAGAGAAATGAAACGTTCTTCATACCGAGTCGGGGAGGGTGACCACTCACAGAGAGAGGCCTGAATGAAGGGAGTGAAATAAAAGTTTTCTTCCTACAAATAAGTGGGAGAAAGAAAGAGGGAGAGGGAGAGGGAGAGAGGTGGAGAGGGCAGGGGAGAGAGAGAGAGGGAGAATTTATTAGCAAGTAGGCATTACTTACTAATTCTCATGCATGTAAAAGTACCTTGAATATGTGTACAGGGTCTGGACAGAATTTCATTCAACTTTGTATAATAAAGTGGAAGAGAGAACAATGAAAAATTCTCTTCTTTTTAAGAGATAAACAGATGTACTCTGGGATTGTTTCTGGTATTCCCTGTGGGAGACACCTGAGCTAATTCCAGAGGCACGTCCCCACAGCTCCAAGGTCAGGAGCTCGTGATCCTTGGGTTGTGAAATCAAAAGACCTGGCGCCTCCTGGACAGATGATATTTCAAGGAGATGCCCTCAGGAGGGTGGGGAGGCAGTTCCTTTCTCATTAAAGATAATTTCACCATTTTACTTTTACACAGGCAGAGGGATCAATGACCCCTGCACAGGCTAGGAGGTGGGAGTGCATTTTGTGTGTCTGAAAAGCATCAGGGAAGCCAGAGTGGGAAGGAAGGAAAGAAAGGAGGGAGGACGGGAAGAAGGAGAGAAGAGTGTCACAGAAGGAGGGAGCAGAGAGGAAAGGAGCGGGGGGCATACAGGAGAGAAAGAAGAGGGAAAAAGAAGAGAGAAAGAGAGGGAGAAGAGATGATGGATGGAGGAGGACAAGGAAGGAAGGAAAAGGGAGAGGTGAAGGGAGGGAGAGGAGAAGGGAGAGAGGAAGATATGGGGCAGAAGAGAGAAAGAAGAGAAGAGAAAAGAAGAGAGGAACCAAGGATGAAATGGAAGAAAGAACAGAAAGAGGAAATGATGG
Source organism: Homo sapiens (assembly GCF_000001405.40). Lineage (NCBI taxonomy): Eukaryota > Metazoa > Chordata > Mammalia > Primates > Hominidae > Homo > Homo sapiens. The sequence goes on from NC_000012.12 coordinate 125,923,623, forward strand.
AAGGAGGGAGAGAGAAAAGATGGAAAGTAGGGAGGGGGAGTGTGTGTTTGTTCCTTTTTAATCCTGAGTAATAGTCCATGCTGTGGATGTGTTGCAGTTTGTTTAACCATTTTTTTCCCTTGAAGGACATCTGATCTATTTCCAGGTTTTGGCAATTATCAATAAAGCTGCTGATACTGTTTGGATGTCCCCTCCAAATCTCATATTGAAATGTAACCCCCAGTGTTGGAGGTGGGGCCTGGTGGGAGGTGATTGGGTCATAGGGGTGGTTTTCTCATGAGCGGTTTAGCACCATACTCTTGGTGCTGTTCTGGAGAGAGTGAGTGAGTTCTTGGAGACCTGGTTGTTTACTCGCGTGAAGCACCTCCCTCTCTTGCTCTGTTGCTTCTGCTCTCACCCTGTGACATGCCTGCTTTTGTTTTGCCTTTCAATGTGAGTAAAAGCTCCCTGAGGCCTCCCAGAAGCCAAGCAGATGCCTAGCATCATACTTGTACAACCTGCAGAACCATGAGCCAGTAAAGACTCTTTGCTTAATACATTACTTAGTTTCAGGTCTTTCTTTTTCTTTCTTTCTTCCTTCCTTCCTTTCCTTCCTTCCTCCTTCCTTCCTTCCTTCCTTCCCTTCCCTTCCCCTCCCTCCCTCCCTCCCTCCCTCCCTCCCTCCCTTCCTCCCTCCCTCCCTTCCTTCCTTCCTTCCTTCCTTCCTTCCCTTTCCTTCCTTCCTTCCCTTTCCTTCCTTCCTTCCTTCTTTCCCTTTCCTTCCTTCCTTCCTTTCTTTTCTTTCTTTCTTTTTCTTCCTTTCTTTCTTCCCATCTTTCTCTTTCTTTCTTTCTTTCTTTCTTTCTTTCTTTCTTTCTTTCTTTCTTTCTTTCTTCCTTTCTTTCTTTCTTTTCTTTCTTCCTTTCTTCCTTCCTTCCTTTCTTTCTTTCTTTCTTTCTTTCTTTCTTTCTTTCTTTCTTTCTTTCTTTCTTTCTTTCTTTCTTTCTTTCCTTCTTTCTTTCTTTCTTTTTCTTTCTTTCTTTCAGAGAGAGATTCGCTGTATCACCAGGCTGGAGTGCACTGGCGCGATCTCAGCTCACTGCAACCTCCACACATCCCAGGTTCAAGCGATTCTCCTGCCTCAGCCTCCTGAGTATCTGGGATTATAGGCACCCACCACCACACCCAGCTAATTTTTGTGTTTTTAGTAGAGACGGGGTTTCACCATGTTGGCCAGGATGATCTCGATCTCTTGACCTCCTGATCCGCCCACCTCGGCCTCCCAAAGTGCTGAGATTACAGGCGTGAGCCACCATGCCCAGCCAGGTATTTCTTTATAGCAGTGCAAGAACGAACCAACATAGTTGCTATGAAAATTTATACACAGGTTTGTGTGTGAACCTGTTTTCATTTCTCTGGAATAAATACCCAGGGGTGCAATTGGTGAGTCACATGGTAAGTACATACATTACTCATTTTTAATTTTACACCAACACACTTTATAATTGTATTTTATCATACATATATTTTAATCACAAATCAGCTTGAAATAATATATTTGAATTTTAGTTTTTTACTGATACTTAGTATTTTATAAATAATGCTTGACGGAAACTCTGCCAGGTTGCTGCAATTGACTGTAAACCCTTCTGAACATGATTTTCCTCCCACAGTGAGAGAAAAATAATTTTCAGATAATTTTGTTGGGCCGGGAGTAGTGGCTCACACCTGTAATCCCAACACTTTGGGTGGCCGAGGTTGGTGCATCATTTGAGTTCAGGAGTTCGAGACCAGCCTGGCCAACATGGTGAAACCCCGTCTCTACTAAAAATACAAAAATTAGCCGGGCGTGGTGGCGGCCACCTGTAATCGCAGCTACTTGGGAGGCTGAGACAGAGAATTGCTTGAATCCGGGAGACAGAGGTTTCCGTGAGCCAGGATTGTGCCACTGCACTCCAACCTGGGTGGCAGAGCGAGACTTTGTCTCGAAAAAAAAAAAAATTTGTGTGTACTGATTAATGTGCAAACATACACAAATATACACATACTACATTTTTGTTGAATAAAATAATGTATACATGTTTTTACCAGGTGATAGCAGATGTTGCCAATAATAGTGTCCATTTATATGTCTTTAAAGATGTCACAAAAAGAAATGCACCCTGGGTAGTGGAGTTTCTGTGTCTTGGCTAAAGTTTTTGAAGACTTCCAGCAGTTTTCCCTGACACTTGTCATAAGCACATCATGAGCACGGTGCCTCAGTTATTTGGAGTGGCTCTTGTCTCTGAAACCTAGGGCTGCAACTTTTCTTGATACATGTACTTTTAAATTTGCATTTACTCAGAAGGCTGTGTTGGCAGGCTTTATTCAATAATTTTATATATTTATTTGCTATGTATCTGCTCTGTCTTATGTGTTATCTACTTACTTTTTCTTATTTAAGGTATAAAACTTGGGAAAACAGGAAACATGGGGAAAGATAACATGGTTATGAGTTAAGAGAGGTGCTCCTCCTGCTGCTCCCTCCTGGGCTCACCGCATCGGGCTTCTCTCTCAAATGTAGACATTGTCTGAAGGTTCACATTGTCATGGGGATCCAGAGAATGAAGACAGTAAATCCTTGGCTTTTAATTTTAACAACTTTAATTCATCTAAGTATAAAATAGGAAAGTTCCAGAAGATATGTGGCCTGGAACTGTTTTGAGTTTTCTTTTTCCCAGAAAATTTTAAAAATCTAGTTTTTATGAACTGAGGGAAGGACAGTTGCAAGGCATCATGTGGACAGGAGACACATTTATTTTGAAAGACCCCTAAGCTCTGTCAAAGTATGTGGCATCCACTGTCAGTTTCAAAGATGTGTAGAAGCTAACTCGGTCTCTGATAACTTCCTCTTCTCCATTCCAGTGAACACATGGATCAACCTATACCAAGAACCAACTTTAGCTGTTTGTTTTTATGCCATCTGGTAGAACTGCCCAACAAAAAGACCAATGCATTGACCATAAGTGATTCTCAATTGCAGAGCATACCGCATCCCTAAGGAGCATTTGTAAGGGTGTGGGGGCATTTCTAGTCACAGTGAATGGAGGGTGCTGTGGCATCTACTGTCTATGGAACCAAGGGATGTTATTCCTTGGTTATTCCCCTACAATATGTTGGACTTTTCCATAATGTAAAGAACCACCCATCCAAGTGCCAGGAATTTCCCTTTAATTGCTCTGCCAGTAGGTATTGGTATCTTTGTATTGTTTGGTAAATTACATGCATCCAACCTACAAAAGGACACATTGCATTTGTTTAGCTTCATTAAATCTTCCTTGAAGGTGTTTAACAGCCCCTTTTTATTTTTAATAACTTGGATGAGAAGCATTGAAAGTACTGGAACAGAAGTAGTGAAGAATACATTACTAACTCACATTTACATAAAAAGTAGATTGAAATGTAGGAAGGAGAGTAAATACTTCGTCAGGTGAAAGCATTACCTGGTGTAAGGAACATATCCTGTGATGTGGGCTTCAAGCACTCTAATGTTTTCCTTGTAGCATGTGTCGCAGTTATAACTAATGGATTTTGTATCATCCCTACTGAATCGTAAATTCTGAGGGCAAGTACTGAAATATTTTATTGATTTTTATGCTCTCATAGCAGAGACCAGTGTTTGGAACATCAGGGGCATCAGCAATATTTGTTGGAGGAATAAACAAATGGATGAATACACGTAGATCTAGTCAAATAGGTTGTCTTGAAAACCAGTAAATGCAAGCTCCATTACTTTTCCGTGATGACTTAGCTCTGGTCGTGTGTATGGGCTACCATATTAGGGTCATTAATATCAGAAATCAACCTGGATACTAAGGCTCCATCCTCTTTCATTTAGGCAGAGGCAGTGTTGTGTCTGTTCCCACTCTGTGTCCCCAGTAGGCATCATTGAGGTAGAAGATCAGTAGGTTGTGTTTTCATGACAGGATGTAGCAAAGACACCAGCTAAAACCAGCTTGGACTAGGAATGATAATGCATTTGCATGCTATGGGACACTGCCACCAGCACCGTGACAGTTTACAGATGCGATGACAATGCCCGGATGTTACCTTATAAGGTTCTGGAAATTCTCCGCCCCCTTTCTAGAAACTTTGTGAATAACCTGCCCCTTATTTAGCATATACTTAGGAGTAGCTATGAACATAGCTAGCCAGCAATCCCTCAGTGCTACTCTGCCTATGGAGTATCCCTGCTCTGTCTATGCAGCAGGCACTTAACTGTACACTGTCGTTCTAATAAACTTGCTTTCTTTTACCGTTGGCTTGCTCTTGAATTCTTTCCTGAGCAAACCTAAGAACCCTCTGAGATGAGCCCTAATTTGGGGGTTCGCTTGCATCATCACTAATCAATCACAGCATTCTCACTGAGGTGGGACCAGGTCTCAGATTCCCTGTGAACACCTGAGCCCATGTTGACACAACCAATTTATCAGAGTTAACAGGGTAGCTGGACACTCTCTCTAGAGGCAAGAGGCAGAAAGTGAATTTGGGGAAGGTGACTACTAGGTAAATCAGTAGAAGAAGGGAGGGCTGAGGGGCGTCTTCATTGTGCTTCAAACCTCCAAAGTTGGGATCATTCTGCAAGATGATTTCTTCATTGCTCAAAATCAGTTTGCATTTCCCTGGGTATAACCACACTCCTGGGTCTGGCAAGCAAGCAGGTGATACAACAGTGTCAATTAAATACTGTTTCTATTACTAGAATGGAGAAGAATACACTTTCCCCCTTATATTACCTTTTTATTGACTCAAATAAAAACCATCCAGAAAACAATTGCCCTCCATTAAACATAAGTATTCAGTCACATAAATGAGCAAGGTATTATGATGTGCTACATTAATGGAGGCAATCAAAAGTGAAAAGGAGGAAATAAGTAACCAAGCACAGGTGTCATCATAACAAATTCACCAAGAGCAGAAGTGAGTGGTCCAAGTTAGATAAGGGATTCACAGAACAGCATCCCTGGAAGAGGTCATGGGTGGCAGATCCCAATGCAACCACTCTGCCTTTGGGTGGAGAATTGCATCTTGCAAAATTGGACCTCTATAGCTGACTTTTAAGGACAAAGATTGTTAGGTGTGCCCTCTGCAGGGAATAAATCACATAGCCGTCTTGTCTTTTCTTCTATAAAATAAAAGGAACACAATGGGGGTTTTGCTGTAGCAGAGTGTACGGTGCCATGCTCAGAGCTTGAGCAAGGTAAGAGTCAAAGATGTAGCTTCCCTCTTGCTTTGATACGGACACATTCCAAAGCCCTAGCAAAATGCATGGGTTTCAGTTAGTGCTGGTTTGCTGTAGTTTGGGTTTTAGGCAAGGGATGGGTATTATCATTGGATATTACTGGAATATTCCTTCCTAGTGTGATCTATCTAATACCAGGTCCCATGCTTTGAAGCACATTTATCAGCTTTCAACCAGGAGTCCTGTTCTGTTTATCCCTGAACTGTGAGTACAATATTACTGAATTTATACTGCTTTGTTTGAACCAATTTACTACTTATCTTTATTTATTTCACAGAAGATCCTGAATAGTTCTCACTAAAGTCAATAAATTTTTTATTCCATATGCATGTAAGCCATAATATTTGCAAATGCTCTTTCTAGACTGCATCTCCATAGTTTTGCAAAGTACATTTTTAAAAATTATTTATTTATTTATTTATTATTATTATACTTTAAGTTTTAGGGTACATATGCACAACATGCAGGTTTGTTACATATGTATACAAAGTACATATTTTTTCTGAAGCAAGAAGATTCATATACAGTTGACCCTTGAACAACACAGGTTTGAACTGCACGGGTCCACTTATACATGCATTTTCTTCCATCTCTGCCACCCTGAGACAGCAAGACCAACCCCTCCTCTTCTTCCCCAGTCTACTCAATGTGAAGACCTTTATAATGATCCACTTCCACTTAATGAATACAAAAATGTATTATTTCTCTTTTTTGTAATTTTCTTAAGAACTTTTTTCTCGAGTTTATTTTGTGTTAAGAATACAGCGTATAATACATATACAAAATATGTGTTAATTTACTGTTTATGTTATTGGTAAGGCTTCTGGTCAACAGTAGGCTATTGGTAGTTAAGTTTTTGAGAATTTTTGACTGTACTGGGGGTCAGCGCCAGTGCATTGTTCAAGAGTCAACTGTATGTATATGCATATACCTTTATACCTATGTGTGTAATATGGATACACACGTGCCACATATACTTTTCCTAATGGAAATTTTTAATTTAAGAAACCGTGATTTTTCAAGAAGGACCAAAAGCAACTCAGCTTATTTTGTTTTCTGGGAACAACTTTGAATAATCTCTGATTCCTAACCCTATCTTTTTCTATTTACTCAATGCAGGAAAAATGCAGGAAAAGATGAATATTTTAATCTTGTTTGCCATCTTCAATCTGGGTAGTGACAGTCACATTTAATATTTGCTACCTGGATCCTAGAGGACTCTGGTTGGATGAGACTCTGGCAATGCCTCTTTTAGGTGTCAATGATGATAAATATGGCAAAAGAGTCTCAGATCTTTGAAGAGCAGGTCAAAACAGGAGTCCAAAGAGAGTGGATTTGGGAGTGTGGGAGCTACAGCTGTTATCCTACCTGATCAAATGATTTCCAAAGGACTCCTTTCTCCCAACTTGCCCTAGGATTCTTTGAAAGAATCTACAGATTCAAAGTGAGAAAATTATCTTACTTTGGTTGTATTTAATGATTCTTTTAGACCTCAACTATCCTTTCCATTCTAATAATAGCATACATTTATACAGCACTCACTGTGTTCCAGAAACTAAGTACTCCAAAGTTATTTAATTTTCACAACGGCACATGAGATACTGTTACGGGCTTTGTTCTCTAGGAGTAATGAATAACTGAGGCACAGAGAGGTCAAATAACTTATATGGTTGGCTATGTCCCCACCCAAATCTCATCTTGAATTGTAGTCCTCATAATTCCCACATGTTGTGGGAGGGACCCGATGCGAGGTAATTGAATCATGGGGGTGGCTCCCCCATGCTGTTTTCATGATAGTGAGTTCTCATGAGATTTGATGGTTTTATATGCATCTGGCATTTCCTCTGCTGGCACTCATTCTCTCTCCCACTGCCCTGTGAATAGGTGTCTTCTGCCTTGATTGTAAGTTTCCTGAGGCCTCCCTCCCCAGACATGCAGAATTGTGAGTCAATGAAATCTCTTTTCTTTATAAATTACCCAGCCTCAGGTATTCCCTTATAGCAATGTGAGAACAAACTAATATAGTAACTTTCCCAGGTTCTCACAGCACATAAGAGGCAAAGTCAGGCTCAGAAACCAGGGCTGCACTGCTGACATCCCCAGCCCTGATGCTGCTTCAGGAACTATTACCACTTCCATATTTGCCCCTTGGATGAGGCTGCCCCACTGCCATTTTGGAGTCCCTTCATTATGTCCCCAGCTTCTGGCTGAAAGCTTACAGGGTCATATCTTGCAAGGAGTCCAGCTCCTGGACCTATGCCCTGGTTTGAGGAGAGCTAGCGGAGGTAGGTCCCCTAATGTGACAGGCAGCATACCTCGCCTAAGTCAGAGGTGTCCCTAAACACAGCAAAGGGGAAGGGCACTAAAAACACAGATGTCCTTGGCACTACAATGATATGCCATAATATTTTTCATGTAAGGAAAGAGGTTGACTTTAACACCCTCTTAGCATCTTCCAACATGATAATCATGATGATAACATCAACACTTAGCATTGGTTATGTGTCACTCCTCTTTTAAAGGTGATGAGCCTGTCAGCTGGTTGTTGTTGTCATGGTGCCCATCTTACCAATGAGAAGGTAGGCATTGTGTCCACAACTTGCAGGTAGAATGTAATTGATATGCTTTGGCTGTGTCCCCACCCAAATCTCACATTGAATTGTAATAATTTCCATGTGTCAAGGGTGGGGCCAGGTGGAGAAAATTGAATCATGGGAGTGGCTTTCTCCCATACTGTTCTAGTGGTAGTGAATAAGTCTCATGAGATCTGGTGGTTTTATAAATGAGAGTCCCCCTACACACGCTCTCTTGCCTGCTGCCATGTAAGACATAACTTTGTTCCTCCTTTGCCTTCCACCATGACTGTGAGGCCTTCCCAGCCATGTGAACTGTGAGTCAAACCTCTTTCTGTTGTAAATTACCCAGTCTCGGGTATGTCTTTATTAGCAGTGTGAGAACAGACTAATACAGTAACGGTGTCAGCATTCTAACCCAGAACCCCTAGCTCAGAGGCCAGGTTCCAATCCCTGAGCCATAAGGAAGCTCCCTGGCATCCCTTTTGCCTTTGCTTGTCTTGAGGATATAGTCTCACCATAGGCCTCTCCCCCAGACAGACATAAAGGGCATTTTTCTCTTTCAGCTCCCTCATTACAATCTCCAGAAATTTCCCTTTGATGTACTATGTCAATATGTTATTAATTTCATCAATTGCACAGAGTGCATTTTGTCTCCCTAGTCATAAAGAGCCAAACTGCAGCCATCAGCTGTTCATTAAAGATTCCCTAATGAAGTTTATCAGCATGCTTACATATTAATACCTAGGATGAAACTGCATCATAAATTCAACAAAGGTGGTGAGGAATAGGTTACCTTCACATAAAAATCGACTGAATTGTAGGATAGAGGGTAAGTAGACTTAGTTCATCAGGTTAAAACAGAATCTACGTTGTAAGAAAAGGGTTTGGCATAAACATTAATGTTGATTTAGAGCACCCAGAAAGTCCTCATTTTTTTTGCACTTTCCACAGTTGTAATCAATTGATGTTGTGTCATCTCCTGTGGTAGGTAGAATAATGAATGTCCATATTTTGGATGCCCCAAAGATGTCTACATCCTAATCTCTGCAACCTGTCAAAATTTGATCTTACATTACAAGAGGGACTTTGCAAATGTGATTAAACAAGGATCTCGAGATGGGAAGATTATTCTGTATTATCTTGGCAAGTCCAATATAATCACAGGGCTCTTATAAGTGAAAGAGGGAGGCATGTAAGAACTAGAGACAGAGATGTGATAATGGAAGCAGAGGTTGGAATGATGCTGCCATGAGCCAAGGAATGTGAGTGTCTCTAGGAGCTGGAAAAGGAAAGGAAATGGACTCTCATCTGGAGCCTCCAGAAGGAATGCAGCCCCATCAACACCTTATTTTTAGCTCTAGGTGACCCATTTCAGACTTCTGACTTCCAGATCTATGAAATAATATATTTGTGTTGTTGTGAGCTTCTGTGCTTATGGTCATTTGTTACAGCAGCAATAAGAAACTGAAACATTCTTCCTAAGGGTAAGTTCTCCAAGGGCAGGGGACTTGGCTTCTCTAATAAGTTTCTATAAACTGCTGGCCAAGGATAGTCCTTAGACAATAATAAGTATTATAACATATTGTGTGGAGGGAATAAACATATGAGTGAATGAATAGATTCTAAAATATTTTAAGCATCCCTAACTGTATACCCACCTAACTAACAAAACTGGCTTGGCTTTGGCCCAGTGAATAGGTGGCCTATTCAGACATTGATCTAAGCATTGAGACCCCATCTACTGACCTTTGGAATTGCTTCCATCTCCCTTCATTCCAGGCAAGTTTGGTGTAATTTTCTATTGAATGCCCATAGCATGCTTTATTAATCTATTACAGTATTCACAGTGAGATGGTACAAAGTTTTAGAATTCACTCTATACAGATACATAAATCTCTGAATTGATAGAGCTGTTAGAAACTATTTGCCAACTTCTCCAGAAGCATGAGACATACTGGATCTTTGGAAAAGTGATTAAGCACCCAGGTAGAAAAGGGTCCTCAGGCATTGCATTTTTAAAATTAATTATTATGGGTACATAACAGTTGTATATGTTTATGAGGTCCATGCGATGTTTTGATACAAGCATACAATATGTAATGATCAGACCAGGGTAACTGGGGTATCCATCCCCTCAGGCGTTTATCATTTCTTTGTGTTAGGAACATTCCAATTCCATTTTTTTGGTTATTTTTAAACACACAATAAATTATTGTTAACTATAGTCACCCTATTTTGCTACTGCATACTGGATCTTATTGATTCCATTTAACTTTATTTTTGTACCCATTGACCATCCCCACTATCTCCCTTCTTCCCTGATACACTTCCCAGCCTCTGATCATCATCATTTTACTCTCCACAGGTACTTTTGTTATGCTGCAAATCCCCACAGGTGGAGGAATTTCTGCAAACGCTGTTCCTATTTGCCCCACACAACTTTGCATTTCGAGAGTGTAGCCACATCCCTCAAGTCTAACGAGTGAGTGGCAAGGGATGTCCCTAACCAACCATTAAAACAATTATAGGTTGTTTCTTTACTCTGGAGAGTAGAGTACCATTTATTTTCCCCTAGATTACCACTTTATGTATTCAAACAAAGGCCACCCCAGAAAACACAGATTCACTTTAAATTAAACATAAATTGCAGTGCACATAGAATGAGCAAGACATTAAAATGTAGCATATTGATCAGAGCAATCAAAAATACAAAACTGGAAATAAATACCCAGGGGCAGCTATCATGAGGACAAATTCCCAGGCAGCAATAGGTTGGAGAGAAACAGGGAACACTGAACCAGGCCAGAGCAAACTTGCAGAAGACTATGGGCCTTGAGGCAAAAAGCACCTGCTCTGCCTGGGATGAGTCCTCAGAATCACCTTTTGCAAAATGCATCTTTATAAATTATCTTTAAAGAAAAGGCTTGTTAGGGACACATTCTGTTGTGAATACATCTTTAGCTGTCATTTTTATTTTTATTTTTCCTTTTCCTAAAACTAAAGGAAGACAGCAGAAGTCTGATCCAATCTAGTAGAAGTGCTTTTTGCTCTCACCAAGTCATTTATAAGGAGAGGAACCCTGAGTGTGACCTGCAGTCTTGAATCCACTCTCAGCCTTGGCAGTATGTGAAAGTTGATTATAAAAATTGGGTCATTCTTGTCATGCTCAACTAAAATAGAACTGAAAAGCTAGGGGGAAAAGCACACAGGGTACAAAATATTGCTCTGAGAATATAATTCTCTGCAAGCCTGACTGATAAAACTGCTAAAACTGCTTGTTGTAACCTGAAGTGTTTCGTCTATAGCTTCTGAGATAACCTGCTGCAACTTCAGGACTAATTTTGCCCACCACCCTTGCTCACCAATTGGAGCTTACCAGTTTCCCAAATCCTTACTAGTTGATTTGGTTTGGCTCTGTGTCCCCACCCAAATCTCATGTTGAATTGTAATCCCCAGTGTCAGAGGAGGGACCTGGTGGGAGGTGATTGGGTCATGAGGGTGGATTTTCCTCTTGCTGCTCTTGTGATAGTGAGTGAGTTCTCACGAGATCTGGTTGTTTAAAAGTGTGTAGCACTTTCTCTTTCGCTCTCTCTCTCTCCTCCTGGCCATGAGAAGACATGCCTGCTTCCCCTTCACCCTCTGCCATGATTTTAAGTTTCCTGAGGCCTCCCTAGCCATGCCTCCTGTAAAGCCTGTGCAACTGTGAACTAATTCATCTCTTTTCTTCATAAATTACCCAGTTTCAGGGAGTTCTTTATAGCAGTGTGAGAACGGACTAATACACTGGTGCCAACAAACTCTTTCTCAAAGAGGAACATGTAACATTTCTTTAAAAAAAACCAAACAAACCTGTAACCTTTGTTCTTTGGACATATGGAAGACCACACAGTCTATGCGTATGCCTGGAATTACAATTCTTTCCTTCCCAATAAAGCATTAAATTTAGAGATTCATCTCTACATTTGTTTTTTTGACTTCAACAAGTGGAAAAGGGGGGCATAAACTCCATGGACCAAGTCAAACATCTGTGAATTCACCTGCCCTTCTTCTTATGATTTCACTCACCTTGGGCCAGCGATGCTGTTCAGGAATATACGAATTCTTGAAGTGACCTCATTTGCAGTTTAAATCTCCACTTCCGTCACCTACCAAACTTTACGGATTCTGTTTGCTAGTTTATTTCATCCTTTCTTTGCAACCAAAGGCTGAGCTGACAGTAGAAGATGCATCAGAAACTCACAGTAAAGGAGATCGTGCTCCCAGCAACCCTTGTCAATGGCATCATTAGAACGTGAGATAAAATCCAAGAAATCCAAGGTCTCTCTGGTGACTTGGCTCTGCCTGACTTTAACTCTGTCATGGCCTTCAACTTTGTTTAGTACTTTTTTTTCTGATTCCCTTCTTGAAAATGCAAGGATATCTAAAATAGTTATTTTTTATATGTATATAAATATATATATATACACATGTCTATATATACACACATATGTGTGTATATATATATATATATATATATATATATATATATATATATATATACTTTTGAGACGGAGTCTTGCTCTGTTGCCCAGGCTGGAGTGCAGTGGCACAGTCTTGGCTCACTGCAGCCTCTGCCTCCCAGGTTCAAACAATTCTCCTGCTTCAGCCTCTGAAGTACCTCGGATTACAGGCACGTGCCACCTGGCTAACTTTATATTTATTTATTTATTTATTTATTTATTTATTTATTTATTTATTGTATTTTGGGTTTCCCTATGTTGGCCAGGCTGGTCTCGAATTCCTGGCCTCTAGTGATCCACTTGCCTTGGCCTCCCAAAGTGCTGGGATTACAGGCATGAGCCACCATGCCCAGCCTATATGTATATATTTTAAATGTTCTTCCTCAAAAAAATATTTTTTGGTGGTAATAGACTAATTGTCATCTTGGAAACACTCACTGATGTTTTATGAGGGTGAACTCCTGTGGCCTGAGAGGGAAGAACTCTGTTGGGATGCAGCATAGAGAAGAGTTGATGGGGAGGCAGATACTCTTCTGTTTTCTAGTTCTGCTGTTGCTCAGGGTATCACAGTGTGTCTCATCATCTGGCAGGAGCCCCCATCACTCTACTGCAGCTGATGGAGGGGCTGACTCCTAACCAGTGCCCACCAGTGAATCCTTCGCATGGGTCCACAGCCTTGTAACAGGTTTGGGGTTTCCAGCCTGTGAGTTTTCTGTGAGTGCTAATCTGCAACCCAGGAGGCAGCTGGGGAGAGAAATTTCTGCTCAGATCAGTTTGTAGGGGAGGAGGATGAGTCAACCACAGTCTCTCATAAATGCTTCTAGGAGAGGAAATGTGTGCAGCCTCTTTTGATGTGGAAATGGTAAATATCCATTATAAGCCTTACACATTTTGGAAAACCTTTGAGCCAGAAATTTTACATCTAGGAAATTATCCTGGAAGTAATTAGAAAAGTTATCAACCATGATATCCAAAATCATGCATATCATAGTAGTAGTAATAGTGACATGTATGAAACAGCTTAAATATCCAATAGTTAAATAGTTAAATATAGTCTAGCTTTACATGGGAATTTAATGAAGACACTTAAAAATGCTGAAAAAATATAATGATATGGAGAAATGGCAATTACATATAGTTAAAGTTAAATCAGGCTACAGTGTAACATGCACAGCTTGCTTAAAAAATCTATAGCATATATATATGTGTATATATATATATATATATATATGGTTTTGGATAACAGGTGGTGTTTGGTTACATGAATAAGTCCTTTAGTGGTGATTGCTGAGATGTTGGTGCACCCATCACCCAAGCAGTGTACACTGTATCCAATGTGTAGTTTTTTATCCCTCACCCTGCTCTCACCCTTTCCCCTAAGTACCCAAAGTCCACTGTATCATTCTTATGTCTTTGCATCCTCATAGCTTAGCTCCCTACTTTAATATATTTTTGAATGAGATAGAGTGTTCTTTATATATCATATTGATTCATACTTTAACCTTAAAATTGTACTAGAACAGCATGATGGTTTTAGAAAAAATAATGACTGAAGCTATATATAATTTCTTATTATATATATTATAATTATATATATTATATATATTTCTTATTAAAGCAAGCTTACTTCCTTATACTTAAAAAAAACAAGATTTAAAAATAATTATAGACTTGCAGAAAGTTTGAAAGAAACATAGAGGGAGGTCCCAGACAACCTTCACCCAGCCCGCCCTGATATTAAGATAATTGTACAACTGTAATACAGCACCAAAATAAAAAAGCTGGCATTGGTCTAATTCACAGTTTGTTCAGGTTTCACAAGTTATACATGCATTCTGCAGATGTGTGCATGTGTGTGCCTGAAATTGTATCACATGTATACTTTCGTATACTCACCACCACAATTGATCACCGTATGTAAATGTACTTTGCCACAGGGTGCCCTCCTGCTAGTCCTCAGACCCTTCCTCTCTTATACCTCCATCCCTTACCCCTGGCAATCACTAATCTGTTCTCATCTTTGTAATTATGTTATTCGCAAATATAGATGGAGTCATGCAGTATGTGTCCTTTTGAGATTGGCTTTTTCACTCACAGTAATTTCCTTGATGTTCATCCAAGTTGTTGAATGTGTCAGTAATTTATTTCTTTTTATTTCTGAATTGTGTTCTATAGTATGGCTGTGCCACAGATTAATCAACCATTCACCCATTAAAGGACATCTGGGTAGTTTTCAGTCTGGGGCTATTATGAATAAAGCTGCTATGAACACTAGTGTACAAGTTTCTGCATAGAAATCAGTTTGCATTTCTTTGAAAAAACGAAAAAACCCAAAACACTCAAGAATGCAATTGCCAGGTCATATGGTAAGTCTACATTCAATTTAAAGATGAACCACCAAACTATTTTTCAGAGCAGGTTTTCCATTTTACATTCGCCCCAGCAATGTATGGACGACCGAGTGATCCAGTTTCTCTACATCCTCCTTAGAATGTGATATTCAGTGTACTTCTTTAATGCATATGTTTTCATAAGAAAAAAAGAAAAGAAAGACTGAAACGACGCTCACTAAAAGTGGTTAACCACAGTGGGTTGTAGGATTGGTAGACTGGAAATCATTTTTCTTTTTTCCTCCATGAATTTTCTACTGTGAATATAGATGGCTTTTGTACTTCGGGGAAAAAAGTTATGGTTTTATTCAAGAAAGTATTGGGACATGATTGGCCTAGGGCCATGAATGAGATTAACCTTGGAAATCAAGGGTCTGTAGAGATTGAAATGTGCATGTTACTACCAGTTTATGCAGCGTGGATCCTTCCCCAGGTGATCTATTTGAAGTAAATAATTTGAATTTGATCTCTATTAATTATATTCATGTTTTACTGTTGCTGTGGGAAAAAATAATTTTAACTTAACCAATATCTAACTAAGTAAAACACAGTAAAAGTTAGATTGACATGCTGTGGCAATTATAAATGAGTAAAAATAAGAGATGCTTTGAAAGCCACAATTTTAGCTGGCAGATGAAGGCAAAATCATCAGCTGGCAGCATATTGGAGCTAAGCTTTCTGAAGGAATCTGTTCATGTTCATTCTGGAATTCAGGGACCATTCTGAATTTATTGTTCTTTCCAAAACCCCATTTAACCCAAAGGGACACATACAGAGATTATGTTTAATGCTGGTTTTGCTACCATAGCTTAATATTTTAATCTATTTTATCCAGAAACAAAGATTTGTAAATTGTACTGTTCTTTATATTTCACTCTACCCATGGAAGTCATTTCAAACTAAGTCTTTTTTTTTTCCTTAATTATTAGAATATAATTAATTAGAACTGTGGACAGATCATATTTGCTAATATGCAAATTTTCAGAACTCCTGATGAGTTTGCTGTTGCTGGGTATGACTTTATAAATGAAAGCCTGACCTCTTAAAACGTATCTCCCAGGCTCCCACTGCAAAAGAGAAAATCAGGCATCATCTGTGAATTTGAGATTTTTTTTCCTGTTTCTCTGAATCCCTAAAGTCTCTTCTTTCCTTATTCTGGAACCTCATAAAAGTTGCCTGGACAAAGTCTTTGGGGCTGGAGGCTTCTGGACAGTACCCTGTATGGCGATAGAGACACAAAATGAATGAACAGGCCACCTCTGAAATTCTCCACCTCCACTGTCAGAGGGCAATGGGGAAATGTCAAATATTCTAACCGCACTTTTCAGTTTTCTGTTGTGTTCCAGTGTCTTGTCATCTTGCTACATAGCAAGTTGGATGGAAGATGCGTTGATGTCTCAGATCCTTTGAGATTTCTGTGCAAAAGTCCAACTCACCCATGACAGGTGGGAAGAGAGGCATTTATTCCCTTTGGTCCTGCATCTTCCTGAGGCTAAGATAGACCCACATTTTTCACCCTGGAAGAATTCAAGTCACAGGAGAGAAAATGTGGCCCCCACAAGTGGCATCCAAATTTCCCTCCCTTCCCCCAGTCTCCAGACCTATTTTGTTATGTGTCTAGGAGCGGAATGCAGAATGGTTATTTGTTTTGATAAATGTTGTGCCCTTAGCTCAGTCACAGTGTCAGCAGAGTTATCAGGAAGGTTCTTTTGTTGAGTCCGAGTGGATCTCTTGAGAAAAGTGGGGCCACGGTATCCTGGGTCCTACCACGTCATAAATCTGGCTGGCTTTTCTCAAGCAAAATAGAAATAAATTTGAAAAGGAATAAAGATGCACATACCCAGTAACAGGCTGGCTTTCAGTGAAAATAATTTGTGTGCAGTCCTTATTTTTAATCAACAATTAAATATTGAGGAACACAACCTGTACATGCTACAGGTTGTACAGGATGCCTACCCTCAGGGTACTTCACCTCTCTGAGCCTTACCACTGTCCTTATGTATAAAACAGGGATGGTGACAATACCCACCCCTCCTGGCTCTGCTGAGAGCTAAATGAGATACTGCATGCAACGTGTGTAGCATTAGGCTTGGTGTCTACTAGATAGTACTTGAGGCACTACTAATACTCTAGCACTAATACTCCAGTAGTACTAATAGATATCTACTAGATAGTACTAGTACTGAAAATAAATGCTATGTTTTTGTTTGTTTGTTTTTTGAGATGGAGTCTCACTCTGTCACCCAGGCTGGAGTGCAGTGGCATGATCTCAGCTCACTGCAAGCTCTGCCTCCCAGGTTCACGCCATTCTCCTGCCTCAGCCTCTGGAGTAGCTAAGACTACAGGCGCCTGCCACCACACCAGGCTAATTTGTTGTATTTTAGTAGAGATGGGGTTTCACCACGTTAACCAGGATGGTCTCCATCTCCTGACCTCATGATCTGCCCGCCTCGGCCTCCCAAAGTACTGGGATTACAGGTGTGAGCCACCGCGCCTGGCCCATTAAATGCTATGTTTTAATGTAGTTCTTGCAACAACACCTAATATAGCCACAGCCCCATCATAATGTATGGAAAGAATTCACTTTTATTTGGGCCAGCTTGCACTTACCTTTTGTGTTGTGGGGCATCAGAAAAACCTCCTATAGATGTAGGTTGGGAGTTGCCCCCGATCAAGAGTTGCTGCAGAGTACTGTTCAAATAGCAAAGATTTGGAAGCAATCTACGTGTCCATCAACAGATGAGTGAATAAAGGAAATGTGGTATTTATACACAATGGAGTACCATCCAACCATAGAAAGGAAGGACAACGTGTCATTTGCAACAACATGGATGGAACTGGAGACAATTATGTTAAGTGAAATAAGCCAGGCACAGAAAAACAAACATTGCATATTCTCACTTATTTGTGGGATCTAAAAATCAAAACAATTGCATTTATGAAAGTAGGGTGTAGAAGAGTAGTTACCAGAGGCTGGGAAGGGTAGTGGGGACTGTGGGAGAGGTGAGGATAGTTAATGGATACCAAAAAAATGGGAAGAATGAAGAAGACCTAGTATTTGATAGCATAACAGGGTGACTATCATCAATAATAATTTAATTGTGCATTTTAAAAGAACTAAAAGAATATGATGGTATTGTTTGTACCACAAAGGATAAATGCTTCAGGGGATGGATACCCCATTTTTCCTGATGTGATTACTACATATCGTATGCCTGTATCAAAACATCTCATGTACCCCATAAATATATATACCTGCTACGTATCCACAGCAATTAAAATAAAACATTTTTTAAAGGATCACTGCAGAATCTTTCCGGTAAGTTCTAACCTCTTGGGATGTCAATGAAGGACACAGCCAATGTTTGTGGATGATTGTCTTCAATTTGCATCTACTTTTCTCTACCTGTAAATGTATCAGGATCTTCCAGGACAGACTCAGAGGGAACAAAGAAATTGCCTGTGGTTTTAATGTGTTTGGAGACACTTTGGTAACAAGACCCTCGGGCACTAAAAAGAATAAGGAATATTTTAACAGTGGAATCATCAAGAAAAGGAGATTTTCATGAACTGTGAGGAAGCCCTTTCTGATAAATGAAGCTATCTAAAACCTCAGTAGATCTTGGAGGATTTTTACATCCTTTGAAGGGTGTGTTCGTGTGAGTGTCTGTGACAGTTCCCATGTGTTAAAATGTGTGTCTGTGTCAGTGTGTGCACAGGGGCTCAGAGCAGAGGTGGCACACTTGTTTATAAAGTTACCTAAAGTATTTCAGTTCTGCCACTCTTCCATATTATCCATCTCTGTCTTTGACAGTTGTAAAGCTCCCTGTCTTTCCAGGGTCAGTTGCTGTGTTAGGATGTGAGCTTCTGAGAGTGTGTACTTGCCTGTTATGGTCATGACTGCATCCACAGTGACAGAATAGCACTAGGCATAGAACACGTACTTAGTAAATACTTGTCAACTTAATGAGTTAATTAAAGGGAGAGGCTCATTAATCCAACTGCTTTTTCAACTTTTCTACATTGATGTTTTAAGCATTTAAAGTCAATGTCTCATGGGCACACCTCAATCTTTCATGGCAAAACCAATTTTAAAACATTGCATATATTTAGAAAGGTGTTGAGGCTGTGTGTCTCAGAGCTGCTTCCTGGGGAAGGTATGTTGGCATAAACACTATTGATAGCTTCTAAGCAGGGATTATTGTGGGATATCGCTGAGAATTTTTACCCCGTGGAGAAGTTTGTGCAGAAATTTTTAGGTTTCCTGGTCCTGGAGTGAATCCAAATACTACCTGAATTAATATAGACTAAGAATAGTGAATAACAGGATCTTTCTTGACGATATTGGTTAAAATGTTGCTTTTTCTTTAGAATGCAAAATAAGAATAAAAGAGACATGGTCTTGAATAATTATTTCTGTTTAGATTATATGAAGCATGTCAAACTTATATAACTCTGTTCCAAATAACTCGAAGTCCATATTCTCTTCCCTCCCTTCATGTTCTGTTTATCCCTCTTCATATTTCTAACATAAAGAAAGAGGATCGCACTTTTAGATGTCTTAGTGAGTTGCCAGAAATGAACTAAAAATTTTTAAGGATTTAGTTGCATTGGTTAATTTTATATGTCAACTTGACTGGGCTAAGGGATGCCCAGATGGTGGGTGGGACATTATTGCTGGGGGTGTTTTTGGAAGAGATTGACACTGGAATCAGTAGACTGAGTAAAGATCCCTTGAGGGCTTGAATAGAGCAAAATGATGGAGGGTGTATTCTCCCTCTCTCTCTTTCTTGTTGAGCTGAAACATCCATCTTCTCTTGCCTTGGGACATTGGAGCTCCTAGTTTTGGCTCTTTGGACTCTGGGACTTACACCAGCCACCACCCCCAGCTCCATTCCCCACTCCATTCTCAGGTCTTCAAACTTGGACTGAATTACACCACTGTCTTTCCTAGTTCTCCAGCTTGTTGATGCAAATGATGAGACTTCTTGGCCTCCAAAATTGCAAGAGCCAATTCACATAATCAATTTCCTCTTAAATATTCATATATAGCCTACTAGTTCTGTTTGTCTGGAGAACCCTGGCTAATACAAGAGTCAGGATATAATATCGGGCACAGCTCTGGATAAGTTGCCCTAGTAAATATTTACTGAGCCTATTTTGCCATAATAATTTCCCCATAGTACGAGCATTATGACAGCTCACATTTTATCCTAATAGAATATCCAATGTTTACGTTGCATAATCTATAGTAAATATCGATTTTGGCATAACTGCTGCTGCTTACTTGTGCCTCCTTAGCATAGATTTCCATAGGCAACTTTAAGGATATCTAAGAAGGAAGTGGAAGTGCTTTTGTCCTTTTGCAAAGAATAACACATACGCTAAGAAGCTGGATACAATGCATTTTATGGACTAAAAGGTTCTCTTTACACAGGGAGGCAGAATGGAGGAGAAAGGCCTCACATGGACTCTGCAGTCAGAAAAAGCTGAATTGAAAGCTCACCTCTAGCACTTGATACCTGAGTAACCATAGACAGTTCACCTAATCTTTTTAAACCCCAGTTTTGCCATCTATAGGTGGGAATAATGATAAGATCCACTTCTTAATGCTGCTGCAATGATTAAATTAGGTAATATTATACTTTAAAAGCACTTAGCATTGGTGATTGGTACATATTTACATACATTATTGATCATGTTAATTCTTACAATTATTGCTATTTTGGGATTTAGAGCAGCAATACTCTGCTTGCATTTTGACGCCGACCTTACTTCCATATGGAGATGTTATCCATTAGAATAGACTGTTTTGCAAACAGCTCATTGGCAATTCTGATCAGGAATACAGGCCACTAAGGGGTGCTACTTGTTGACAGTCCTTGCCAGTTTGGTGAAATCTATAATGAATCAAAAACCATATTTCAGTCTTGGTTGTTGAAAATTCCATATCTTTGAGTTTCAAATAAGTGCGTCTTTTAAACCGGTCCTCAGTAGGAGAGTTTCATTTAATTTTTTTGGTAGTAAAATCTCTGCCTAAACAAATGAATAGACTTCTTGAAAAAAAGTCTGGGGTGAACATTTTGCTCTTAGCAAAAATGGAGTTGCAGGGACCAGATTTAGCCTCCTGCCTAAAACAACAACAACAAAAAACAGATAAAAATAAATGAAAAAATAACTTGTAATATACCCGCAATAAATCAACAAAGGACAGAAAGA
The DNA here is from genome assembly GCF_000001405.40 of Homo sapiens. NCBI lineage: Eukaryota > Metazoa > Chordata > Mammalia > Primates > Hominidae > Homo > Homo sapiens. Next base: position 125,944,567 of record NC_000012.12, read on the forward strand.
TGAGGAACAAATGAAGTGAGTGATTCAGCTTCCTGTCTTGAGTTTCTGGACTGTGGTGCAGGGCGGGGCTGAGGTGGGGCCTGGCAGGCTCCCTGTCTTGAGAGATGGAGCTAACAGCTAAGAAAGACCAAGGCAGCTACAGGCTGGAAGACAAAGGACCAGGCAGAATAGAGCTGTGCAGAGACAGAGATGCAAAGATATGTTGAGTATCTCAGCTCAGTACTGATTAACACATGTGTGTGAGAAAACTACCTGAGGCCTGGACAAGAACTACCAGAAAGAATTAGAGTCCCAGGGCCTGGGACACACATAGTGCTGGGGATACTGCCTATGTAAATATACATGTATATTTAGAGAAGGGTCTTGCTCTATCACCCAAGCTGGAGTGCAATGGTTTGATCATAGCTCACTGCAGCCTTGACCTCCAGGGCTCAAGTGATCTTTCTGCCTCAGCCTCCCGAGTAGCTGAGACTACAAGTGCAAGCCACCATGCCTGGCTATTTTTTTTAAAATTTTTTGTAGAGATGGGGTCTTGCTATGTTGACCTGGCTGGTATTGATCTCCTGGGCTCAAGCTATCATCCCACCTCAGCCTCTCAAAGTGCTGGGATTACAGCTATGGGCCTGTATCATTAGCCACATTAGAAATCCTCAAGATCAGTGGGGCATTGGTGAAAGTACTCAGAAAGGTCTTTCTTTTTCAGTAGGAATAATCAACTCTAAACTGAGTACTAGTCCTGTTCAGCCAAACAATTCTTAAAAGCAGAACCAAAGAGGCTCAAACTGCTTCTCATTAACTTCGGTGAATCCCAGAACAAAACTCAAGAACATTTCTAAGAATACAAAAATGTCCAGCAGTCAGCAAGGTAAAATTACAACGTTTGATATTATTAACCACGCAAAGTAGGTCATGAGGAGACCAGTCAATCAATCAATCAATCAATCAATCAAACCAACCTAGAATGGACAGTTATTGCAGTTGGCAAATAACAAAAGTAAAATGGAATGACTGTATTTTCTATGTTCAAATAATTAAGTTAAATCTTATTTTTTACTTATTTGTGAAAATAAAATTAATTAGGAATATGGACAGATCACATTTTCCTTTTCTATTTTATTTTTGTCTCTGACAGAAAGATCACATTTAAAAAAATAGCACTTTTCAGAAATACGCGGACGTTTCTTTGGCTGGGTGTGGCTTTCTAGATGCAAGCTCAAGCTTTTAAACCATGGCTCTCAGACACTCGCTGTTACTTTTTTCCCCAAAGAAGCTGATGTTTTCCTATTCCCAGATATTTTGGCATTCCTGAACTTGCAGCTATCCAAAAGGTTTTCCTGCTGATGTTAAGGTCAGCGTTCTGTTCTGGATAAATTCTGCTTCGCTGGAAATTACGACTACAACAATTTCATCAAAGTTGTATGCCACCGTGTGAGACTCAAAGGGGATCCAGAGTAAAAGGAAACCCAAGTAACGAAGGCATTCGTATTTAGAAACAACAGGCAATGAACTTTCCAGGTAATTCTGGGAGTCAAAGCCAGGAATAAATAAAGTGTCAAACAACAGAGGCTGTAAATAAAAATCATTTTCTTCTATTACATTTATCACATTCCAGAGGATTCCCTGATAAATCTTCATGCAAGTCCAAGTCCAATATAACAATGCGCTCTAACACCTAATTTAGAGGAATGAAAATAATATAGTTTCCAGCTTAGTAAATATAGATTACTAGGTAAACTGGTAATAATAAAATTATCAGTTTACCTAGTAATCTATATTTTTCTTTATTGTTAGTATTCTTGTCAGTATTTTAGGACTACACTTGACCAGATTAAATATAGAGAATTTGTAAAGTGCCAAATTTGAATAATATTTCATTATAAAATTAAGGCTAATTGCATACTGTATATTTCATAGGATAGATATAATACTTATTGTTTTTGGCATATGTTTTGCACTCAGTAAAAGAAGGTGCTAAATCAAATATAATTATTTCAGGTTAGTCTTTGCTTCAAGCTAGAAAAAAAATTCTCTCAAAGCAAGAGCTAGGTATTATTCTATTATATATTCTTTGAACTTTGGTCCCTGGCATAAGCCCAGATAATTCTTGAACTAAATTGATTCAATATATTTGGCCTAGAAGTGGAGACAGAAAGGCAAAGATGGTAAAATACCTGCAATCAATTCATTTTTACAAGAGTCTGACTCCTTTACTTTCAGAGACAGAAATAACAAATATGAGGCTATTGTTTCTGACCACGATGAAATAGTTGTTGGGAGACTAGCCCTCCCTCCAAGAAAATGTTATGAAAAATATGAACAAATGAAGTTTTAATGGCCAATATATTAAAGGGTATTACATGCAGTTGGTACTTACAGATATACCTTTATTAATGCATTTTTATATTTCCTATTTGCTGATAGACTCCCAAAGAAAATTCATAGGGTGTTAAAACAATCCTCTCTTATTTTATTGGGGACTACAGAAGCAAATATATCACAAAAGAAAGCAGGACTTGAAAAATGAATCTCATTTCAGTCTGTTTTCCCAGTAAATTTCACAAGGCTTCCATATTCCATCTAAATGTAGTCACCTGTATTCTCCAAGGACACACATTTACTATAGTCCTGACAGGTTCAGGTCTTGAGCTTGGGGAAATTTAGAATTATGCCCTACCACTTTCAAGTCTGACCCAGTTAATACTAAAGACAGCCAGGCTGTAACCACCTTCTTACTTGTTCTATTACTGTTTTGCTTTCCCCACTTTTCAGGTCCTGAATCACGTAGGTGTGAAAGCAAAATATAGTTTCCATCCCTAGAAAATGTCACTGCAATGCCAGAGGGCTGTATATTGAGGACATTGTTAGCTAAATATATCACGCCGTCTTCGTGCTTAGAGTAAACGTTTTAGCTTATAGTTTTTCATTAGTAAATAAATAATAGCTCACACCGAGAATGCCTTAGCCACTTCCCATGGGCCATCTTGAAGGCGCTTATGTTGCCGGACCTGGAACACAGATCCAGAGTTCTGGTTGGTGGCTTTCCTGCACAGCACTGCAGATGGTGCTCTTATGTGATAGAAGCAAAGTGTCATTTCCACGGAGGAGATTTCAAAGCCTGCCATGGCTGCAGATGCCTTTCATGGGAGCTGGGAAAGGAATTCTCTGTATTGTTAGGACAAAATTGGCCCCTGCCTTTTGACATGACCCTTGGATGGGCAACAGTGTTTTATTTAATAATTAACTATTAAATGAACTACCAACATTTATTCAATTATTTATGTATTTAATGATAGTTTTGAATTTACAGAATAGTTGTCAAGACAATATAGAGACTTCTCATATATCCCATACCCAATTTTTCCCTATAGTTAAAAATATTCCATGTCCATGGTACATTTGTCACAATGCATGAACAAATATTGATATATTATTATTAACTAAAGTCCATATTTATTCAGATGTCCTTAGTTTTCACCCAATGTGCTTTTTCCATCCTGGGATCCAAGAGACCACATTGCATTCAGTCATCACGTCTCCCTAAACTCTTCTTAGCTGGGACAGTTTCTCATACTTTGTAGTGAATTGTATCCACTATTCAACTTTTTTGATGATCTTGACAGTTTTGAGAAAGCTAGTCAGACATTTTATAAAATGCCCTTCTATTTGGGTGTCGTTTTTCTCGTGGTTAGATGTGGGGTTATTTTTTGTTTTGGGGAGTGGTTAAAATTTTTTTGAGATAACTCACAGGCAGTTGCAAGAAATAATGCACACAGATCCGTTGATCCCTTTGCCAAATGTCCACAACGGTAACATTTGTAAAACTGTATCATAATACCATAACCAGGATATTGACATAAGTGCATAAGTATAATCCATAGATTTTTTTTGTGTGTGTGACAGAGTCTTGCTCTGTTGCCCAGGGTGGAGGGCAGTGGTGTGATCATAGCTCACTGTAGCCTTGACCTCCTGCACTCGAGAGATCCTTCCACCCCTCAGCTTCTTGAGTAGCTGGGACAACAAGTGTGTGCCACCTGCTTAGCTACTTTTCTTATTTTTCATAGAGATTGGGGGGACCCTCAGTATGTTGCCCAGGCTGGTCGTGAACTCCTAGCCTCAAGTGAGCTTCCTGCCCCAGCCTCCCAAAATGCTGGGATTACAGGCATGAGCCACTATGCCCAGCCCCAGATCTTATTTTGACTTCACCAGTTATACGTGCACTCATTTGTATGTGTGTACTAAGTTGTATATGGTTTTCTCACCTATGTAGGTTCCTATATCCCCTACCAAGTCAAGGTACTGAACAGTTTCAACACCACAAGCCTCCCTTTGTTGCCCTTTTCTAACACCCATCTCCCAGCTACCTTCCATTATAGCCCCCCATTCCCTAATCTCTGGCAGCTACTCCTTTCCTAAACAATTTTCCCCTTTAAATAACATTGTATATATAGAATCACAAATCTGGCTTTTTGGTATTAGAGTATCTTTCCATAAAATTATTTTTTTCAATATAATTCCCTGGAGATTTGCTCGAGTTGTTATGTATATCAATATTCCATTTATTTTTAACTATGGACTGGTCTTCCATTGTGTGAATGTACTACTGCTAGTTGGGCCATTCACCTGGTGAAAGACATCTGAGCTAATTCTCATTTTGTGGCTATTACCAATGAAGTTGCTGTTAACACAACTATACACTTAGTGAGTCTTTTCTTGTTTGGTAGTAAAGAAGAAAAGACCTCAAAATTTAACAAAACTCCTTTTCTAGGATGGATGATTTTTTCAGTTTCCAGGAGATAAATAAGAAGTTTCTGATAAACATCATTTTTAATTAAAAACTCTTGTCTCCTCCAAATTTCATCATTACAAACTGTTCCTCAGATCTATTAAGTAATTATTTTTTGAAGATTTGGGCTTTACTAATTTCTCTCGCTTTTTTCCTGGAATTGTTGTTTATTCCACACAGCACTGTCAAGGAAAAATGTGAGCCCTGTTTCTCACGAGTCTTCTGAGAACGTGAATAGTGAGGAAGAAAGAGGAATCAATGTGTGGGACAGCTATTACTCTGCCACTGCAGCAGTGCTGATGGGAAGATTACTTACTTCTGTTGGTGAAAATTGGAATATAAGTGTTGCGGAAGCAAAGAAAAAGACTTCTGATGGCAAAATATATCCTTACACTAACAACTGAAAGTCTTGCTGAAGAATCTGAACTGCACACACCACGGTTTCAGGAGATGGGCTGCGACGTGATGCTGGAATACAATATCTGTTGTTTCTGTGTACTTATTTTTTTCCTCAACTATCTTTCATTTCATTAAAACTATATTATATGCAGCCTGGGTGTGGTGGCTTATGCCTGTAATCCCAGCACATTGGGAGGCCGAGGTGGGTGGATCACCTGAGGTCAGGAGTTCAAGTCCAGCTTGGCCAACATGGTGAAACCCTGTCTCTACTAAAAATGCAAAAATTAGCCAGGGTGGTAGCGCACACCTGTAATCCCAGCTACTTGGGATGCTGAGACAGGAGAATCACTGGAACGCAGGAGGCAGAGGATGCAGTGAACCAAGATCACTCTATTGCACTCCAGCCTGGGTGACAGAGCAAGAGTCAGTCTCCAAAAAAAAAGAAAAAAAAAAAAACCAAAAAACGATATTATATTCCCTCTCTCACCTATGTGCCTCTTCATACTGAATATAAATACCCTGTAGTTAAATCCTGGATTTAACGCATGGAGAGATATAGTTTTCAGTGCAGCCTCTTGCCAGTTAGCAAAATTTAAGGAGCCCACAGGGGTACATATGACTTTGTCTAGCCCAAAACTCAACCTGGTGGATTATTCCTACAGTCTTCATGTTAAGGAAGACAGATTTAGTCTTGGGTACACATTTAAGAAATTGAAAATAAGGGCAGGGTGAATCGATAACAGTTACCAAGCAAAACGTAAAGCTCTATATATACCAGCATTGGGTTGTATGACAAATAATTTCAGTCCAATTGGTTGGGGCATCTATGAGTGATATAGCCAGGCTGATCAATAGCCTGCCTAGAGTAGACAGCACTCACAGTGTACCCAGCTCTATGCTGGGTGTGTTATATACTAGGGGATGTAAGTTTTAAAAAACCTACTAGTTACCTTCTGGGGAGCTTGCAGTTTGGCTGGGAAGACAAGACATAGCACATAGAAGATGTGGCCAGGACGTAAGGGTTAGATCATGTAGAGTAGACTGTGTCTGCCATTGTAGTTTGGAGCCAGCTGGTTTATGGATGTGGTGGAGTTGATTGGCCCCTCTGAGAATGGGGTACTTACGGGTTCTCCGAGGGGATATTGCAGGTGGGAGAAACAGCGAATGAAGGTATTGGCATGCACCTGGTGAGGAGTGAACAGTGAGGATGCAGCTTCTCCAAGTAAGAAATTTGATCTGGGTCCACAGAGAAGAGGACAGAAAGCACGAGACTGGCCAGTTGTGGTCAGGGACAGGAAGATGTATCCCTCAGCTTGACATGAATCAATGAGTAACCTGTAGTGCTCAGGATGTTACATCTTGTAACCTTCCTTACCATGTTCTATCTCAATGATGCTCACAAGTTAAGTATTAATAGTATGATCCCATTTTATGTAGGAGCAAAATGAGGTTCAGAGGAAACATGGTTTATTATGGTTCCCTGAGAACTAGATTCCAAGCAAAAATCTTGAGCCAAATAGTGAACAAGGGCTCAGACTCTACAGTCAAACTGCCAGGATCTGAATTTCAGCTCGCTTATCAACTTGGGGATCCTGGCAGGATCTCAGCCCCTGTGTGCCTCAGTTTCCTACCTCCAAAATGAAGATAATGATAAGTCCTATAGCAGTGTCTGACTCTTAAACTCAGTGGGACAAAACATCTACCTTTGTGCCCTAGGAATAATTTTAAACTTTTGGACATGGTGTATTTAAGATGCGTCTAGATGTAACTAGGTTATTCTCCCTGCAATAATGATATTTAATAATTCCAAGATGATTCTTTTTTCCTTTCTTTTGTTTTTGAGACAGGGTCTTGCTCTGTTGCCTGGGCTACAGTGCAGTGGTGTTTTCTCAGCTCACTATAATTTCTGCCTCCTGGGCTCAGGTGACTCTCCCACTTCAGCCTCCTGAGTAGCTGGGACTATAACCACATGCCACCACACCTGGCTAATTATTGCTTTTTATTTATTTATTTATTTATTTTTGGTAGAGATGGGGTTTATCCATATTGCTCAGGCTGGTCTTGAACTCCTGGGCTCAGGTGTTTCTCCTGCCACAGCCTCCCAGTGTTGGGATTACAGGCATGAACCACAACGCCTGGACTAGATGATATTCAATAATCCCGTTTTCCTTTCTCCCATTTCCTACCAGACACACACACACACACACACACACACACACACACACAAACACACATTTCTATCTCTGGCTGTTGTAAGTATATGTCCAGCATCTCCCCTTGGTCTGACTTAACATAAATTGTGGTGAGATATTCTCAGGGCAGGGTGTCATCCTGCTGTGGCTGCAGATGTGTCTGATTTACTTTCATGGATGAAACCGAGCAAGGCTCACGAACTTTAGCACTAAGAGCAAAGATCCCACTGCAACTAAGAAAGCAGAGAAACTTCCAAGAGGCGTGACTATGAGGGCACAGATATAGTGCTCACAGGTGCTTTGATTTGTGCTCGCTGAGGCAGGGCACGCCACACCTTCCATGAAACATGGCTCTTGTGGGGATGAATCTCATGATGGGTGCCAAGCTTATTAATTAGCATGTTAATGTCTGTGCACTGCATGGAGGTTCAGCCCGAGTGAGGCAGCCTGGCCCTTCACACGTGAGTCAAGCCCTCGATAGCCCAGCCCTCCAGGTGTGGAACATCAGGTGCAGATTCATCTTGTGTAAAGGCGGCTCTCTCCTAATTTTAAGTAGGTGACTACCCTAACCACAGAGCCCTTTGGTTTCTTAGAGCTTAGAGTCCTGCAGTCATTTACACCCCAACTCAGGGTCGCGTGGTCATTTGCACCCGAGGCAGGTGCCGGGTGAGGTGGCTGCACACCATGCTGAACCAGTCTTCAGAGCATCAGGTGGAGAGGAAGCTGAGGAAGAAGAGGACAGCATGCCTGGTGCTGGAAAACTAGCATCATCAGGATAGTGAGATGGAGACCAGCAGACAGGTCTCCTGCCCAAGTGGCATGGGCCACTTCTGGTCTCCACGCTCTAGGGCCAGCTCTGCCAGGACACAGGATGCTGGACCCCAGAGCTTAGTGCCTGAGCACAACTGCCTCCATAAAGTGGGGAAGTGGTTTGTGAGGACCCATCTCCACACACATGGAGTGGAGAGAACTTATCTGTATGGACCTACAGGGAAATTGATGCTACCAGCACACCTGTGGGCCTATGTGATAACGTGAGGAAGCCTGTGGTGATTTTCACGTGACCCCAGCTCCAATTCTGACAAAATAAAACATTTTGAGATCCATAACGAGCATCTATTTCCAACACAGCCTCTCCAAGAAATGTACTTCATTGACGACATGTGTGATGCTCAAGCATTTTTAATTCAAACGTCATTATGAAACTCAATCAAAGGGCATCACACATTTTTGATGAAGGCCTTATTTCCATGTGGATCTTGTTTTTCCCCTTATTTTTCTCTGTCATCATGATGGGAATAAGTGCCGTTTCCAGAAGGACATTATTTAGGAGTTTGGCAGAGTTGAGTCTTTGAAGGACTGAGGACAATTGTTCAGAAAGACACCACAGAGTTGGAACAGACGTGAAGAAGGATTCCAGAAGACACAAATCATGCTCCCCTTATGAACACAGATATTCCTGAATATTACATGTGTGAGGCCAGAGAGAGAGTTCAAATGCAGCAAGTTGCTACTTCGAACATACTGAGATTGTCACAATCCCTGCATTTTGATGTGGCAGACGTCATCAGTGCCGGCAAGAATAAGACACTGCTTGGCGCCCTTTTCACGTAGCTCAGCTCTTGGGTCACCTTAATATTCAAAGTCCACCCTACTTTTATGTTAAAACTGCTGCTATTTTAACACGTCCTTGGTTGGAAATCAAAGAGAAAAGGTTTCCCCATGTTCTCACTGATTTTAAGTCAAAGACCTGACTCCTTGAAGACAAATTTTCTGGAACTTCCCCATGGTGTGGGTTGTACTGGGGGATCCGATGAAGGTAGGTCTGCTGCATTAGTCTGTTTTCACACTGCTGTTAAAGACATACCCGAGACTGGGTAATTCATAAAGAAAAAGAGGTTTAATGGACTCACAGTTCCACATGGCTGGGGAGGCCTCACAATCACAGTGGAAGGTGGGGAAAAAACCAAGGCACGTCTTACATGGTGGCAGGCAAAGAGAATGAGAGCCAAATGAAAGGGGTTTCCCGTTGTGAAACCATCAGATCTCATGTGATTTATTCACTACCGCAAGAACAGTATGGGAGAAGGTATCCCCATAATTCAATTATCTCCCACTAGGTCCCTCCCACAACATGTAGGAATTATGGGAGCTACAATTCAAGATGAGATTTGAGTGGGGACGCAGCCAAACTATATCAATCTGCCTTGACCCCAGTGCAGGGTCTTCACTCACTCGTTCATGTACCATTTGTCCATGAGCACCTCCCTCATGCCAGACACTGATGTGGTCCCTGGTGGCACCATGGTGACCATGACAATCAAATTCCTGCCTTCAGGATAGCCACATACAATGGAGGGGTTAGACAACGCACAAGGCAACTAATAAACACACCACTTCAAGTTGTGATAAAATGCTATAAAGGTACTAAACAAGGTGGCTTGATGGAGGGAGACTAGAATGGAAGTGACAGAGCTGCCTGAGACAGTGAGGAAAGGGAAGGCTCCTCTAGGTTAAGGCATGGGGTGCTGTTCTGTAAGGAGGAAAGATCCAAAACAGCCAGAACAGGAGGAGGAGCTCCAGGCACAGGACACTCCAGGGCACAGCCCGCAGGCAGGAATGGGCTTGGCTTGTTTCAGAAACAGAGATGGATGTGGGTGGCCAGCATGTGCGAGTGTTTACTAAGTGGCCGCATGGCAACAAGACCATAGAAGGCAGGTTTGGAAGCAACAGAGTCTAAATTCTGATTCCAAATGGCTGAAGAATAAGGATGGTTTTTGGAGATGTTTCGGTTTATAGCTCTTTTCCAACCACCTCTCCCAGCAGGAAGTAAGCTGCTCCCCTGTGCCCCAACTCATATCAATGAAGGATTGAAGCCGCTATGTCCAGTCATGATTCTGCTAAGACTTTCCAAGCACAGGCGCTATAGTGCCAGGACAGAATTGGAGCTTTTGTAGAGCAGGCACGTGACATCTGTGCTTCTACATAAAAAATGCCTGATGGCATCTGGAGTTGTCCAACATTGCCCTGAAAATTCTATAGATTAAGATAATCCTGGTGCTTACTATTGTCCTCTGTGCAGTTGCAATTCTGACCTTCGTTATGGTAGCCAAAAGCTTTATTTATAACATAGCAAAAGCAGATTTTACTTATGTCAGTCAATGCTTTAATTTTCCACCAGGATGGTAACTAAACTCCGCTTTTAGGACAAACTACGTCTTCTTCTGTCTGCTGAGCAATTTAGCTTACATCTTGCAGGAAACCAAGCCCAATCAGAAGGAGCTGTGGACAGTTTAGTGAAGGTGGTTCTAAATATGGGATTTGCTGGGTTTAAAGGAAGCAAAGTGAAATGAAAGGCTGATACAATGATTTATGAATATAAAATATAAAATCCCACATGTATAGAAGAGATTTAAAATAGGTTCACATACTTGCAAAAACAAGTGCTTATTAGGCCTGTGATAATATAAATTTTTTTATCATTTTAGACATGATATGGTCTTGTGATCATGTTTGAAAAATCGTCCTTTTCAAAGAAATAAACTAAAATATTTACAGATTGTTTTCTACTTTTATTTATTTTCTTAAAAGAAGGTGTCTCACTGTGTTGCCCAGGCTAACCTTGAACTCCTGGGCTTAAGGGATCCTCCAGTCTCAGCCCCCAGAGTCGCAGGGATTTTAGGCATGAGTTACTGCACCCAGCCCTCTTACAGATTTTATGAAAAAAAAAATCTACCTTTGAAGGGATTTTTTTTTTTGAGACAGGGTCTCGTTCAGTCGCCCAGGATGGAGTGCAGTGGTGCGATCTCGGCTCACTGCAACCTCCACCTCCTGGGTTCAAGCAATTCTCTGCCTCAGCCTCCCGAGTATCTGGGATTACAGGTGCCCCTCACCATGCCTAGCTAATTTTTGTATTTTTAGTAGAGACGGGGTTTCACCATCATGGCTAGGCTGCTCTTGAACTTCTGACCTCATGATCCACCTGCCTCAGCCTCCCAAAGTGCTGGAATTACAGGTGTGAGCCACCGCGCCCAGCCTGAAGGGATTTTTAAACCTTGCAGAAACCTGTCGTCACAGTTTATTTGCAATGTTTTACTTCTGCAGAAGCTTTTGCTGACCTGACCCACGTTGATATTTAGAGTTCAACTCAGTGCTTCAACTCGGTGACCACACAGCCCACAGTCACTATATGCTGTCTCTAAACTCTTAAGCGTCTATTTCTCAGATACAGACCCATCTTAGACCCTTCACCCATGTTTTTATTACTGAGTATGTGGTGATTAATCCTTTCAGAGCCAGTTCTAACTTCCGTGTACAACCGGAGCTTCCAAATGGGTTTTGGCCATGGTGAGAAGCCCTTACTGAACATTTCTGTGAATGGAATAATTGAATAGACATAATTACAAGACTCTGTGCCGTGTGAAATTGTAAATAGCACTGACAATGTAATTTGCATTCATTTATGATACAGTAACTCATTACGGCTCCGATTTTCATCCCCTTCATTAACAAGCTCATCTGTTTCCCTGATGGAAGCCCCTTTTGTGTTAGATACAGCTCTTTGCCCAGAGAGATGCCCACGGTGTGGACTGGCGCTGAGAAGTGCACTTGGTGTTGCTGACAGCAGGACACATGGCAGAGTGGTGTCCCCCAGAGCATATGTACACCCCAGCCAAAGAAATGTGTGTGTGACTTCTGGGCTGTTTAGCTTTTTTAAAAAATATGTACATTTTGCTTGCTTGGATTGCAGGGAATTATTATATTAAATAAGAAATGGAAACAGACCTTGTCACCAATAAAATAATAATGAGGAGGAGGAAGAGAAGAGACATGTCATCAATTCATATAATAATATTAATAATAATGGGGAGTAGGAGACACAGACAAGGACCATATTCCTTGTGAACTCATCCATGGATCAATCTCATTGTAGTTATTCAGACTCCTTCCTCCACTTGTCATTACTTCACCATTTCAAATCATGGGTCCCATGGTTTGCTCATCTTTATTTTTTATTTTTATTTTATTTTATGTTATCTTTTAAGAGACAAGGTCTAGTTCTGTTGCCCAGGCTGGAGTGCAGTGGTGCAGCCATAGCTCACTGCAGCCTTGAACTCCTGAGCTCAAGCAATCCGCCTGCCCCAGCCTCCTAAGTTGCTGGGACTACAGGCCGGCACCACCACACTTGGATAACTTTTTTAGTTTTATTTTTTGTAAGAGACAGGGTCTTGATATGTTGCCTAAGTTGGTCTTGTACTCCTGGCCTCAAGTGATCCTCCCACCTGAGCCAGCCAAAGTGATGGGATTACAGGTGTTAACCATGGTGCCTGGCCTCATCTTTATTAAAGACATCATTTCTGCTTTATCCTCCCCAACAGCAGCTCCAGCTTATTCTGTCTGGACCAGGAAAATAGGAAGTTTTTCCCTGTCAGGAGTGTTGGGATCGACTGCCTCTTCTTTTTTTTTTTTTTTGCCTTAAACTCAAACTTTCTTTAAATTAAATTAAATTAAATTTACTTTAATTTTAAGTTCCAGGATACATGTGCAGGACGTCCAGGTTTGTTACACAGGTGAAAGTGTGCCATGGTGGTTTGCTGCACCCATCAGCCCATCACCGAGGTATCAAGCCCCGTATGCATTAGCTATTTATCTTGATGCTCTCTCTCTCCCTGCCCCTACAACAGGCCCTGACGTGTATTGTTCCTCTCTTTGTGTTCATGTGTTCTCATTGTTCAGCTCCCACTTATAAGTGAGAACATGTAGTGTTTGGTTTTCTGTTCCCGTGTTGGTTTGCTGAGGATAATGGCTTCCAGCTCCATCCATGTCCCTGCAAAGGACATGATCTCGTTCATTTTCGTGGCTGCATAGTATTCCATGGTGTATATGTACCACATTTTATTTATCCAGTTTATCATTGATGGGGATTTGAATTGATTCCATGTCTTTGCTATTGTGAATATTGCTGCAATGAACATATGCTTGCATGTATCTTTATAACAGAATGATTTATATTCCTTTGGGTATATACCCAGTAATGGGATTGCTGGGTCAAATAGTGTTTCTGGTTCTAGGTCTTTGGGGAATTGCCATACTGTCTTCCATAGTGGTTGAACTAATTTACATTCCCACCAACAGTGTAAAAGCGTTCCTATTTCTCCACAGACTTGCCAGCATCCAACTGCCTTTATGGTCATTCATCCTTGCAGGTAGGGGAGGGATGTGTATTGAGGGGAGGGCAGGATGATGACAGACATTTGCCCATATTCCCCTGTTAGGCAGGGTTAATATCTGTATGTTGGGGTCACAAGTGGCTTCTGTTGGCAGACTTCTGCTCTCGGTGCTTGTCCAGATAAAAGACAGCTCAGTTTGCCATATGAGCGGACCCACAGTTCGAGTTTTTGTGTGAAGTATCAGGAAGACAATTTTTACCTCAGATCCAATCATGTTTCTTCAATTCTGCAGAGGCAGCAATAAAGGTATTGCTTTTGAGACAAATTTAACTTTGTTTTTACTGTCCGTTGGTTCCAGTCTTAAATAGGGTGCAGTTGGGTTGGTCTCCACTCTCAGAAAATCCAGTTATGAACAGTAGGTTTGCATTAGGTAGGGGGCTAAAGTACTTGTGAGATTATTCCTATGGTGTATGCCTTCACTGAGGGGTTTTGGGTCCTGCTAGGGGGCAGAAACTGGGTCTTATTTTTGTATTCAGAACATGTAACACGTAAAGAGCTGGGTTCAAACTTTTGTTTTTTAGGAAACATACTAGATCAGAATAGGTTTATTTGCAAGACACCACAAATAGCAATTGCTTATATGACAATGCAAGGTAACTTCACCCTAACATAAAAGCCCTAATGTGGGCAGTCAGGGCTGCAAGGAGATCTGTCTTACAGGGTCTTCAGAAACCCAGGCCCCTTCCAATGTGATTCTCTCCCATGCACTGTCTCCATTCCCGAGGTCACCTCAAGGTCCACGGTGGCCGTATCAGATCCAGCCATGATGACAGCATGACAGTCTATGGGAAGAGAGAATGAACCCCATAAAGTGACTATAAGGTGTGGCATGTTTCATCTATGTCTGGAAGTTATCACTGACTATATTTCCCTTTGGATAGACGTGGACACCTGAGAGTCTGGGAAGTGTTATTATTGGCAGTCACATGCCAGGCTAAAAAAGGGAAATTTTATTACTATGGGAGAACATATGCTTTTTGTCCCAGAAGATTCAGTTGCCTGTGGAAGATGAAGAATGTAAAATTCCCTGTAACTATAATTGTAGGGCCAGATAAGTTGATCTACAGGGAATGTGTATGGGGAGTGATGGAATGATGTCACAAGTAACTGTGGTTGGAAACCACCTGTTAGGTCAGACATGAAAAGGTCACTGGCCTGGGATGTTTCAGTGGCAGGAGTGTTAACAGCCCTGAACTTCATTTCCATTCTCTCAAATAATGGGTGATGATATCTAGAAGTGGGAATATAACATATTATCTGTTTAATCTACAGGGCTGTTATAAAAATCAAGTGAGATAACATGCCAAGGTAAAAGGGTGCCTTTTTAAATTTTACTTGTTGTACTGGGTTGAATAGTGTCCTTCCAAAATTTATATTCACCTGAAACCCCAGAATGTGACCTTATTTGGCAATAAGGCCTTTGTAGACGTAATTAGTGCAGTAGAGTTCATGATGGATTATGGTAGGAACTAAATCCCATAACTGATATCCTTATACAAAGACCATGTGAGAACACACACATAGGGAAGAAGGCTATGTGGGATGGAGGCAGCAATTGGAGTGATGTGGCCACAAGCCGAGGAACACCTGTGGCCAGCAGAAGCTGGAAGAGGGGAGGAAGTATTCTTCCCTAGAGCCTCAAAAAGGAGCACAGCCCTGTTGACTCCTGGATTTCGGACTTCCGTCTTTTAGAACAGTGAGAATAAATTCCTGGTGTTTTAAGCCACGCAGTTTGTAGTATTTTGTTATGGCAACCACAGGAGGCTAACACATCTGCCACAGTAACAGTCCATGCTCCATGGCTCTTTTGTAAGGATTAAACGAACATCTAAGTGGTGAACATGGTGCCTGACACAGAGTCAGCACTTCTGGAACATCTTTAAGGGAGCTGTGTAGAATGCTCCATCTATGGATTAAACCAAGCTTGTCCAACCCATAGCCCATGGCTGCACGCAGCCCAGGATAGCCCAATACAAATTCGTAAACTTTCTTGAAACATTGTAAGATTTATTTGTGATTTTTCTTTAGCTTCTCAGCTATCATTAGTGTTAGTGTATTTTATGTGTGGCCCAAGACAATTCTTCTTCCAGTGTGGCCTAGGAAGCCACAAGATTAGACATCCCTGGATTAAAACTTCCATTGTGAAAATACAATACTGGGAGATAGGTGCTGTATTAGTCCATTTTCATGCTGCTATAAAGAAATACCCGAGACTGGATAATTTATAAAGGAAAGAGGTTTAATTAACTCACAGTTTGGCATGGCTGGGGAGGCCTCAGGAAACTTACAATCATGGTGGAAGGGGAAGCAAACATGTCCTTCTTCACAAGGCAGCAGGAGACAGAAGTGCAAAATGAAGGGGGAAGAGCCCCTTATAAAACCATCAGATCTCATGAGAACTCACTCACTTTCACGAGAATAGCACAGGGGGAACCACCACCATGATCCAATCACTTCCCATGAGGTCCCTCCCCCAACATGTGGGGATTACAATTTGGATTACAATTTAAGATGAGATGTGGGTGGGGACACAGAGCCAGACCATATCAGGTGTTGTCCCAGAGAAAGAGAGAATATGTTTGCTCGGTGGTGTCAGCTATAAGCAAACAAGTCTGATTCAGTCATTTACATCAAGTCATTCAGTGTGTGAGCAAAGATGCTAAGACCACTGGATGGGTGACTTCAAATTCCCCTGGCTCAGTGTCTTGATATAAACTGTAAATTAAAAATAGAGTATCTTGGCCGGGCATGGTGGCTTATACCTGTAATCCCAGCACTTTGGGAGGATCCCTTGAGCCCAGGAAATTGAGGCTGCAGTGAGCTATGATTGTGCCACTGCATTCCAGACTGAGCAACAGGCAAGACCCTGTCTCTAAAATAAAATGAAGTAAAATAGGAAATATTGTTTTGTAAGTTTCAGATGCTCACTGTTATGGGTAGAAGGTGGAAATTCCTGATGACTTAATCTAAGCACCTAAATCCAACCACTTCTGAATCTCCTAAGTAGGCATTCAAATCAGCAAATCCCCTTCGTAACTTCAAAATAGTCATTGTCTTTCTCTTCGCACTAAAATTTAAGATCTATGTGGGGAAAGGTTTTGTCTTTGTTATCAAGATATCCCCAGCATTTACAGAAAATGCCTACTACATGGTAGACACTCTAATAATATTAAATGAATGAATAGCAAGTATAAGAAGCCCAATTCCATCTGGCTTTAATGAGGAAATGTTGAAGAATGTGAGTGCACTTACATACTTTCGAGTAGATATACCATCAGGGGCAACTGTAAGAGGCACTGGAAGATGTAACTACTGATACCTGATGCATAACTGCTTAATATGTCAGATGGTGTAGCATTAATTCCAGATAAATAGAGCTGAAATAAACTACCTCACTATAGTCACTTGTGGTCTATCTGCATACATGCTTTGTGATTTTATTTGTTCAGTAAGAAGCTTAGCTAACTGTATATTCCTGAACTGGCATGTTCCTTTGGGTTTTGATTTCTTGTTTCCCCTACATAAGCCAATTTGAGTTGGGTTAAGTATAAAAAGAGAAGTTTTGACTTACCTTAATAAAGTTCTGTACATTCACGAACCCAAGGAAATTGATAAATCCATTTTGACTTTAATTTAGCTTTTCTTCAAAAAGCAAAATGTTGGCATTTCTTTGGCTCCCTTCATTCTTCAGATGTCTTTTCTTTCTTGCCTTTCTCCAGTGTCCTATCTAATGATATGGTTTGACTTTGTCCCCACTCAAATCTCATCTTGAATTGTAGCACCCACAATTCTCATGTGTTGTAGGAGGGATCTGGTGGGAGATAATTGAATCATGGGGGCAGTTTCCCCCATATTGTTCTCATTGTAATGAATAAGTCTCACAAGAGCTGATGGTTTTATAAGCAGAAACCTTTTCACTTGGTTCTCATTTCCTCTCTTGCTGCCACCCTGTAAGCCGTGCCTTTCACCTTCTGCCATGATTGTGAGGCCTCCCTAGCCATGTGGAACTGTGAGTCCATTAAACCTCCTTTTCCTTTATAAATTACCCAGTCTCAGGTATGTCTTTATCAGCAGCCTGAAAACAGACTGACATATCTAACAATCATCACCACCTGACAACACCCACTCTAGAATTTCACTGCAGTATGTGATGCATTCTAATGCGGCTGTCACAGTTGGGGTCCCTCAAAGCAGAGCCTGAGACAAGGACTGCAGTGCAGGTAGTTAATTTGGATGAAGGATAGACCAGTGTATTAGTCCATTCTCATACTGCTATAAAGATACGACCTGAGACTGAGTAATTTATAAAGGAAAGAGGTTTAATTGACTCACAGTTGTGCATGGCTGAGGGGAGGCCTCAGGAAACTTACAATCATGGTAGAAGGTGAAGGGGAAGCAAGGACCTTCTTCACATGGCAGAAAGAGAGAGAAGAGTGAGCAAGAATAGGGAAAACTGCCTTATAAAACCATCAGATCTCATGAGAACTCACTCACTATCATGAGAACAGCATGGCGGGAACCACCCCCCAATCCAATCACCTCACACCAGGTCCCTCCCTTGAGACTTGGGGATTACACTTCTAGATAAGATTTGAGTGGGGACACAACCAAACCATATCAACCAGAAACGGAGTAGGCTGATGAAGCAAGTCTAGAAAGTGTAGGCAAACAATAAAAAGTGTGGGTGGATCACCTGAGGTCAGGAGTTCGAGACCAGCCTGGCCAACATGGTGAAACCCCATCTCTACTAAAAATAAATTTTAAAAAAATTAGCTGGGCATGGTGACAGGTGCCCATATCCCAGCTACTTGAGAGACTGAGGCAGGAGAATCGCTTGAACCTGGGAGGCGGAGGTTGCGATGGCCAGGATCGCGCCACTGTACTCCAGTCTGGGTGGCAGAGGGGAACTCCATCTTAAATAAAAAAAAAGTGCAGTATCAATGTCAGCCATTACCACGGGCAATGGTGCTTAAAACTACCGTGGAAACTCGGAGGATAGCAAGGAGCCCAAACCTCACCTGGAGCCCTTTGATGAGGGCCAAGGGGACCGGAAGTTGTGAAAACTAACTTTCATCATTCATTGATGGAAGATTCTTTCCCTTGACATTAAATCCCCAACACTCCCAGCCACACAGGTAAGACTGAGCACATTTGAGTGGCAAGCTTTCAGATAAGGACATGCACGTGCTGATCGTGGTAAGTGAGCCCAGCAAGCATTGATATAAGGGCTGGTGAATGAATGGATGTGGCATTGACAATGACTGGGTACAGGAGGTTCTATTGAGGCTCCTTATATTTATGTCAAATGTATTTTTGTTCTTTCTAATAGTGGCTGCTTTTAATCCTGAAAACTGTTTAAACCTGCTTTAAAGATTTTTAAATAATACATCTGTTTGTGTGAGTTTTTTAAAAAATCAATTCTAATTTAATGCTTGAGTTCATGCATACACTACTTGAGGCGACACTTGGGTTGAGGTTCATGTTCTAGGAAAGCACTTTTGTTGATCATGAATGCAGACGATGTGAATGCATCACTGGTCTATCAGTGGGTGCGAAAATTTTAAAAAAATGCCTGTCTGCCTTGTTTCTCATATTTTGTTTGTGCACTTTTCTTCCCTTTGCATGAAGTATCTGGTCCAACTCCCTCCTCCAACACTTGTCTATTTCAAGATTCAGTTAAAGTGTCACATGTTTTATTAAGTCTTTTCTGATTCTTTCCACCATCCCATAGACAGATATTGCTTCTGTTATGCATGTGTCCTTTTCTTCCTTCTAGCTCTCCTCCCCACTGTCCCTCAACACAGCCCCCAGAGAAATCCACCTAAACTATCATATCATGTCAGTCTCTAATTAAACCTATCAGTGGCTCCCTGCTTCCATAAGCCCAATTAATTTAGTCCTCAACACAGACACATACACACACACACATGAACATGCACACAGGTGCATGGCCACACATATACACATGCAGTACACACAAGCACGCACACACGTGAACACACATATGTCTAGACACAGACACATCCCCTTACACTTTCTTATCACTCTTCCTCCTCATAGAACACATCCCTCCTTTTCACCCTCTACTTCACTGTGTATGCATTTTCATAAGAACCCGTCACTCTTTACTGTTATTTATCTATAAATATGACCCCCCCACAAAAAAAACCTGAAATATTTGCACAAGTCTGTCTGATCCAGCTCTGTGGCTCCAGTACCAAGCTCAATGCCTGCAAACATGGTGAGCATGAAATAAGTTCTGTGATGGAAACAGTGAAAAAATCAAATGAGGGAAATCTGTCCCAGATTAACTCTATTCATGTTCATGAACCTGCTCCAAATGCAGCATCAATCAAGAGCTTAAATAAAATAAAGTCAGATGGAAACATATAGATCCTTAGAAACTTAGGGAATTACTTTAAAAGTTATTAATTAATTTTCACCTCTCTGTGCAGTTAAATTTGTTTCCACATAAAAGTCAAAAGAAGACATTTATGTGGCCAACAAACATATGAAAAAAAGCTTATCATCACTGGTCATTAGAGAAATGAAAATCAAAACCACAATGAGATACCATCTCACGCCAGGTGGAATGGCAATCATTAAAACATTTGGAAACAACAGATGCTGGAGAGGATGTGGAGAAATAGGAATGCTTTTACCCTGTTGGTGGGAGTATAAATTAGTTCAACCATTGTGGAAGACAGTGTGGCAATTCCTCAAGGATCTAGAACCAGAAATACCATTTGACCCATCAGTCCCATTACTGGGCATATACCCAAAGGATTATAAATCATTCTACTACAAAGACACATGCACACATATGTTTATTGCAGCACTATTTACAATAGCAAAGACTTGGAAACAACCCAAATGTCCATCAATGACAGACTGGATTAAGAAAATGTGGCACATATAACACCGTGGAATACTATGCAGCCATAAAAAAGAATGAGCTCATGTCCTTTTCAGGGACATGGATGAAGCTGGAAAACATCATTCTCAGCAAACTAACACAGGAACAGAAAACTAAACACCACATATTCTCACTCATAAATGGGAGTTGAACAATGAGAACACATGGACACAGGGAGGGGAATATGACTCACTGGGGGCTATCAGGGGGTGGGGGGAAAGGCGAGGGAGAGCATTAGGGCGAATACCTAATGCATGCAGGGCTTAAAACCTGTATGATGGGTTGATAGGTGCAGCAAACCACCATGGCAGATGTATACCTATGTAAACAAGCCTGCATGCTCAGCACATGTATCCCAGAAGTGAAAGTAAAATAATTAAAAAAAGTATAGCAGGGAAGAAGTCCATGATATAAAATAATCATCCTCTCACTCCACTCTTAGGGAAAACAGAAGCATAAAAAATGTCACTGTGTGAAGATGGAGCTCCACACCTGTCCTGCATGTTCCACGAGTGTTATTGCATGGATGCCACCTAAGATCCATTGAAGTCTACAGATAGTTTTTTAAATGAAAACCTTAAGCTCTATTACACCTATTCTTGTCTCTACAATATCAGTTACGTAGGGCTATTTCATTACTAGCTTATGAGAAAATAAAACATAACTTTCCTTTTTATGAGAATGTCCAACAAATATCAAAATAGAAAATGAAGAGATAGTAAATGAAGCCCCAGGTACACATCCTGTGTTTCAGCAATTATCAGCATTTTGCTTACCTGTTTCTTTGCACTTACTCCATCGGGAATATTTTTTAAACGTTCCAGATATCAAAGCATTTCATTAGTTAATACTATATGATGTATCTATAAAGGAAATAACACTGTTTTTTTTTTAAAAAAAAAACAAAATCAGAACATCATTATGTCTAGTAAAATTAATAATGATCTCTTACTATCTTCTGACAACCATTCAGTGTTCAAATTCCCTTATTGTTTCAAAACTGCTCATTGACCCCTTGATATGTTTGAAGCACGTTCAGAGAGGATGCACATAGTGTATTTAGTTTATACTTTCTTAAATCTTTTAAAATCTATAACAGCATCCCATTCTTACCTCCGTTTCCTTGTGCCATTTGTTTGGGGAAGAAACTAAACCATTTATCTGGTAGAAATTTGCATATGCTGGATTTGGCTGATTGAATCATAGTGGTGTCATTTCATTTTTTTCCCATCACGTATTTCCGGTAAGCTAGGAGTCAAAACTAGAGATTTGACTGGATTTGGTTTATTTTTTGGAAGGATTTCTTTATGCATAATGTTTTGTATTGCTTTCTCTCAGGGGACACCAGTTTTTCGTTGTTTTCTTTAAGTGATGTTCCAAATGATTAGTGCAGAGAAAAGTTCTTTTGATTCCAAATTTAGAGCTCAGAATTCAGTTCAATTTTTGGAAGGGTAAACTCATAGATAGTACTTTTTATTACATCACATACTTTGGGTTGCTTTTCATAAATTATGGCCAGAATGATGATTGCAGAGACAAGATCCTTGGAGTCTGCCTTTAGTGCTCAGGGATATATTATTCGCCATATGTAGCAAAAGGCTGTGAAATTCAGAGTTAGGCAGACTTGAGCTTAAACCTTGGATTCACTTCTGACTAAGTGTCCCTGGACAAGACACTTGACTTTTCTGAGCCTTGAGTTGAATCATTGACCAGAGGTAGTAACACTCGCTGTACAAGGTCTTTGTGAACATTCAATAACACATGGAAATTCGATTCAGTTCTTGGTGCAGACCACAAGTGCTGCCAATGTTCCTCCCGTTCACTGAGGAAAAACCCAGAAAGACACTGCAGAGAGCTGGACTAGGGCAGACCATCCCCGGAGACTCGGAAAAGCATTTATTTCCGTAATTAGACCATGAAGACAAAGATAACCACAACTCAATAAAAACAACTTTTTCCACAATTCTATAGAGGACAGTTCATGCACTTCATTCTTTGTAGAATGAAAAACGGAGGCCCAGGCTGATCGTTCTACCTGTCAGGAAACATGGTACGTGGAAAAGTAATTAAACCACGATGACGGAGCTGTATCGATTGTGTAACTTACCCCATTTCCCGTTTGCCTCAAGAATGCCTGCCAGGCCGGGAGCGGTGGCTCACGCCTGTAATCCCAGCACTTTGGGAAGCCAAGGCGGGCGGATCACGAGGTCAGGATATCAAGACCATCCTGGCTAACACGGTGAAACCCCGTCTCTACTAAAAAAAAAAAAAAAAAAAAGAATGATTGCCGGTGGTGCTTGCGGCTGCAGCCTTTACCCCGAGATAAGTGCCACAAAATATCTGGCTTTTATTATTTTCGCATTGCTCTGGTATATCAACTTTGGGGAAAAAAGACATCATTTATTCATAGCATTCCGTTTTTAGTAGTGGTATTTCCATTTACAAAATATAGTAATTCTTGATCACGGAAAATATCAAAACCCAGAAAATGTAGCAATTCTACACGTGATGTTAACATCACTCTGGAACAGTTGTTGGCCGAATATTATTTGATGAATCCGAGTTTTCTGAAATAGACGATTCTGATTATTCAGACGATTCTGATGTTAGTTCTGTTTAGAAATAGCTTCAATAACAGTTTTTATATTCTATTTTCACATTGAAAATCAGTCAGATTGGCTTCAGCCTCAAAGAATGTGTTTATGTAAAATTAAATGAGTGCTGGCAGTGAGCTGTACTTTTCTTTTTTTTCTAAATGGGAAAAGGGTTAAATTACCTCTCCAATAAAAAAAATTATACTAAATATCTTGGTGATTTATATAGCTCTAATTCTCTCTATCTCTGTCTCTTTGACTTTTTTTCTCTCTCTCTTTACCTAAATTATATATTCTGCTGCTATTCTGGCTTGCCGCAGGTGGTTGGGAATATGTGGCTGGCTGTGGAATCTTGAGCTGTTCATTCGGTCTCACGAAGGAAGAGGATCTCACCTTCTATTTGGCTTATTTATAAGCATCTAGGGTCTCCTTCCCTGGGGTACACATTATTCTTTATTAGGCTAGAAAGATAAATACTAGGATCATTGAGATTGTGGGACCCCATTTGTTCATATTTCCTAGAAGTGTTGCGTTCACTAATCTGGCTTCACCTTGCAAGGGAAATTTCCTTTACTTAGCCAGTACTGACAGGGCCATTGCACTTGGACATTTTAAAAAGAGGAAGAGCGGTTGGGGAACTCCAATCCTGACTTCTTCAAAATACACCCTTAGAGACATCACACACATGCATCCTTCCTGTTGATTCCTACACCTGGTCCCTGTCAGAGGCTAAATCCTCAGAGGCTAAAAAATTATGGGCTCTTCATCAGTAAATATGGAGGAGGGGGTGGGTTCTGTCACCAAAACCCTTGAAAACCTAATCAACTAAGTTAATTTCATTTCACTTGGAATCTACTGATAAGCAGTGCAAAAAAATTATTTTGGGCTTTGCTCTGTGAATTCTTGGGTTTGCTGTGACGTCACTAATTCTGAGATCTGCCACCTGCCCAGCTCTCCAATTAATCCTGGGTCCTCAGAGCACAGATTGGAAATAACAGGCAGAGAGGATCTTTAATCTGGTTTAGAAAACTCTCCCTGATATCTAAACTATGTCCTAGTTAAATGAGCTTGAAAATGAGAAGAAACACCTCACTGATGTGGCTGGGGGCACGGAGTGAGGTATAGGGGTAATCTCAGAGAGTTGGGGCTCCTCCCAGATGTCCTCATCCCATCTGTCCAGATCTTATATTTTCCTCACAGGCACACCAGCCTTAGAAATTGTTGAAATAGGGTAAAGAATGGTGGTAGAGAATGAAGCTGCCACATTCTGCCTTGTGCATGGTTACAGGAGATGCTACACCTTTTCATGTACGGTTCTACTTGGCTCCTCTTCCCAAGTTACCAGTTCACACTCATGCACCACCTGCTCTCAGATGACAATAGTGGGCCATGTCTGTGTCTGTACTTTGTAGTTGTTAAAGTTACAAGAGAGACCTGGAATGCTAATACCTTGATAATTAGATATCACGTTCCTCAAAGTTTAACCACTGAGGGCTCGTGACTTTAGTTCTATAAGGGAGTGAATTAAGACTCTCAAATTCTCATCCCAACATGGGATTTCCTCTTTGTACCACTATACACAGCTCCTTCCTTCCTTCTTTCCTTCCCTCCTTCCTTCCTTTCCTCCTTTCTTTCTCTTTCTTTTTTCTTTCTTTCTCTTTCTTTTTTCTTCTTTCTTCTTTCTTTTTCTTTCTCTTTCTTTCTTTTGTCCTTTCTTTCTCTCTCTCTTTCCTTCCTTCCTTCCTTCCTATCTTTCTTTCTTTCTTCTTTCCTATTTTTTCTTTCTTTCTTTCTTATTTTTGTTTTTAACTTTTGCTAGAAGTCTGTCATTTGCATTTTTCCCTTCCATCAAGGTACTTATTATTTAGGGGTTTCGGTAGTAGTAACCATTATTTCAATTCTAACCACAAAAAAAGGAATATATTAAAAGGATATGGAGAAACTGCTGTGCGGAGTGTGACAGAGAAGATTACTTTCACTAAAACACCCTGGACATTGTAAATTAAGCAAAGAAGAAAGACTCAGAAATGTGGAGAGAAGAAGGCAGACCAGCTAGGGATGGAGAGATCTAAGAACGGCACGCGATAGTTTCCTGGGTTTCTCTTTGCCTTACATATTCTATGTTCTCACCAATGGAATGTGAGCTGATGTGACACATGCCAGCTTTTAGCCACGGCTTTCAGAAAGTCTTTGCCTTCTCCATCTCTTCTCCTTCCCTGTGTATGGCAATGTGCAGGCGACGATGAGATCCAAAGTGATTGGAGCCATAAGATGCAGGGAGCCTGGGCTGTAGATTTACTGCCTGGAGGAAGCCACCTGCCAACCAGGAGCATTTGCCTTGGTTACATGGACGAGAAACAAACTTCTGTTTGTTTCAGACACTGAAATTTGGAGATATACTTATTCTTGCAATCCAGCATTACTTTAAGAATACAAAAATAATAGTGAGGGATGGTTGATTTGCTACATATCATAACATATATTTCTATAAATTTATAGCAATTAAAACAGTATCATGCCAATATTGATCTTGATAGACTGGTCAATATCACAGAATTCAGCAGATCCACATACTCATAAATTTAGCACACAATTAAGACAATATTCAAATCAGTGGGAAATGTGGTATGAATAGACCGATGACAGTTCAATAAATGATGCTTTGCTACTTCAGGAAAAAAATTTAGGTTTCTACCCCATGCGTTAGAAAAATAAACTCCTGATGAAATGCAGAGCTAAGTACAATGCGACTGCAAAAATATTTTTAAGAATTATATCAGACTATATATTAGATACGAGGAAGAATATTCCTACTTAGTAATTAATGAGGTATAAAAGTTATTACTAAATATTTTCATAAACTTGAATATTAAAAATTAAAATGAATCAATAAAGTTAAAATAATGGTGATAAATTAGGAATTATATCTATAGTATATATACCAGATATGATTAAAATTCACATATCTAAAGAACTAATATATTTCAGAAATAACAATATAGACAACTCAAAGAAAAATGGTCAGAGCATTTGAACATAAGAAGAGAAATGAAAATGTTAAAGAAACATACAAACTCTTCTCGCTCACAGAAGTCCTTAGAGAAACTCATTTAAAAAAATTGAAATATGTGGAACAAGATTAGCAAAACAATAAATTTAGTAATATTGAGGTTTGGAGTAGTCATATTGTTGAAAGACTGATTCTATTGTATAATTTTGTTCAATATATTTAGTTCTTCTTTAATAGATCTTCTGTGTGAGTCCTTTGCCCACATATTGATAATTGCTAGACAAGTATGAAGGTAAATTTGATTTTTAAAAGTTTACAAAAACAATGTTTGCGTGATTACAAGTTTCCTGGGAGATCTCACACAGCAATGATGTTTGTTAAACAGTAATTAAACACTATATCATCTATCTGAAATACTACCTTTTAAAAATAATTTTGAAAGTAAAAATATGAAACAAAGTAAATTATCATTTGCATATAGCAAAAAACATACAATTCTAGCTCTATTCCCTGACTCAGAGGTTCATGTATTACTCCTTTTATAAAAAGTATACACAGATTATAAAGAAAACACAAATAACTTAGAAGATAAACTATAAGAACAGCTGCCGCAATAAAAGTCTTGAAATTCTGAAATGCCAAAGGCTAAAGTTTATTACACAATTCATGATTGATTTAGCTGGTGCGAGTTACTGAATACTCCAAGATTTCATTTCAAGGCTCAAGTATTTGCCCAGCCACCTGGGACAGAGTATATAGAAAAGTTTGTAGAAGTTAAAAAACAGAAAGAGTTCAGAGTTTTTGTCACTCACACTGCCTCCATCTGTGTCTTTCCTGCCTGTCTTTTGTTCACCTCTCCTATTTTTTAAGGATATGTTTACATGGTGTCTCCTGCTTCCCACCAAGCCACTGGAATAGCAGATTCAGGCTGAGAACCTCCAGCAGGAAGGGACTTCTCAATGTAACTGCCCCCAGAGAGGCTGCTACAGTTTCCTCTGAACCAGTGCCGTACTCCACCTGGAGAGACCAGGGAGGCTTTGTTGTCTCAACTGCAGGCTTCATAGGAACTCAGGCATGTTGCACTTACAGTAGGGTTTTCGTGCCTTTCCTCCATTCTTTTTTTGGAAGGGTGATCGAACTGATGAGTGGTGAAGGATAAGGGGAACATCAGCTCATCTGTGAATTATTTTTATTGATCACATTAAAATTGGTTCAGATCTTTGGCCAATACTGTTTGTTCTTTCTCCTAATATTATAAATTGTAATAAATGTTGTGTACAAATCTTTTTGTTTCTTTGTGTTATTTCTAATTTTGGAACTTGCTTTTGCTGTATGTAGTATTATTAATGAGGTGGGCACAGTTTGAAGGCTCTAGACGCCCAGCTTCCCAGGTGGTTCCTTCCTTCCTTCCTTCCTTCCTTCCTTCCTTCCTTCCTTCCTTTCCTTTCCTTCTTCCTTCCTCCTTCCTTCCTTCCTCCTTCCTTCCTTTTTCCTTCCTCCTTCCTTCCTTTTTCCTTCCTTCTTCCTTCCTTCCTTCCTTCCTCCTTCCTTCCTTCCTTTTGTTTCTTCTTTCTCTCTCTCTTTCTTCTTTTTCTTTTTTTGAGACACAGTCTTGCTCTGTTGTCCAGGCTGCAGTGCAGTAGCATGATCTCCGTTCACTGCAACCTCCGCCTCCTGGGTTCAAGGACTCTCCTGCCTCAGCCTCCCTAGTAGCTGGGATTACAGGTTCCTGCCACCATGCCTGGCTAATTTTTGTATTTTTAGTAGAGACAGGGTTTCCCCATGTTGGCCAGGCTGGTCTTGAACTCCTGACCTCAGGTGATCTGGCAGCCTTGGCCTCTCAAAGCGCTGGTATTACAGGCATGAGCCACCACACGCACCCCCCAGGTGGTATGTGTCTAAGGGAGACTTTACTATGTAATCCACAAGGTTGGAAAGGTGCCAGGAAAATAGTCTGTTTTTTGGGTAGTGGGTGTGTCCAACACATAGTGAGGAGGGCTCTTCCTGGGCTCCCTCAGCTAGGAAGATCTGCTTTTAGGCATGTTTATGCAAAGGCTTGTACAGCTTCTAGGCTGGGATCTGTCTTCAAGGCAGTGTTTTAATAAGCTGCAAGTCATGATGCGTTTGTGGTATGAAATAAATGCTGAGACTAACATTAAAAGAAAAAAAATGTAGTGGGCATGGTGGCTGACACTTGTAATCCCAGCACTTTAGGAGGCCAAGAAAGGAGGATTTCTTGAGCCCAGGAGTTAGAGACCAGCCTGGGAAACACAGTGAGACCCTGTCTCTACAAAAACAAATTTGAAATATTAGCCAGGCATGGTGGTGCACCCCTGCAGTCCCAGCTACTTGGGAGGCTAAGGCAGAAGCATCACCTGAGCCCAGTAGATTGAGGTTGCAGTAAGCTATGATTGTGTTACTGTGCTCCAACATGGGTGACAAAGCAGAACCTTACCTCAAAAAAAAAAAAAAAAAGTAATGGGATAGGATGGAATAGAATAGCTCAGAGAATTAGAATACCTTACTACCTTATTACAGGTACTAAGATAAATTTAGATTTTTGAAATGTTACTTGAATTATTTGTGTGTACTTGTGTAACGTAAGATGAATTTCTTACTCTGAATTCTAGTCAAAAGCACGGTGGTTTACACCTGTAATCCCAGCACTTTGGGAGGCCGAGGTGGGTGGATCACAAAGTCAGGAGTTCGAGACAGTCCTGGCCAACATGGTGAAACCCCATCTCTACTAAAAATACAAAAATTAGCCAGGTGCGGTGGCCAGTGCCTATTTTGGGAGGCTGAGGCAGGAGAATTTCTTGAACCTGGGAGGCGGAGGTTGCAGTGAGCCAAGATAGCACCACTGCACTCCAGCCTGGGTGACAGAGCAAGACTCCATATCAAAAAAAAAAAAAAAAAAAAAAAGAAATTCACTTTTCTAGAGCTTATTCCATATATAGGCAATATTTATATTAAAAAAGAGAAAAGCCACTACTTGGGTAATGTTAATTTAGCATTAGTATAGACCCATGGGGCTTAAGGTTAATATAATAATAATAGCCAATATTCTAGGGTGACTCAGTTATTTCTCAGAATTTCTAATAGGCCTTACAGGTATACCAGAAACTTCTCTGAGGTCCCATGAGTTTGTGGGTCCCAGGACCAGCTTGTCCCTGGGTGCAGTGAGCCCATAGCTCACACCTCCCATGCTGCATGAGCTTAGACTTTTTCCCTTTCTTCCACCTCTCTGTGAATCACTAAAGTGAGTGCGTGTGTGATACCCAAGTCTGTGCATGGACCTCTATGACTCTCAGCACAGGTCCATTCGAAATACTTTGTTATATTTATAATAGATAAAATTAGAATCACCAAAAAGCCATAATAAATGTAAAATAATTGTTAAAATTGGTAAGACCTTATATCTAACAAAATATTATGCAGTTGTAGGGAGACCCCCTGAAACTATTGCTATGGAATGTTATGTAAAAGATGAAATGCTCCTGATTATTGTAAATACAAAATTGCATGCAGGATTGTGTAAAGACAATGCCAGGTTGGACGCCAGAATGAGCCAACAGCGCGTGATGTGCTTCCCCTTGCAGAGAGCCTATGAATGGACGTGCAGTCAGGGAGGTTTCACATCACCAAGATTCCTATCCCAGAAAAGCAGATGTTCATAGCTCTGGGAATGGAATGCGACCCTTGTGGGGAGCCTATAAACGGACGCATGGGGGGTGCCTGTCCATATGGATAAGATAGGGCTATAAACACCCTCATCTTGCCACGGCTCTTCTAGGCCTCTTCAGGGTTAAGGCATACTCCCTTCTGAGAATTTCTGGTCTAACCGGTTGTCTAGCTTCATGTCCTGTTTCCATGGATTGTTTGTAACCAGCTTTTGTTGCAATTGTTACTGCTGATTAATATCTTGCTAATCCTAGGTTATGGAAAGACTGTGTTTCTGTTCTAAGGCTCTGTTAGAAATTACTGACCCACACACTATAGTGTAAATTCTTATCTCTGTATACTGTACTTCTGCATACAAATGTTATGTTAAAGAATTACTTCATCCGCATGTGACCATCTCACCTCATAATCAAATGACCCTAAATCCCTCACTAACCTACCCCCACCCTCACTAACCTACCCCCACCCTCACTAAACTTAATAATAAATGCTGGTATATCCAGTGCATTGTTGGCACCGCGGGACCAGAAGGCGGTGATCCCCCGGGACCCAGCTTTCACTATCTTGTGTGTGTCTGTTATTTCTCAACCTGCCGATCCGCCTGGGAACAAAGAGAGAGCCCTGTTGCATTGCGGGCTGCTGGCCAGATCCTGCAATATGCAGTCACTAGATTTGTTTTTCTTTTTTTTTTTTTTTGGAGACGGAGTTTTGCTTTTGTCGCCCAGGCTGGAGTGCAGTGGCACGATCTTGGCTCACTGCAACCTCCGCCTCCCAGGTTCAAGCGATTCTCCTGTCTCAGCCTCCCAAGTAGCTGGGATTACAGGTGCCCGCCATCACACTAGGCTAATTTTTTTTTTTTTTGTATTTTTAGTAGAGACGGGGTTTCGCCATGTTGGGCAGGTTGGTCTCAAACTTCTGACCTCGTGATCTGCCTGCCTCAGTCTCCCAAAGTGCTGGGATTATGGGCGTGAGCCACCGTGCCCGGCCACCTAAAATTTTTAATTCACTAATTCACTCATTCGACAAATATTTCTTGAGCATGAAATATGTGTCCTCACCTTGGCTAGAAGGCCTATAGTGAGAAAGGCGTATATTCTAACTTCTGATGCTTCTGGTGCAGTGGAGAGGTCGACAATAAATGGGAGAACAGGTGAAATGAATATGACAGCCCTTATAGGGCTATACTGAAAATAATCAGAGAACAGGAAAGACAAGCCTATTGTTCTCAGGGTGCTCAGAGATGGGCCCACCTAGGAGGCAGTTAGTTCTTTAGTCTGAGACGTAAAGGATGAGAAAATTCAGCCAAGAATAGAGCAGTAAAAAAAGATATTTCAGGACAAGGGAATAACAAAAGAGCCCAGAGACTAGAGATAACTGGAAAGTTCCAGTAGTCAGTGTGGCTTGTGTGTGCCGACGGGGAAAGGCACAAAAGCGTGTGAAGTGGAGGCACAGCTTAGGCCATGCTAGACCTGCTGGGGAGAAAATGCTACAATGTTTAGCATCATAGAAAAAGGTCCTAACATGCTTTCTCTAGAGTTAATGCATTTAATCTTCACAACAACCTCATGAAGGAGGCACTGCTATTGTGCCCCGTTGCAGACAAGGAAATGGAGGTTCTCAGAGAGTAAGAAACATGCCTACACTAGCGACAACCCAGCACTACATGTGGTAGAATCAAAAGCGTGTTCACACAAAACTTGTACACAAATGTTTACAGCAGCATTATTCACGATAGCCAGAAAGTGCAAACAACCCATATGGCCTGGATAATCATCCACACAATGAGATATTATTTAGCCATAGAAAGGAATAAAATTCTGATGCATGCTAGAATATGAATGAACTTTGAAAACATCACACTAAGTGAAAAAAGCCAGACACAGAATGATATCGTATGATTCCACTTATATGTAAACTTCAGAATAACCGCATCCATACGGACAGAAAAGAGATTAGTGCTTGCAGGGTCTTGGGGGACTGCAGAAATGGACAGTGACTGCTACTGGGTACAGGGTTTCTTTTGGGAGTTATGAAAATGATCTGGAATTAGTGGTGATGGTTTTACAACTCTGTGCATATAACAAAAACCATCGAATTGTATACTTCAAGGGGGAGAGCTTTATGACACATGAATTATATCTCAATAAAGTCATTACTCAAAAATGAAAGAAACGTGTTCAAAGTCACAGAGGCAGTGACAGTTCTTGGATTTGGAGCTGGCAATCAGGCTGTGGTTTGTGCTCATTTTTACTGTGCTATGCACCGTCTGTTCCTTCTGATAACTGGAGAGAGGCATGATTTTTACCCAACGAAGAAAAATAATCCCCTGCTCTGCAGATTACAACTTCTGTGATGCATGGATGTTTTAAAAATTAATTTTAATCAGTGCAGTGGGTTGGAGATTCATGGAAGATAGTGTTTGTGCTGTCTTCATTGAACATTATCATTAATAAGCTGATTTTACATTTTTTTTACATGAACACAGGTGTGATAAATTCCTAGTTAGAAATTATATAAGGCTGGATTAAAGTGTCCACATATCAAAACTCTTATGTGTATGTTATCATATGCCTACATATAATGCATGCTTAGTGGCTGATGGTCTTGGAGACACATCCCATGTATTTGGCATAGAATGTTCAAATACATTTGGCAAAGAAGAGTGGCCCGTAGGTTGCACCTGTGTGAATAAGGGCCATTGAGTCAGAGGAACCTGAAACCGTTTCCCGGGTCTTTCACTGACAAGTCTTTGATGTTAGACAAATTAACTCTCCAGAGCCCCAGTTTCCTTATGGGTAAAACTGGTATATTAGTAGTATCTAGTTTATTCAACTGCTCAAAATGTAACGGCTTAAAATGATCATTTATTGTCTCCCTTGGTTCTGCGGGCTGTCTGGGCTCAGCCACCCAGATTCTTCTTTAGTCTGAGTCTTACGTGATTGCAGATATTTCTTTTCTTTTTCTTTTTTCTTTTTTTTTTTTTTTTGAGACAGAGTCTCACTCTGTCACCCAAGCTGGAGTGCAGTGGCGTGATTGTGTCTCACTGCAAGCTCAATTGCAGATATTTCTTAACTGATGGTGGCTAAGTCTGCCTTCATCTGAAGGCTGGGCTGGGTTGATGTCCACTGTGGCTCTTAGACATGGCAGTTGATGCTGACCCGTGCTCCTACAATGTTTTATTCCCTAGTTCTAGTTTATAAACGTTTGGGTTTGGGGCAAATTAACTTCTTGTAGCCTCAGTTTCTTCATTGGTAAATGAGTAGTAAAAGTTAATAAATAGAATAGTAAGAGCAGCCACCTTGCAGGGTTGTTGTAAATGTTAAACACAATGATCCATGGGTTGTACATGCCCGAACATCCTAAGCCCTTAATAAAGTTAGCTGTTGTTACTTTTGTTATGATGACAACAAGATAATACATTCAAAATACCTCTTGCTGTGCCTTACATGGAGAAGGTGTTTAACAGATTGTGGTTATGAGATAGAGCCTTTTGCATGTGTCATATGAGATTGTCATATGTGGCTTGGCAAAGACGGATCATAGGTACCAATGTCCTTGCTCCTTTGTTTTCATAAGGGAAAGTTAACAGAGAAGGTTTACTTAGCTGAGAAGTGACTATGTGCTGGAATTTTACTGAAGATGAAGTAATTCTGTTATTGTACCAAAATTCATCGTTCAAGATGAAAGGCATGGCAGATTTAGCCTTATGTGCACAATCCCTGACCTTGAGGTATCTTTCCTAAAAGCTGCAGGTGCTTTTTCTTCTGGAAACATTTAAGTGTGTCCCCTTTATATCAATAACAGGTGCGTTAATGGAGGTGGTCAGGGCAGGCAGGGGACAGGCTGGGTGACATGTGTTCTGGCCTTCTCAAATAGCTGTCACTCTATAAAAACACAGTGTAATTTGTTAAATGTCAAGTAGATTAATATGTCAGACCTGGGAACATTTGCCTTGTAGCATTGTAGCATTTAGATAATTGAATACTGTAATAGCTCAGCACCTTGCTTCAAGTTAAAATATCGGGATTTATATGATTCTTAGCCACAAAACCATTTTTCAACAGCTTAAATAATCTTCCTAATAACTAGAAGATGTTGTCTTGGCCCTTTCTCTGGCCAAGAATTTTTGAAGCAGACCAGCTCCTGGTAACAGATGTATTTAGCCAGAATAATATGCACATTATCAGGCAAACATGAATAGCTATTTAATGGAGCTTGAAATGACTTCAATCTGTAAAGCTCAGTGCGGGTCAGAAGCTTTACCTGGCTGGCCCTATCAGTGCTGAATCCTGCAGCCTGATTTTGGAGAAGTCTCAGGGGCTGGGACCTGAGACTAGGGAAGATCTCTCCACCCCATGTAGCATGTTCTTTAATTTTTCCTTTGCAATGCGGATTGCTGATATAATTAAACAAATTTGTGCAATCAATTTTTTTCAGAAATTGCTATCTAAATATAATATTAGTTTGAAAAGTGAATTTAGTGAAAGAAGCAGTCAGTTAGGGATGGTAGTGAACTGAAAGTCGTGTGGCCCAACTGAAAAGAATGGCTGGCGCTCACTTGCTCTTAGTTTAGTGTTGCTATAAAGGAATGCCTGAGGCTGGGTAGTTTATAAAGGATAAAAAGGTTTATTTGGCCCACAATTCTGATGACTGGAAGGTTAAAGCTTGGGCATTTGCATCTGGAAAGGGCCTCAGGCTGCTTCTATTCATGGGGGAAGTTGAAGGGGAGCTGGTGTGTGCAGAGACCACATGACAAGAGAGAGAAACTGAGGAAGGCAGACTCTCCCGGAAAGTAAGAGAGTGAGAACTCACTCACCACCACCCAGGGAGGACATTCATCTATTCATGAGAGATATGCCCTGTATTCGTCCATTTTCACACTGTTGATGAAGACATTCCCAAGACTGGGTAATTTATAAAGAAAAAGAGGTTTAATGGACTCACAGTTCCACGTGGCTGGGGAGGCCTCACAATCATGGTGGAAGGCAAAAGTCACATCTTACATGGTGGCAGACGAGAGAGAATGCGAGCCAAGTGAATGGGGTTCCCCTTTGTAAAACCATCAGATCTCGTGAGACTTATTCACTACCACAAGAACAGTATGGGCGAAACCACGCCCATGATTCAGTTATCTCCCACCAGGCCCCTCCCACAACATGTGGGAATTATGGGAGCTAGTATTCAAGATCAGATTTGGGTGGGGACACAGCCAAACCACATCATGCTCCCAGGACCTAAACACCAACAGGCTCCATCTCCAACCCTGGGGATCAAATTTCAACATGAGGTTGTTGGGGCCGGGGGGGGGGGGGTGGGGGGAACATCCAAACCACAGCACTTGCAGTCAGCTGTTTTCATGCAGTAATATAGGCCCAGTGTGAATTAATCTTTGTTTCAAAGGGAAGAAGGAAACACTATTTTTACATGCAATATTCTGATATTTAAATGTTGATGATGGATTCAATTTTAGGAGGTACTCACTGTTCTAGG
This sequence comes from Homo sapiens, assembly GCF_000001405.40. Lineage (NCBI taxonomy): Eukaryota > Metazoa > Chordata > Mammalia > Primates > Hominidae > Homo > Homo sapiens. Next base: position 125,979,862 of record NC_000012.12, read on the forward strand.
GAAACATAGATTTGACTCTGTGCTGCCACTTTACAGAAGACAAATATCTGACCTAATATTTGTCTCTAACGTTGATATTCGGTTAAAATGGAAGAGACCCTTCCCTTGTAGCCCACTGTGTCTCCAGACACTAGCCCAATATACATGTATTAAACAAATGAATTTGACTAAACACCACCATGCAAATAGTTGGCATCCTTGGGTAAACAATGATATTTATTCTAGGGAAGAAATGTGAGAGATGTTATTTATTTCTAGTCATGAATTGCTTACATTTATTTCTAAGCTATTTCGGGTTTGTTTATGATTTCTTATTATGAAACAAAATGAGACACGTACGTATAGTTTGCAGGTGCAGAATCATTACAGGAAGGATAACTCAGCTTTCAAAAACCACACAAGAGGAGAATGCACCATTACAGAGTTCATTGTCAATCTTTGCAACTTCAAGGTTAGAAAAAAAAGGATTGACTTATTTTCTTTTCCATTAACTAAGACATTCACTAAGTAGCTTTTTAGAAAACCTTTAACTTTTGCCCCCAGGATGAGTGCAGCATGAATTGAAATCTGCACAAAAATAATGTTGGACAAACCACAAGAATGTCATTAATATCATTAGTCTCTAACCCTCTGTAAATGTCAGTGCTTTATCTCCATTAGACTTCATTTATCCTTTGGAAAATGAGATCAAAGGAAGTGTGAGGAAACACACAAAAGTCCAGAAACAGGGGTGTGAGAATTAATGCATTAATTATGAGTTCCTGAGAGGTTGTGCTGAAAGAAACACTGGGATTTGCTGTTCTCTCTCTCTCCTTGGCTACCCATCTTCTCTCTCTACTCCCTGCACAAACATGTCTGCACACCTATCAATGCAATGGTATTGCTGTTGCCTAGTGAGTTCCTATAAATGCATTTGTTTGTATCCTTGCGAATCTTGTTCCTGCAGAGACAGTGTGTGGCAGCCTGTTCATTCCAGCCCTTTCTATAAAATCTGCTGACACAATAGCCTTTTTCTACATATAACTGGATATTGTGGCATCTCCCCACTCTCTCATTCCTATCACCACACTGCTGTGGTTGAGCTCAGGCTTCTATTCCTGAACGTCGTCTCTGTGGATTTGATCCTATGTGGCTTGAAACTTAAGTGGGTGGTGGCCAACCACAGAGATTAAGCCAGGGAACTGGCTTTTCTCTCCCTCCAACCTTCAGGAAAACCCAGGTCCTGATGTTGCAGTCTCACCAATGCACCTTAACCTAGCAGTTCCTCATTGTCTGAACTAGTATCCTGGGTTCTGTGTCCTAAATCCAAGAAAATTAAGGAACTTGGACACAAACTTGGGGTTGGAGCAAAAATTTAATAAGTGAAAGAAGAAAACTCTCTGCAGTGGAGAGGGGAGTGCAAGTGGACTGCCAGTTTACAGCTGAATTCAAAAGCTTTTTTTTTTTTTTTTTTTTTGACATGGAGTCTTGCTCTGTCTCCCAGGCTAGAGTGCAGTGGCGTCATCTCGGCTCACTGCCACCTTCATCTCCCCGGTTCAAGCCAATCTCCTCCCTCAGCCTCCCGAGTAGTTGGGATTACAGGTACGTGCCACCACACCCGGCTAATTTTTGTATTTTTAGTAGAGACTGGGTTTCACGATGTTGGCCAGGCTGGTCTTGAACTCCTGACCTCAGGTGATCTGTCCGCCTTGGCCTCCCGAAGTGCTGGGATTACAGGCATGAGCCACTGCACCCAGCCTCAAAAGCTTTTTACAAGAAACTGCTCTCCTCCCTGTAATTATTTGGGTAACTTTTCTTATCAGTAAAGGTGTCTGTGCAACTCCCCTTCTCTTATGCGGCCGTGGGTATGTCTCTAGGCAAGCACAAAGTACAGCTTCTCTTGTTTGTATAACTGTGGGTTTGTTTTAGGTAAGCTCCCTCCCCCTTGTGCAAGTTCTCATCATGTATATGCCTGAAAAGGGGAGGAAATTTTTCCTGGGAGCTCACTAATTACAAAGAACAAAGAGATTCTGGGCTGGACATTGCTTGTTTATCTGTCCAGGTACAGCCTGAGTGTTTTCCCAGGTTGTTTTATTTCTGCCTGTTGCTGTGACTATTCAGGCCGACTGCTTCTGCAGTCTGACTTTTTCCCAAATGATTTTTCTTTTCCTTCTCCCTCACTGATATCTGACTGTGCAATGCTGGCTCTGTAGCCTTGGGCTGGCTTCCCTGAGCTCCCGTGTCCTCACCAACAGGGATCATCACATCCACCTTGTAACGTGGTTGGGGATGTAAAGACGACCTGGCAGGGTGCTTACATGTGCAATTGTTCAATAAACATTTGCCACTCGCCCATGTGTAAGGTAGGGGGAAAGGTGAGATACAGTTTTTTTCTAATTTTCTCATTTGAGAAACACCTTCATGATTTTTTGTCCTATATTTACCACCTCATCACACTGACTTGCTTTTTGTTTGTTTCCTTAAAAAACATATTTTAGGCCCAGTGCGGTGGCTCATGCCTGTAATCCCAGCACTTTGGGAGGCCGAGGCGGGTGGATCATGAGATCAGGAGATCGAGACCATCCTGGCCAACGTGGTGACACCCTGTCTCTACTAAAAATACACAAATCAGCCAGGCGTGATGGCGTGTGCCTGTAGTCCTGCTACTTAGGAGGCTGAGGCAGGAGAATCACTTGAACCCGGGAGGCGGAGGTTACAGTGAGCCGAGATCGGCCACCGCACTCCAACCTGGGCGACACAGGGAGACCCCATCTCAAAAAAAAAAAAAAAAGAAGATAAAAAGTAAAACGTATTTTAAAAGGAAGCTTGCTATCATTACTGAACATGGAAAATCACTCCGTTTCCAAATTTACAAAGTGTAGATGTGATTAAAAATAAAACAACGTGGTTAAATTTAAAATAGAAAAAATAATGCATACGTGTTTAGAGAAGTGCATACCTGAAAACAAGTTCTTCAAGGAAAATGGAACTATTGACAATCCCTGGGAGACACCAGGAGAGGCTCCTGGTGGGTCGGGGAGTTCCTGAACGCCCTGAGTGCGGGGTCTCCAGGTCTGAGACAGAACGGCCCTGCTCAGGTCAGAGGACAGCTGTGATGAGTGAGCGAGGTGGCCATCCTGCCTTGCCCTGGACCTTGTGTAATATTTTGCTGCGTTTGGAGGATAAGGACAAGTGGTAGTCTGATGTGGATTAGGGCATGGGTTTCCTGTGGCTCCCAGAAAAAGGGACACACAGAATTGCAGTCCCTGCCCAGCTGCACCCAACATCCAGGTCATCTGTCACCAGGCCCAGGGGACAGAGCAGGTCTGTGCAGGTCTCACCACCCCTTCCTGTTGACTCTACCTCCAAGAATCCTCTGGGAAGTGTGTTCTTTACCGTCCTCCAATCCTGGTCTCTCCTGGTGCCCTGGGGAGGAGGCTGTGAGAAGATCAAGGTAACTGGACAACTCTTTGCACACCCCCAGGGGCAGAGTGCCTGCCAGCAGGACTTCCCAAAGCAGTCGCCAGGCTCCACGAAGCGGCGCTGATACTTTGGGGGCTTCCGCCTAGTGCAGGGCGGGGCCCGTGGGCAGGACCCTCCCCCCCCCAGGCTCCTCCCAGAAAGAGCGCGAGGCGGAGGGGAGGGGCTGCACGTTCCTGGTGTTTGCCTATTAGCGGGAACCATCAGCGGACAAGACACCCCCGTTTCCTGGACTCCTAGGGGCAGAGCCCTGTGAGAGGAGGAGGCACCACCTCTTCACCTATTCGCTGGACTTTGCCTAGTTCGGGCCGGGCAGGTCCGGGCATCTCGGCCCCACAGGCTTCTAGGGAGGAGGAGGGGCACACTTCTTTGTGACGTTTACCAGAAATGGGCGTGGCCAACGGAGAGACCTCTCCCACAGTAAGAAGGGGAGGGGCCCCACGCCAGTGTGGCCTTTTTCTTAAAACTGGCCAGGGGTCCTCACTAGGCTCCCCGGGGGCAGGGCGCGGTAGGGGAAGGTACCCTCTCTGTGGGGCATTTGCTCTGCTGGGAGAGGCTAGTTGTCCTCCTGAGACCTCCAATTCACGGGCTGCAGGCGGCAGCTCCTGTAGGAGGGGCTTTGTGGGGAAACCCTCTCTTTGCAACTTTTGCTCAGGGCTGGGCAGGGCTGGCTGTCAGACTCTGCCCAGGCGGGTCCCCATCACTTTGCTGGCTTTCTCTTGGTGCCCCTGGGGCCAGGGGCCAGGGTTGGACCCCACAATCTCCTGGGCTACAGGAAGTGCTGTTTAGGAAAGGGTGGAGCCTGCCCCCTTTACTGGGGGGCTTAGTGTAGAGCTTGGTGGCTGGACAAGGTCCCACCCCTCAGCCCCCTTGGGATCAGTATCTGGTGGGGTGGCGGGGGGCGGGGCACCACCTCCTTCTATTCTTTGCCTAATTCTGGGAAAGGCTGGTTGACTGGGCCCAGCCCCCCACGCCCCTTGGTGGAGGACTCAGGTGGGGAGGGGCATCGGCCCAGCTGCTCCTGTGAGGAAGCGGCGCTCCTTAACTGTTAGAGGAGTGGTTACAGTTAAAAGAGATCAATCTGCAGCGCCTCCCTCCTCCCAGTCGGCTGTCTACCTAGAACAACATTTTCTTGGAGCTTTTTGTCTTTGTGCTCCTTGGTGGTCCTAGGTTGGAGGGCCAGGGTGTTTAGGATGCAAAAGTAAACAGCATCCTTCCTCTTCCCTGGAATTCTGAGGTCCCTAGCCGCTACACCTTCTAATCTCCACATTTCAGAGCCTTCTGTGGGTTGCTTTCTGTTTTATGTCCAGGAGTTTTTGTTCTTTTTTTTTTTTTTTTTTTTTGAGACGGAGTCTCGCCCTGTCCCCCAGGCTGGAGTGCAGTGACGCGATCACTGCAAGCTCCGCCTCCCGGGTTCCCGCCATTCTCCTGCCTCAGCCTCCCCGGTAGCTGGGACCACAGGCGCCCGCCGCCACGCCCGGCTATTTTTTTGTATATTTTAGTAGAGACGGGGTTTCACCGTGTTAGCCAGGATGGTCTCTATCTCCTGACCTCGTGATCCGCCCACCTCGGCCCCCCAAAGTGCTGGGATTACAGGCGTGAGCCACCGCGACCGGCCGGAATTTTTTTCTTATTAGTGGGAGAAGAGGAGGAGAGTGAGCTTTTATTTTCTTCACCTTAACTGGAAGCCTGGTTGAGATGAGAAGCTTCTTACCTTAACAATACCCAGTTGACAGGAGAAAAGAAGGCAGCTCAACCTGGCTAAGCAACGCGCTCAAAGTCCCTGTGGTGATGATGGGCTGGGATTCCATGCCACCTCTATCCAGTGTGAAAACCCAGTCCTTTAAAATGCATTGTGCTTTTTTACTGCTTAATGTTTACGGAAGTGTGTTTTGCCTACATCTAGAATCAAATTAAAATCAAATTAGAAGGGATGCTTACAATTTTGGGAGGATTAATGTTTTGAAGATAACATATCTGTCTTACCTCTAAGTTTTATGGGGAAAGGCAACATTCATCTCATAAGTTTGCAGGGTTTTTATTCAGAAAAACATCTTTGTATATCTTGATTGAAAAAGACATGAACTTTTGGGCACAGTCTAGGTTGAGTAAGTCACTGTGATGAGCTGAACTGCACTCCCCTCCACCAATTTATGTATTGAAGCCCTAATTCCCCAGTACTTTAGAGTGTGAATATATTTGGAGACAAGGTCTTTAAAGAGATAATTAAGGTAAAATGAGGTTGTTAGGGTGGACCCTCATCCAATACGACTGGTATCCTTGTTAAGAGGAGATGAGGACACAGACATGTACAGAGGAAAGACCATGTGAAAACGCAGGGAGAAGACACCATCTGCAAGCCAGGATGAGGGGTCTCAGAAGAAATCAACCCTGCCAACACCTGAGCTCACACTTCCAGCCTCCAGAACTGTGAGACAATAAATTTCTGTTGTTTTACTCAGTCTGTGGTCATTTTTAAATGGCAGCCCTAGCAAACTAATACAGACATCTTTTTAAATAAGTAGGGAGAACACCCAAGGAATGGGACGGTGCTGTCAAGAGGACATGGAGAAGAAAACTCTTGAACCAAGGAGGACTTAGAAACACGGAGGAGGACCTGGATGTGCCCCCATTTATGATGGCGCTAGAGCCAGTGGCTTCTCTCTTGCTCGCTCTAGCTGTCTTTTCTTAAGCTCTGGGAAAGTGGTATTTAGCTCTCAATTTCCAGGGCTCTCATTCTATATTTTGCCCCAGGGTTGTCACTAAATCCAGTTTGGTCAGCATTAGGTAAGTAGCTCTTTGGGTGACTGAGTGGGGTGGAGTGATGTCCAATAAACATCAAGGCATAATGGGCAGAGCCACAGGAACCAGGACATGGCATGGAGCGAGCCGTGGCTGGTCCAGAGCAGGTGCAGGTTTGTGGTGGGGAGGTGTGTATGTGCAGTGCTCAGCTTGCCACTACGAAAGCTCTTCACTTGAGCTACCATGTGCAGACATTGAAGAAAGGAGAGCTGAAAGACATAGGGAGCATCTGGCTTATACCTATGAACTTATAATTCCATACAATTTTTATTTTACTTTTAAACCAACACCCCTCCCCTTTCTAAGAACCACTCTTGGTTATCAATGTGCTGGTTGTTAATATGAACCTTCTTCCAATAACTGCATGTAATTAAAAATAATGATCCATTTCTTCATGGATGCTCTGTGTTAAAATGTTAACAAATTTCCCGTCAAAATTTCTCCCCCTCCTACTTTTGCCTGAAAGAGAGAAATTTCACATATTTTGGAACCTACGAAGGCTTTCCTTTTTTGGTATCTGGAGTTTAGTCTTCCATTGGCAAAATCATCTTAGTTATTCTAGGACTATCGCATCTTCAATTTTAGCCATGGAGCTCAGCTTAGACGGTGCTTCCCAGATTGTGGTGGTCCTATCACTAGTGTCGTGTAAAGTCATTTTATATGGGAAAATAAAAACTAAAATTTTGGTGATGACTCACTTATTTTAAATGTTTTAAAATTATTTTCAATACATCAAAATTATTATTTCATGAATTGCAGTTTAGCTAAGTTTAAGAATCAATGAATTGAATAAAAAATTAAATAAAAACAGTACAGGTGTAAAGAGCAAATACAATTTTAAAATAAGAGACTGACTTCTCCCTGTTGAAAATAAGAAAAATAAAGAAAGAGATACCTCCTTCCTTTTCTTAGAGCACTTTAGAGATTTCCTAATTGTAATTGTTTTTCTCTGTCTCTTTGAAATGTATGTAAATCTCTTTAAAAGCTAAAGAAGTCTTTTCCAGCTTTATGACCAGGAATGTCTTTTCTTATGAACCTGGGACTCATCCTTTTGGAATATCGTTTACAAGGAAGATGGCTGCCCTCTCTCCCAGCTTCTGTGAAAAGGTAGGAGTCTAACTTGCATAGTCTCCTTACTCTAAGTTGCAAAACTATCTCCTGTCATAAAGATAGAAAAAGTGTATTTTTTTCTGTATGAAGCCAATTAGGTAACACAGATGGTAACCTCAATTACTTGGTGAATTTAGAATGAACTATGTGTGACAAATGGTGCTGTTAGGTCCTTTACTTCAGAACTAGTTATTATTTATCTTGAGAACATGTGTAATGAGTTGTATTGCTTTGACTATATTAAAGGGTGAGATTTCTTTCTATCTTTGCAATCTCTTAGCAGATTGCCTGTGATGTGTATCACATTCTGGTTTAACACTTATTCAATAATAAAATGATAAAACTACATTTTCTTTTTCTACTATCTTTATGGGGAGATTTTCTGCGTTGGCCAGATATTTTGTTTTGAAGTGTATTTTCCCAACACTGGTGATGCACACCTATCAAAAACTACATATGTAGGTGAGATGTAGATTATCAATGGCTGGGAAACACTGAGCTAGAGAAAGACATAATACTCCAGCGAGCTAGAGAAAGACATAAAACTCCAAATACCTAAGCATTTGGGTGTCTGTTGGTTTTACTGGGTTGCCTCTGGCCTATTGGTCTATTTGTCAAAAAGTGACTGTCAGCATTTCCTCAAATGTTCTTATACAATTATTTTTTTTTCCACAATAAGAGCTAAGGAAAGGGGAAAATATTGGCATTGGTCCATTGTCTCTCTCTCTCTCTTTTTTTTTTTTTTTTGAGATGGAGTCTTGCTCTGTAGCCAAGGCTGGAGTGCAGTGGTGTGATCTTGGCTCACTGCAACCTCTGCCTCCCAGGTTCAAGCGATTCTCCTGCCTCAGCCTCCCAAGTAGCTGGGATTGCAGTTGTGCATCACCATGCCTGGCTAATTTTTGTATTTTTAGTGAGACAGGGTTTCACCATGTTGGCCAGGCTGGCCTCGAACTCCTGACCTCAGGTGACGCACCCACCTCGGCCTCCCAAAGTGCTGGGATTACAGGCGTGAGCTACCGCGCCTGGCCGATTCATTGTTTCTTTTCATAGATTCTGAAATCCAAGGGCGGTTGGAGGTAAACGGGTATACATCCTTTCATCAGCCTTTTCTGGAAAATAGACAGTATTATAAAACCAGTGATGGAAGTGTTGTATCTTTGGCTTCCCAGAGATCTCAGAGAAGTGCGAACCACTTTTATGTGAGAAAGGTTGATGTGTACCTACCAAAGGGGCCGGGGAACATTGAAAAATATCTTACAAAAGGCTTTCCACTGCTGCCAGGCTGCATGATGCATTCACATCACAACCCCATGCCTCTGGGGGAGTTCTAGCAATGAACCTGTTGTTTGCCTTATAGTGGTTGCTCTCCTCACAGTTAAGTCCTAGGTGAGGTAACTTCGGGTTTAACTGTGTGGAGAGCAACCACTAGGTGGTTGATTAGGTACTTCTCAGCAGATCTTTTTCATAGTTTTGCCAGGAAACAAGGCCTTCTTCATTAGCGCAATCGTATTATTCAAGAAATAGCATTGATGAGTAGTCATCAAAAGATTTCCATCTAGCAGGTGATGGAGATGAGAAGGAAATGCTCGTCATCATTAGTTATGAAAGAAACAATGTCTGCAGTCCAATACACTGACTAAATCTAGACCCAAGTTTTCTTCCTGTAAAAATGGATATCATATCTAAAGGTCAAGATCAATTGTGAGGAAATGTGTGAAGGCACTTAGACAAACTGCATTAAGGTAGGCTATTGATCCATAAACTCAGCTTTTGCTGTTTTTTTCTGAGTAGACATTTACATTTAGATTCTCTTGTCAATTGGTATAAAACCTGTTCTCTTTATAAAGTCTACCCTACTTTTAACCCCATAGATACTTCAGTAACTTTTAACATTTCAACCTTTAAGAATGAGGCAAAACCCCAAATAAGTCAACATTACAGCTTATTAGCTGTTTCAATAGTTTAGTGATGAAAGAGTATTAAATACTGTTTAATAAATGGCTTGGTTATATGTAGGTTTCATTTGCATTCTCCATGTTAGTACTTTCCTAACAGGCAAAACTGAGAGTTATGTGTTCTACACTTTGAAAATAGACAACGTTGTCCATGACTAGGAACTAGATGTTTAAAGCACAGGAATTGCTGATAATTTAGAAGTTTATATCTTTTCTAAAATGAACTTACACTCATATTTTATAATAAACTTTTCCTGACATGGCCAAAATAATTTGGCTGTATTTTCACCAGCTCAGAGATAACAAAGGAGGGATTAAAATACTTGTAGATTTATTAATACTAAGTCATTATCATATACAAAAAGGCAACTCCCAGAAGAAATAAAAATCATTTATAAGCCCATGAAAAATCATTTATCATTGACCAAAAAAAATCAATGAAACTAAATAAAAGAATAATGTAAAAAGCTTTTTACTTTAAGTAATGGCAGGTTAGGTAATTTTGGGATGATTCTCAGATAACTCTCCCATTAAGGACAACAGAAAAATAACAAATGCAAATAGCAGCCATTGGTTTATTAATAAAGGATTTCCAGGCTAGTATCCAGGGTTGTACAGAGAGATCCAGGGAAGGAATCCTGGACTTTGAGGCCCCTCTTCCCTGCAGGCCAATTCCAGAGGAATTAGCTGGAATGCTGAGGTCTGAGAGGTACATTGAACATCTGGTGTGACTAGGGAGAAAAGGAATGGTATTTAGGGAGTGGCTGGATGGGGGCCTGATGGACCGACACTATATTTTGGGTCTCCCCAGGATAGCACCTTAGGGGTAAATGTGAGCCACAAATAGGCAGTCCTTCACAAAGACCTCATCTGAGTTTGAAATCACCCCAACTGCGGAAATAAGATAGAGTTCATATTAGTTTGCAAGTGCCCATGTGTGACTTACAGCATCACATACAATTTCTCTCTGGAAGAAAAAAAATTCATCCTAGCATTTCAAGCAATTAAGCAGAAACATAGTCCCCCACAAATAAAAATTAAATAGGCTCATGAACAAACCAAAACACTGTAGATGAAAACCAGCAAAAACCAACACATGATAGAAACATATAGGTTAAATCCACAAAGCCTCTGCATATTGTAAGTGCTACCCACAGACTTCAAGACAACTATACATTTATGTTAAGTGAAATAAAAGATGAGACTGAAAATTATAGCAGAGGAATGGAAACTATTAAAAAAGCACCTAATGCTATAAAAGTAAGTTTTAGAAGTAAAAACAAAGAAACAAACAAAAGGCAAAATGTAAAACTTAGTGGATTAATTTAAGGACAAATTAATCATTGAAGAGACAATTAGTGGACAAGAAGATGCATCAGGGAAAAAAGTCCAGAGTAAACACCAAGAGTCAACAGGATTAAAAATAAAGGAGATAAAATAAGAACTGCAGAGGATACAGTTAGAAGGTCTAACATTTAAGAATTTATATTTTTAAAAGCAGAGAAGCAATAAAATGAGTCAGAAGCAATATTTGAGGAGATAATGGCTGAGGACCTTCCAAAATTGATTAAAGACATCAAGAAAACTGAGGAATTCCTATGAACTCAAGAAAAAATACTTTTATAAAGGATCCACAGCTGTGTCAATTACAGTAAATGTACTAAAATTCAGAAACAATTAAAAATTTCAAAAGAAATTTGTTTCAAAGAAAAAGACAGATTACCTTCCTGGGAACAACAAATAGACTTGACATCTGACTTTTCAACATAAACAATGGAAGACAGTAAACAGTGAGATGATATCTTTACATGGCTGAAAAAAATGCCAATCAAGAACTCTGTAACCAGTGAAAAATATCCTTAAAAATTTTGAAATAAACATATTTTTGACAAATAACAGATAAAAATGTATCACAGACCCACAGTAATGAAAAGTGTACTGAAGACAGAAGGAAAAATGATCCCAGGTTTTGGGTTAGAGGTGCAAGAAGCAACAAAGAGTAGAAAGGGTAAAAATGCGTGTCTATATATCGATGAGTATGGACCATGTAAAACAAAAATGAAAATGACTTGTGGGATTTAAATACATGTAGAATTAAAATACAAGACATAAACAGCATTTATGTCAGGAGGTGAGTACATGTATATAAACTGTTCTAAGACCCTTTTATGGTCCTAGAAGATACGAAAATTATCAAATTATATTCAACTTCCATAAATCGAACATGCTTTTTAATGTCTAGGGTAACAATTAAAAATATAGCAATAGAATGTAGAAGGGAATATTAGAAGCAATAGAATTAAGATGGGAAACAGAATAATAAAAATTTTGCACTATAAAACAAGGATAAAAAAGAAACGAAACAAAACAGACTAGACAGATAGAAAGCACATAATAAAATAGCAGCATAAGTTTATATTGGCAAACATATAACCTGTGAACTGACTGAACTGTTCAATTTAAAGATACTGATTTTCACTGTGAGTTAAAGAGAAAAAAACCTATATGCTGTTTATAAAAATTCATAAAAATGGGAGTGGCCTTTGGGAGATTTTACAGTGCTACTAATATTCGCCACCATTACGTTACGTGGGTAAACTTTGTGAATATCACTTTGTGATAAGTTAATGGACAATACATTTTTGTTCATACACTTTTTTTTGCATGTTTATGCTATAGCAAAGTATTTTAAGAAAAAATTCTATATAATGTTAAATTATAAAATTGTCAATGAGTTAAAAAATGGAAAAATGTGCTAAAAATGTGCAAATAATTGTGTACTCTTACACTGAACCACTTGCCCAGTGTTTCTGGCGTATATTTGATCATACATATTTTCAAAATAAATGTTGACATTTATATATCCTTTGATCTAACAATTATTCCCGGGACTATAATAAGGGATGTGAGTAATGATATTAGGTTGGAAATTATCAAGAACATTGTATATTTTAGAGAATAATTAGAATAAAATATAATAGGAGATTAGTTAAGTGAACTATGACCTTAGCACATAATGGAATATTAGTCATCATTAAAACTATATTGAAAAGTAATTTTAAAAACATAAGAATTTATTCAAAATAAACCATTAAATGAAAAACTTATAATAATAACAGCAAAAGGAAAGACTAGTATGGTGTTTATGGTGTGTCAGGCAGTGTTGTTAGCATTTAATATTAACCTTTTAGTCTTCACAACAGTTACATGAAGCAGGTACTGTCATCTGCATTGAACAGGTGATGACACATGAAGTATGGAGAGGGTGAGCAACCAGACCAAATTTGCCCAACTTTCAGGTGGCACACTGCTGCCTCTCTGTAAACGAGCATATGCAATAGAGGCCAGTCCCAGTTTCATCAACTATTATTTTTTCTAGATAGATAATATCAAATAAAAACAGATCTAAACTTAGGTAGAAAGAGAGTTTACTGAAAATGAGGATTTAAACAAGAACCAGCCAGATGAGGGAGAAATGCATATTGCAATAGGGAGGATCTTCCCATATGAGATTTGCAAGCAAATCTCAAAGGCCAGGCAGAAAGGGGACTTTTCTTTTAAAGGGAGGAGAAAACAAGGCTAGAAAAAAAAAGGCTAGGCAGAAAGGGGGCTTTTCTTTTAGAGCAGTGGTCCCCAACCTTTTTGGCACCAGGGACTGGTTTTATGGAAAACAGTTTTTCCATTGACCAGGGTGGGGGAATGTTTTTGGGATGATTTAAGTGCATTACATTTGTTATGCACTTTGATTCTATTATTATTACTTGTAATATAGGATAAAATAGTTATACAACTTCCCATAATGTAGAATCAGTGGGAGCCCTGCATTTGCTTTCCTGCAACTAGATGGTCCCATCTTGGGGTGATGGAGACAGTGACAGATCATCAGGCATTAGATTCTCATAAGGAGTGCAAAACCTAGATCCCTCGCAGGTACGCTTCACAATAGGGTTTGCACTATTGTGAGAATCTAATGCTGCTGATGATCTGATAGGAGGTGGAGCTCAGGTGGCAATGTGAGCGATGGAAAGAGGCTATAAATACAGATGCAGCTTCCCTCACTCACCTGACAGTCACCTCCTGCTTTGAGACCTGGTTCCTAATAGGCCATGGATGGCCAAGGGGTTGGCCCTTGTTTTAGAGGGAGGAGTAAACAAGGCTAGAAATAATTAGGTGTCATGAGGTGGGATGAGTCAGTGGATTGATTGGATGATTGATTAGGAATTACTTTTTTCCTGAGGTCAGCTGAGTTTCAGGAGGGGTTATTAGAAGGGGTTGTTCTGAGTTCTAATGCTTAAAGGTGAGCCAAAATTTGTGACCCTGGGGAAGGAGAAAAACCCGACTAAAGTTTCATCAAGTCAAATTAGTCGAAGTTTTATCCAGACTGGTTGGTGGGGTCAAAGGACTTGGCTAATCATTTGCCAGACAATGAATAGGAATTTGGAGGATCTATGTCTGTCCTTGTCATGGGGAAAAAGAGGGTCATTTGTAAATTTTATCTAAGTCATATGGGGAAGGGTCATTCTTTGCAGTAAACTCTAGGGGTGGGGGGATTTTTTTTGACCATTGCTGTTTCCAAGAACATTTCCAATGTCCATGCAGTAAGACACATATGTACATGGGATTGCAGACCATGATAGGCAAAAAAGAAAATTGTAAGATTAAGGGTGATGGAATTACAGATTATTTTTCCCTTTCTTTCTTTTTTTGTGCATGTATAGTTCTCTGTGTGTGTATTTATCTATCTATCTATCTATCTATCTATCTATCTATCTATCTAATCTATCATCTATCTCTCTCTCTATCATCTATCATCTATCCTATCTATCTTCTATTCTCTCTCTCTCACTCTCTCTTTCTTTCTCTCTCTCTCTCTGTCTCTCTCTCTTTACCATCAGTCTATTTTAGGCTGTTGTATTATCAAATGAGAAAACAAATGTAATGAGGAACACAATGATCAGCACATAATAAGTAGGCAAATGTTACTTCTGGCATCATCATGTCCATAAAATTAAAAGAATGTGAAAAAGTCTTTTTTTCAAAGAAAAAAAGAGAAAAATCAATATCCTGTAGACCTTTTTATTTCTAACAGAGTTTCCTCTTAAGAGAAAAGCAAAGCCCAGACCCTGAGTACTCCTTCTCTATCCTGATGACTGTGAAGGCATTTGCAATAAATCTCCTCTTGGACATTAGGTGCACATCTGAGGAAAGGCAGTGGAAGACAGGAACGTATTCCCATGACTATTGTCATAACTTGGCTAGGAAAGGTTCTTTACACTGGCAGATGCAGGCTTGTCTCTGACAGAGCCCTGGTATTTTCTTCCATCCTGGGGCCCTTGGGGAAGCCTTGGCTGTGTCATGGCACCATCTGGCCACCTGTGGATCTTTTGAGTGTGCTTTGGAGATTGCTGCCAGTGGTCTTTCTGTTCTGGCTGGCATTCCTGGAAGTATTTCAAGTGCTGGTTTTAGGAGCCCACATTCTGAAATGCCCATCTCAGGGTTTTGTTTTCTTTCATTTTGTTCTAAATATTGGAAGGAAAATATATCAAAGGTTGCTTGGTTTTGCAGTTCTCACCGGGGAGTTGAGTCTGGTAATTCAGTGCTTTGTTCAGAAGCCCAGGAATGTGAATTCTAGGGAAAATCTTGACACATATTAAGGAAGCTAAAGAGAATATTGTTCTTGGTCATTTCACTTCAAGCTGATGTTACCCAGCTGGCCACCTGGGACGGTGTCTTTACTTGGGCTTGAGTAAGTTCATAGCACAACTGGAAATGATGATCCAGGAGCTATCACTGAAACCAAATGGGGAGTAAGAAAGGCATATGAGCCTGGACTTTGGAGCCAGTCAAATAATCCTGAGTTTATTCAAGTTAAATAATGTCTCTGTGCCTCAGTTTCCTTATCTGTAAAATGGGTTTATTAATCTGCACCTACCACATGGGGCTTCGGTAAGGATTAAATGAATTATGACATGCGAAATGTTAGGAGAGTCTACTGCCTGCAGTAAGTTCGTATTATATGATGATCACTATTAAACCTAAGCATGTGAACAAATGGCCCCCAGTCAAGTAATTTTAAACAGTGTTATTTGTGTACAATATCACATGTATCTCATAGGTATACCCAAAACTTCCAGAGTGGTCACCAGTGCCTGTTTCTCTTCAGTATTTTTGTCTGTTTTTAATCCCACCCTAGACTCCTGAGCATACATGCAGACTAAAGTTCGCTTTTAAAACATAACAAATGTGAGAGATATCTTCCTGTTTTTATTTTTTAAATGGAGGAGTCTTTGATGGTGTAGCAAAGTATTTTATCATTCCTACTAATTTGAAAATGAGGCTGTATAACCCACTCTGATTGTATCTAAATTATTGCTGCTCCTGCCTCATTTCAGTGTCTGGAAAAGAGAAAATTGGATGCTGCCCACTAATAGCATGTTAACAAGGGCAGATTAGATGTAGCAAGAGGGGTTCTTTTAGTAGACTAATTGAAAGTATCACTTGGTGATTGGAGGACATTGGCTTGTGACTTTGAGTAAGCACTTCTCACAATTAATAGTGACTAATGAAAACTAAATAGTACAATAAATCATATCACTGATAGTGTAAGGGGAAAAGTCATTGGCCTGAACAACCCTCATTTAAGAACTTGGAAGCAGCACCAATAACAATTTTATAGGTGAAGACAGTAAAGCATAAGGGTTAAAGCTTTTATGGTGTAGCCAAACTGCCTCAGGTCATATATCAACTTTGTCATTTATGAGCTGCATGACCTTGGGCAAGTTACTTAATCTCAATGGGCTTCGTGTCCCTCACGTATAATCGGTGGTTTATAATAATAGCACCGAATTCATATGACCACGCATATGTTGCCTATTAATATTGTTAGGGAAGGTGTATCAGTCAGAAGGGCAGAAAACAAGTAGCACATTCAAAGACAGTAAATGGAGTGAGTTAATATAGGGAATACTCACATAGGGGTGGACAAAATTAAGGGAACCAGTGAGAGGGGGCAAAACACATGGGAACTTCTCCAGTGGAGCTGTCTTCACATGCAGGCTGGAAGGGCAGAAGTGGGCGAGATTGTCACACCCCATAAGAGTGGTGGCCATGAGAAAATGGCTATCCAGTGGTACTGTGGGCCTCCCCAGATGAACAGACTTCACAAAACCATGACCAGCAGTGAGGGAGTAAGCAAAATAAATTCCCTGATCTCTCTGTGCTCTTGTCCTCCACAATTCTGCTGGTGTCTCCATTGACTAAACCTCATCAGAAGTCGAGAGAAAGGGAAGCCAGGTGATGCTGTACAAAGAAGTCAGTCTTCAGAGCACAGAGGAGGGCGGGGAAGGGTGAAAAGTGCGTCTGGAGGGAGAGGTAGGAACTATCTAACCCAGAGGACAATGGTCTTCATGAATTCAGCTATAATGGGCATGCAATCAACACAAATAAATAAGAGGAAAAATTGCCAATATAGTTGCACACTCTTTTCTAAGTATTTCTCAATGGATGAAAATAGCTTGCACAATCCCTTCCTTGCTTCATAGGGGACAGTTTCCTATAGTTTAGCTAAAAGCAGAAACGGTGACAATTCTATCAAGAACAACATGAGCAGAAACAGAAACAGCAACTAGCATTTCTGTAATGCTTTATCATTTACAAATGCTGTAGTCTATTAAATCACAATTGAACCTCATCATAACAATGTTTTAGTTAGATATTTAGAAACATTTATAAACGAAGAAATGGAAGCGTGGAGAGCTTACTTGGCTAACTGGAAGACATTATGTTAGGCAGAATAAGCCGGAAACAGAAAGTTAAATACAGCATGTTCTCACTCATACGTGGTAGCTAAAATAAAAGTTTATTTCAAAGAGGTAAGAAGTAGAACAGAGAATAGCAGAAGCTGGAAAGACTAGGTGAAGCGAGGGATAGAGAAAGATTCATTAAAGGGTACAAAATTACCCAGATATGATTACTATACATTATATGTATTGAACATCACCATGTATCCCATGAATAAGTACAATTATGATGTGTCAATTAAAAATAACAGATAAAAATTTCAAAAAGAAATGAAATAACATTAGATCCAATTTTAAAAAAGGCTACAGTGTATTTTTTTAAAAAATGAGGTAACATTCATGTAACATAAAATTAACTATATTAAAGTAAACAGTTCAATGGCATTAAGCAGATTCACAATAGAGTACAACCACGTTGTAAATCTACACCCTTCTCAGTCTTAATTCCTGAGGGTTTTAAGATACTGTGAGATATTGTCTCACAACAAATCTTGTCATCACAGTCTTCATATATTCTGTTTGTTCCCAAAACATCATAATGAGATATAAGTTTTAAAGTAATCAACCAACCTGAATATCTTGCTGAAATAAAATTGTTGGCTGAAAAATTCTAGAAGTGTTTATGAGAGAAAAGTGAACATACATTAATTTCTTTTTTTCTTTCTTTTTTTTGAGATGGAGTCTTGCTCTGTCGCCCAGGCTGGAGTGCAGTGGCGCGACCTTGGCTCACTGCAACCTCTGCCACCTGGGTTCAAGCGATTCTCCTGCCTCAGCCTCCCGAGTAGCTGGGATTACAGGCGTGCACCACCATGCCCGGCTACTTTTTGTATTTTTAGTAGAGATGGGGTTTCAGCATCTTGGCCAGGCTGGTCTTGAACTCCTGACCTTGTGATCCACCCATCTTGGCCTCCCAAAGTGCTGGGATTACATGTGTGAGCCACCGTGCCTGGCCTAATTTCTAATTTACACATCCCTACATCCAATGTGTTTCCTCAGAATTGCCTTTAATGTGAAACTAAGGTAGGTGAGAAGAAACCTTTGCAGAAGTTCAATAAAAATGGGCCATATGTGTTCTCTCTTATATTCTCATATGCTTCCTCTCCTAAAATTGAGAAAAAGGGTAATATTTCTCTGTACCCATATAGTTTGTTTTATATTAGTTTTTGATGCTAAAAATCACTTCCATTTCTGAGAAAATGGCTTCAGAGTTTATACATTTCTCGCCTTTCTTAAAATTGAATATCAATTACTTTCTCTTAAAAGGTTTCAGAATCTATTAATGGGAAGTAGTCATCAACCTTTAATGGAATACTGTCATCCCTTAAATGCAGCTTTCGGTTTTCTGAGTTTGAATGAAAATGATCACATAATCCATAACTTATCTCTACTATAAAATGCTGTAGACCAATAGTAAAATTACATATTATCATATAATTGATATTCAGATAAGATACATTGGATGAATCCTTGGCCAAAATGAATATTGTGTAACTCCACTCATTGTTTCCAAATCCACCACCATTTTGGACTTAATTAACTAATTATACAAGTTATTTAGTGAGTGATTGACCTATTGATTAAACAGCTGAATGAAGAGAATACCAATACCCTATTTATCTTTAGTAACGGAATAAATTTATGACTCATAAATGTACAAAAAAAGGACTTGCTTGTACAAAAAAAGGACTCAGAAGATTTAGCTCTGGGGTTAGTGATTTTATTTTCTTCTATATCAACATTGCAGATAATGTAAGATGTTCTTAACAACAGATCATGGACAAATGAACAAATAAAAGAGGACCATTTAAATTGGAAGGATGTGTATAACTTGTGTAATTAGACAATTTAGCCAAAAATGGTTGCGGATTTGGGTACAAACAATTTGTCAGGATAATAATGAAAGGAGCAAGAAGTGGTCAAAGCGTATGCACTGGCAACAGTTTAAAAATATCAGATGTGATATGTTTCACTTCACTCTAAAATAGGGCTCAGAATTGTGGTTCAAAGATCACAAGCCTGAATGTCCGAAGACAACAAAACAATGCTGACTTTACCCTCATAAATTATTTTCATAAGACATTGATGGTGTTCACTCAGCAAATAGTTATTGAATACCTGTGGTATGTCAGGAACTATAAAATAGGTTATTTAGGATGTGATGATGAACCACTCACTGAGAGTGATCTCGAAAACACAAAATGAAAATCAAGCAAAGGAAATCCAACTTAGAGAACGATGTAGGTTCAAGAGGTGAAGATGATGTAAACTTGGCAAAGTAATGCTCAGAGTTATTGTGTCTCAGGTCTGGGGTCAGACAAACCTGGTCTTGAATCCCAGAGCACCCATCTGGTAATAACTCCTTATTTATTTCATAAAAAAAAAATGGGTGCTCAAGTTTTTCTCTATGTGTGTGTAATTGTCTATGTCTCTTTTTAGTTCTCAGTTTTGCTTCATATATATTTCAGGCTACATCATTAGATGCTCTCACATTTAGAATTGGCAAACTCCTACTCCACATTTTTTGCCTTCTCAGCACCTTGAGAGCGCTTTGAACTTTGATCTACTTTTTAGCATCTTTCTGTTTAGATGCACAGCACTCTCCCCTGTGTGGTTTAAGAACCTGGCAATGTTTTGAGAACAAAGTTGGAGGGTAGTGTTTACTTCTCAGTACCTCCTTGCTCTTCGAGATTATGGCCCCTCAAGTGTTGGCTTCCTTGGCAGCTGTGAACCCAATATTTGTCTTTCCATCCATGTGGAATTCCTAAAAGCCCTGCTGGATTCTTACGATATTTAATTCAAAACACTCTGGAAACACATGCCTCATAAAACCAAAGGCAACTTGGCAGATGCATCGCCGAGCGGGGATGCCAGAAGAACAAGTGTGATCGCCAATTTCGGGCAACTGAAACAGCATCAGAATTCTAGATCATTGCACCAATCTAACAGTTTTTGTTAAAAAGCCATCTCTTTCTTTCATTCTTGAGCCTTCATGCCATATTCTGCCATAAATTAAGAAGATGGGAAATATGTTATCTGGATAATAAAAACCCAGGTCAGATAGACAGTGTTCTAGTGTGTGGCCGAAAATTATCCATTTACTACTCTGAGTGATGAAGTTTAGGTGAACAAAGGGGCTTGGGAATGTTTACCCTGCACAGAATTAGGGGAGAGAGTAAAAGATGGAAATAGGAAAGAATTTAGTCCAATCATTCCCTATTATCTGATTTAAATAGTTTCAAATTATCAACACACTGCTTTCCACTGCTGAATTATGATTTCTCTGTACACACCTGCCTCTCTGTCACTAAATTATCTTTTTATTAATTGTCAGGAAACTGTTGACTTTTGTTTAACTTACCTCCTCCAGAATGCCCATTCTGCACAGAAACTCACCAAGAGAAGGGCATTTACAAGACAAGGACCACCAATCACGTCTCCCAGTATCTTTTATTGTTCTGAGATATTTGGGGAGCTAAATGGTTTTTAAAATACAGGTTTGTCATGTGTAAGAGTGCGAATGACTCTGGGATATTAGACAAAAAAACCTGACTAGTTTTGAGAAAGGACTCAAGTGCTTCTTCTTCCAGTGGGAATGGCTTTATTTATTTATTTTGAGACAGAGTCTCCCTCAAAATTAGTAGATTTCTGTGACTCATTCACTGTGCCTCAGGTTCCTATCTACACGACAAGGATAATAGTAATACCTGTTGCCTAGGATTGTTGGAAGTATTTAATGAGATAGTGCTTGCGGAGCTCAGTGCTTGGCACACTCCTGACTGGCCTTTCTCTTTCGTGATTATGTCAAGGTAAGGACAGCTTCAGAAATTTTGCATTTCTCATTCCCTCTGCTTGGAATTCTCTTCTTTTAGTCTTTGCACAGCTATTTCCAAGTTTTATGATTGTAACAGCACTTACAAGCATCTAAACTATTGTTTATATATTAGTTTTCTTGTCTTCTCTCACTAGAATGCACCTGCCTGAGGGTGGGGACCATATCTGTTTTGTTCACCTCAACAATCCCGGTATCTGCAAGAGTGCTGACACATAGGAGCTTCTCAAAAACAATTCGTAAATGAGTGAGTGAGCAAGTGAATGAATAATTATTTTTATGAGGGTGGGGAATTTTTGTAGTCATGATGGTTCCAACAAAAATAAAAATGAGAAAATTATATCAAATAGCATTTTTCGGAGTAATTTTTCTTCCTCTCCCATACACCTCTTGAGAAAGTCTCCTTCTAGTCTATATTCTTTGACCATTTTTTAGATAGGGTCTCACTCTGAAGCCCAGGCTGAGTGTGTGATGTGATCACAGCTCACTGCAGCTTTGACCTCCTGGGCTCAAGCGATCCTCCCACTTCAGCTCCCTGAGTAGCTAGGACTACTGGTGTGTGCCACTATGCCAGGCTAATTTTTTAAAATTTATTTGGTAGAGACAGGGTCTTTCTATGTTGCCCAGGCTGGCCTCGAACTCCTACACTTAAGCAATCCTCCCTCCTTGGCCTCCCAAGGTGTTGGGATTAGAGGCATGAGGCACTGCATCCAGCCTCTCCTACATTTTTGAAGTTTTGGCTAGTCTCCACTTTTTATATTAGTCCACAAGACATTGTCAAATCTTTTTTTTTAGATTAATAGACTATATTTTTAGAGCACTTTTAAGTTCACAGAAAAAAATGAATGGAAAGTATGGAGAATTCTCATCTACCCCCTGTACCCACACACATGCAACCACCCCAATTTCAACATCCCTTACCAGAGTGGGACATTTGATACAGTCAATGAACCTACATCAACACATCATTATCACCCAAAGTCCAAGGTTTTTTGTTTTGTTTTGTTTTGTTTTTCTGCTAAGTGTTCACCCTGGCTCCTTAAGGGGAAGTTCATCAATTAAATTATCTTTACCTGGTTCTGCACTTATATGGTCACTGTGAGAAGGGGTAGGAGAGAATGCCTCAGTGGAAAACGTAAGAAAGGGCTCTCATTCATGTGACCGGACTTCATGAAGACTTGGAAAAGGGCTATTAGACACTGCAATTTTGTGCTTCCATTCCAAATTCTGGTTCCTAGAATTCAAGAACAAAGGCATTCTCTAGGTAGCAAGTTAGTTGCCTGGGAGAGCCATGTTGTTTGTTGCTCAATGAAAGAAAAGAAATTGCCCAAAATCCAAGTTGACAAGATAATGCCATTTACAAATGGTGCACAAAACCCGCAGAGATCATCAACTTAGGGCACCAAGATTTACACTTTAATCATCAGCAATTTATCTTACTGGTATGTGAATAATATGCTTCTGCTTATTTTAATCTTCATCTCACACCGAAATCTACCTGGTGATTCTAACAGGACTTCTCGGTAAATGAAGGGAAATAAGATAAAGCTCTTCTGTCACCCCAAGTTTCCTTTGATCACCGTCTCACTTTCATCATATTGTTTGGCTCTACTCCAAGATTCATACCAGATTTACAACAAATTGCTCAATACAAGGAGCCCCTCATTAATATCTGGGAACAGTGTGGAGTGTTGATGGTAGTTTCTAAACTCTCATGATCTGGGGGAATCCTGAACTCAGTCAGTCGTTATAACTGAGGGAGAAAAATCACTGAGGTCTATTCGAAGGGAATCTTACAAATAGTGTCTATATTTTATTAAGTACTCTAATTGAATATTGCTTTTCTGCCAGAGACTTAGGTATGGAGAGTGCAGTGACTTGTGCATTAATATTATGATTAGGCAATCATGGCAGGGGTGGGTGAAACCATCCGCTGTGATGCTCTCTCATTAGGAGGATGAGAGACCCTGTGATGCAGTTTGGATTTACCCTCCAAATCTCATGGTGAGATGTAATCTTCAGTGTTGGAGGTGGGGTCTTGTGGGAGGTGTTTCCTTCTGGAGGGCGAATCCCCTCATGAATGGCTTGGACCATCTCCTTGGTGATAAGTGAACTCTCACTCCGAGTTCACATGAGATCTGGTCATTTAAAAATGTGTCGCACCCCCCAACCCCTTCTCTCGTTCCTGCTTTCACCAGGTTTAGGGCCTGCTCCCACTTTGCCTTCTGCCACTAGTAAAAGCTTGCTGAGGCCTCCCCAGAAGCAGATGCTGGCACTACGCTTCCTGTACAGTCTGTAGAACCATGAGCCAATTAAACCTCTTTTCTTGATAAATTACCCAGTCTCAGGTATTTATTTATAACAATGCAAGAACAGCCTAATACAGAAAATTGGTACTGAAAAGTGGGGCATTGCTATAAAGATACCTAAAAATGTGGAAGTGACTTTGGAACTGGGTAATAGGCAGAGGTTGGAAGATTTTGGAGGTCTCAGAAGACAGGAAGATGGGGGAAAGTTTGGAATTTCTTAAAGACTGCTTAAATTGTTGTGACAAAATGCTGATAGTGATGTAGGCCATGAAGTTCAGGCTGAACAGGTCGCAGATGGAAATGAAGAACCTATTGGGAACTGGAGCAGAGGTCACACATGTTATGCCTTAGCAAAGAACATGGCTGTATTATGTCCATGCCTTAGGGATCTGTAGAAGTTTGGACTAAAGATTTAGGGTATCTGGTGGAATGAATTTTTAAGCCACAAAGCATTCAAGCTGTGGCTTGGCTGCTTCTAACAACCTACGCTCAGATGCAAGAGCAAATAAATGACTTAAAGTTGGAACATATATTTACACAAGAAGCAGAGTGTAAGAGTTTGGGAAATGTGCAGCGCAGCCATATGGCAGAGAAAGAAAAAGCTTTTTCAGGAAAGGAATTCAAGCAGGTTTTGGAGCAGCCACTTACTAGAGAAATTTGTATAACTAAAGGAGACCCAAGTGCTAATAGTCAAGACTATCGGGAAAAGGACTCCAAGGCATTTCAGAGAACTTTGTGGCAGCCTCTCCCATCCCAGGTCCAAAATCTTAGGAAGGAAGAATGGTTTTATGGGTCAGGCCCAGGGCCCTGCTACCCTGTGTAATCTCAAGACACTTCTCCCCAACATCCCTGCCACTCTAGCTTCAGCCTCAGGTCAATGGGGCTCAGCTACAGCTGGGGCTGCAGCTCCAGAGGGTGCGAGCCATAAGCTTTGGCAGCTTCCACATGGTGTTATTCCTGTGGGCATACAGAGTGCCGAAGTTGAGGATTGGCAGCCTCCACCTAGATTTCACAGGATGTATGGAAAAGCCTGGATGGCCAGACCAAAGTCTGCTGTAGGAGAAGAGCCCTCACAGAGGACTTCTACTAAAGCAGTGAGGTGGGGAAATGTGGGGTTGGAGCCTCCACATGGAGTCCCTAATGGAACCACTGCCTAGAGGAGCTGTGAGAAGGGGGCCACCATCCTCTATACCCTGAAATGTAGATCCACTGGCAACTTGTAGCCTCAGTATGAAAAAGGCACAGGGTTTTCATGGCTTTTTCACAGGGAAAAACTCCACAGGGGTGGAGGTTCCCAAGGCCCTGGAACACCAGTTCTTGCATCGATGTGCCCTAGATGTGGGACATGGAGTCAAAGGAGATTATTTCAGAGATTTAAGGTTTAATCACTGCCCTACTGGGTTTCAAATGTGCATGGGGCCTGTGGCCCTTTCTTTTGGCCAATTTCTCCCTTTTGGAATGGAAACGTTTACCCAATGCCTATAACCTCAGGGTATCTTGGAAATAACTAACTACTTTTTTATTTTACAGGCTCATAGGTGAAAGGAATTTGCCATGTCTCAGATGAGACTTTGGACTTTTAAGTTAATGCTGGAATGTGTTAAGACTTTGGGGGACTGTTGGTAAGGCATAATTGTATTTTGCAATGCGAGAAGAACATGAGATTTGGGAGGGGCTGGGGTTGATATAGTTTATATATTTGTCCCTACCCAAATATGTTGAATTTTAATCCCCAATACTGGAGGTGGGTTCTGATGGGAAACGTCTGGATCACAGGACTGGATCCTTCATGGCTTGGTGCTGTCTTCACATAGTGAGTGAGTGCTCATGAGATCTGGTTATTTGAAAGTGTGTGGCAACTCCCTTTTCCAATCTTCTCTCTCTGGCTCCTGCTTTTGCCTTGTAAAGTGCTTACTCCCTCTTCACCTTCTGCCATGACTAAAGCTTCCTGAGGCCTCCCCAGAAACATATGTTGGCACTGTTTCCTGTATAGCCTGCAGAACGATGAGTCAATTTAATCTATTTTCTTTATAAATCACTCAGTCTGAGGTATTTATTTATAGCAATGCAAGAACAGCCTAATGCCCCCTGCATCAGTCTCCTCTCCTCCACTCACTTCTTGTGTAATTGACTATATTTATATTAGGAATGCTGTAGTGTAGGGCCTATTATTTCACGGGTTGTCTTGACATCTTTGGGCCTTGGAGGGCCTCCAAGACTAACTGGGTGTTCTCTACTCTCATCAGATATGCCTCCTCCGTAGCTGAAAAGATATGCCCCCTACCCAGCTAGTTCATCTATGGGCTGGACTGCTTGCACTCCACCATGTCCTCAACCTAACCAATTTTACTTCCCTGGTATTCCACAGAATCATTGAATCAAGTCAATCACATCCTCCTGTCAGAACCAGGGGCACCACATTCTCACATTCTTTTGTTACTACAAAGCCTGCTTCCTACAGCTCCTGATGGTTCACTTTGTTCCTTTTTTTTTTTTTTTTTTTTTTTTTTGCTTTCCAACGTTTATTTTAGTTTCGAAGGGTACCTGTGGAGGTTTGTTACATGGATAAATTGCATGTCTCAGGGATTTGGCGTACAGAT
The DNA here is from genome assembly GCF_000001405.40 of Homo sapiens. NCBI lineage: Eukaryota > Metazoa > Chordata > Mammalia > Primates > Hominidae > Homo > Homo sapiens. The sequence goes on from NC_000012.12 coordinate 126,005,725, forward strand.
AATTTTGTCACCTAGGTAATCAGCATTATACCTGATAGGTAGTTTTTCATTCTTCACCCTTTCCCCATCCTGCACCCTTAAAAGGTCCCAGTAAGTACTGCTTCCTTATTTGAGTCCATGTGTATGCAATGTTTAGCTTCCACTTTGAGTGATAACATGTGGTATTTTGTTTTCTGTTCCTGCCTTAGTTCACTTAGGATAACGGCCTCCAGATGTATCCATGTTGCTGCAAAGGCCATGATCTCATAGCTACATAGATACACAGTATTTCCTGGTGCATAGTATTCCATGGTGTATCTGTACCACATTTTCTTTATTCAGTCCTTCATTGATGGGCATCTAGGTTGAGTCCATGTGTTGCTATTGTGAGTGGTGCTGCAGGGTTCTTGATTGCAGTCTCTGTGTTCCCCTGAGGGGTGTCTGGTGTTCACTGACCTCTCCCATTCTGTGAGTATATGTGGCTCACAAGCTACAGTCTACCTCACCTGTGCAGTTTCAGGTGCTATGTGTTCACCTGTCTTCTATTTAGGGTGAGGAGTCCCTCCCTCACCAACAGGATGAGTAGAAAGTGCTCAGAACAGGTGTCCTTCCCAGGTCCTCTCGAGTCCCCTTTGCCAGTATTCTGTGCTCTTTGAACGCCTCAGAGTAGTGGCACTCCAAGGAGAGCCTTGAGCTACTAGGGCAGCCTCACCTTGGGACAGGACAAGCACCTGGGCATTTACACACCCCTGGAGCAACCCATAGCCAGTGGCTGAATTGTGTGGGGACACAGAAGCCCTGGCCCTTTGTTTCTAGGCAGTATAGACTGAGGTGTGGTTTCACACATCCTGTAGGATCAGACAGGGTTGAGACTTTACCTTGAATCACATCCTTGCTTTTCTTCTCCCTCTTACTTCTTGTTGTCCTGAGATTAACTCTTTCATAAATCACAGGCACTGCAATCCTTCACATAGGGCCTGCTTCCTGAAGAACTCAAACCAAAAGAAAAGCTCATCAGCAAACTTAAAGGGCTGGTTCCGAGATGGGATAATTCCCTTGATCCCTTTGTGGAACTTGCGACAGGGGTGTGGCTCGTTTACTCGGTTGCCACAGGCTCAAACCCCTTGTGAGAGGGAGTGTGTGAGGGAGCAAGTGTGGGAACTGGAGCGAATGAATACTGGAACCAGCCAGTCACTCCTCTCTGGTGGGAGCAGGCTCTGTGCAGCCCCACAGCAGTGTCCAACTGTATTACAACCAATGCCCTTTCAGCTCTGTCACCCAGGGTTGGCCAAGTGCCAACCAGCTCAGTGGAGGGTCAGGGTGACAGCCCCTGCCCTGTTGGCACCTGGGTTCTTGTCCAGCATCCAGGAAGAATCAGGTCACATGAGTGGATTGATGGGTAGCATATAAGGAGGATTTTACTGGACGATGGAAGTGGCTCTCAGCAGGATGGGGAGTTGGAAAGGGGATGGTGCGGGAAGAAGGTGATCTTTCCCTGAAGTCTGGCCATCTCTCGCTGGGGCCCTCTCCAAAGCTGCACCATCTGAGGTTAGCTGTGTCTATCCAGTCTCTGACACTCAGTTGCTTCTCTGCTTCCTGCTTAGCCACTTGTATCCTCAGTACTCAGCCACCTGTATCCTTGCTGCTGAGCCACTGGTATCCCCAGTGCTCAGCCACTTGTATCCCTGACACTCAGCCACTTGTGTTGCTGTGTCAGCTGAAGTCTTTTTATGGGCACAGGATAGGGGCATGGTAGATCAAAAAGGCAAAATTTGGGTGGAAAAACAGGGTCAGCCGTTTTCACTTAGGGCTGCGGTTCCAGGCTTAACGGTGGGGTTCAGTCAGGAGCCCTTCTGTATCAGTCCTATATTTAGAAATACAGGAGGTACAGATCTCAACATTGCAGGCTAAGGAGTCAGATTGGCCTGGTTTGGTGCTCTAATTGTGCTTCAATTCCTCTATCAGTAAAATGGGTGAATAGTTTTTAATTCACGGGGTTGTTGTGATAATTTATAGAAATGGTACATGTAGCTGGCATGGTACAAATAAAGCACTCAGTGAATGCTAAAATCTTCTCACTGATCTCTCTTATTCTCAGAATGAGGACACAGAAGTTTTAACTGCTCTGTGGCTAGTAATGATCTGACTTTGGAGTCACGTGAAATTACTTTTTAAATACTTCATTTTAAATTTAGGAAACAGAGTAATCATCTGCTATGTTTCACTGTGAGATTTTTTTTTCTTTAGACATTGTCTCACTCTATGGCCCAGGCTGGAGTGCAGTGGCATGATCATAGCTCACTGCAACCTCTGCCTCCCAGGCTTAAACAATCTTCCCACCTCAGCCCCCAGAGTAACTGGGACTAGAGGTACGTGCCACCATACTTGGCTAATTTTTGTATTTTTTTTTGTACAGGTAGGGTTTTGCTATGTTGCCCCAGCTGGCTTTGAACTCTTGGGCCCAAGGGATCCACTTGCCTCGGCCTCCCAAAAGGTTGGGATCCCAAAGTGTGAGTCACAGCTCCTGGCCATATACATATATATGTATATGTGTGTGTATATATACACACACACATATATACACATATTAGATACATACTTACATACTTACACAATGTTTACATATATATATATATATATATATATATATATAAACACACATTTTATATATAAATATATATACACATTTTTTTGAGACAGGGTCTTGCTCTGTTGCCCAGGCTGGAGTGCAGTGGCACCATCATAACTCACTGCAGCCTTGACCTCCTGGGCTCAAGCCATCCTCTCACCTCAGTTTGCCAAGTAGCTGGGACCACATATATGTGTGATTATGCCTGGCTATTTTTTTTTTTTAATTTTAATTTTTAGAAGAGACAGGGTCTCACTATGTTTCTCAGGCTGGTCTTGAACTCCTGGGCTCAAGCAATCCCCCCATCTTGGCCTCCGAAAGTGCTGGGATTACAGGAGTGAGCCACTACCACACCTGGTGAGATCTTTTACAAAAGTCTTTAAAGCTACAAACCTGTGTTTACAGGAATATATTTATTATAAGACTGCATTTTCCATCTTCCCTACCATCACAGTATTTCTTTTTTAAAAAAAATTAAGCAGTAAGTAGTGTTTGCAGTGAGCTTGGAGGTTTGTTGGTTATGAATTACTTGATTGAGGAGGGGTCAGGGGAAAGGCCTTCTAATCACCATGTGGCTGATGTTATTAGTTCCTAAAGAGTCTATGACTAGGCTCCACTTACACATTCTCCAGACCTTTCTGTGCCCTGTGTCTCTCAATCTACACCTACTGTAACAATTGTTGATTTCTCTAAAGGATCCAGAAAGACCTAGTTGAAATGGACAGTTAGGGAAAATAGTCACACAAGCCCCTGCCCTGCCCCCACCAGCCCCGGTGTTCAAAAGCGAACCTCATGCTGACCATGCCTTTTACAGGAGTAAAGAAACCTTGGTGTTAGGGATCTGACTAGTACTATCTGGTTCTAGAGATTGGAGTACATTGGAATATGGCATTTAAGCATATATTAGAAAAATAGCAGAATGATTTTGGCCAGGGTGTTAATTTAGGCTGCTAATAAGAAAAACTTTTGGACTGCCCCTGTTTAATTCTAAGATACTTCATTTTCAAGCCAGAAACCCCAGACCCCAATAGCAATGGAACCAGGAGCTGAAGCAGGAGGGCCTGGTTCACATACACATTAAGTTTGCAATACTATTTTAGGAAAAACATAAGTGGGAGCAACCACGATGTTTGCCTGGCTTTGTACTTTCTTCCCTGGCAAACCTTCACAGAGATGGCCTGTTCTGTCAGTTGAACATTTAGGCTACAAAAGTTGGAATCCAGGCACCTGGGGAAGAGCCTAGAGACCCAGCACCTGCAATTGTGTATTTTTCTGAATCACTTTTTGAATCTGAGAGAATGTCACTTTACCTTATTAGTCCCTGATCCAAATCACAACTAATTGTTGGCATTACCTATCTTCTATATCTCAAAAAGTCCCTAGATAAGACCTGAATAAAATCTGTTTCTGTGGAAATTCAAGAAACAGGAAGGATGGCCAGGTGTGGTGGCTCATACCTGTAATCTCAACATTTTGGGAGGCCGAGGTGGGTGGATCACCTTAGGTCAGGAGTTCAAGACCAGCCTGGCCAACATGGTGAAACCCTGTCCTTACTAAAAATACAAAATTAGCTGGGTGTGGTGGTGCGTGCCTGTAATCCCAGCTACTCGAGAGGCTGAGGCTGGAGAATTGCTTGAACCCAGAGGTGGAGGCTGCAGTGAGCCAAGATTGCACCACTGCACTCTAGCCTGGGTGAAACAGAGCAAGATTCCATCTCAAAAAAAAAAAAAAAAAGAAAGAAAGAAAGAAAAAGGAAGGAGAAGGCAGAATGTGACCGGATCAGTAGTGTCATCTCTCCCTGAAGCCATGTGTAGAAGGTCTGGGCCCTTCTTCTGAGCACAGCCCAAGTGCTCTGTCCCAGAGACACAGGATGTTTGCTGAAAAACAAACTGTCCAATGGCTGAAATGAAGATATCATGTCCCCTTACCCAGGACACCTGAACTTCCCCCACCCCCTACCTGCACAGGGAAATTCAGCGGTAGTAGAAAGAATTCCGTATTGTAATTCAGAGGCAGAGGCTGTGAGGTTGGGCTCCCCATGTCTCCTCTCTGAATCTGAATGAGAGGCTATTGCATGACATCTGGGGTCCTTCCCAATATATTAAAACCAGACACTAACAAGTCTCGGTTTCTACTTGCACCCTCTGGGTTCCACCCACCTGTCTGAGGACCTCACAGCTGCTAAGTGCAAAAGAGGTGTCTGGTATTGGGTTCAGAATGGAGAAGCTGTGGAAGCATTTAAGCTGCTGGCTTCAAGGTGCAGTCCTTGCAGGGTTTTAGGATGGAGAGGCAAGCACAGGGGACAGGGCAGCACGCTGAGGTCTAGGTGAGATGGCTGATGGAGGAATCCATTTACTGGAGTGTTTTTAATGAGGTCAGGTCAGGGCCAGCTGCGCGTCTGGTGTTGTGGGGATTCCAGGTGGCAAATTGCAGGTTCCTGTAATACCTCTGTACCAGGGAGGTGAATTTAGAGCATTTTGGTGTGTGTGGTAGAGGCAGGTCACTTGGTTATGTGACTCTAGGGGCATCGTCACATTATGTTTTATGTAAAGGGAGCCCCTTAGAAATTGAATTATTAGGGATGAAGAAACACTTTGGAGACCGCAAACCTCAGGGGCAAGGAGCAAGCCTGGTAGTTTTTCCTGGGAGAACTGATACTGCGGGGATAGCGTCTAATTCCTATTTTCTCCTATGTAAGAGCTAAATGACTCCTCATCCTTCCTTTCAGTTCCATGTGCTCAAGCACTTTCAACTTCAAGAATCCTAAATATTTATAGCTTCCTCCTTAAACTGAATCTTAAATAACTTGATCTCAATCGATAATCAACTCATCCATCAAAGCAAATACATTTTAAAAATCATTTTTATTTATCCCTATTGAAATGATTTCTCAAATTGTCAGTGCTTCTAGGAACATGCCTTGCACATAGTAGGGATGCAGTAAATAGCTGTGGTTTGATAAAGTGGCATCAATTTTCTAAATTGTGCATGTGGAAGAAATGACAATCAGCATGACTCTTTTCCTTATGTTTAAATTTTCAAATGCCAACTTGTCTGGTACGTAGTGAATACTCAATACACACTGGTTAATTGAATTGCTTAATTGAATTTTTTAGAATAATCTTCACACTCTTCCAGAAGCAGACAGGATTATGTTGAAATAATCTTTAGTTTCCATTTGAAAATGCTTTTTCTTCTTAAAAGCTGTGGTACATCTTCAGTCCTTTATTATATTAAAAAACACACTGAGGGCTGGGTGCAGTGGCTCATGCCTGTAATCCCACCACTTTGGGAGGCCGAGGTGGGCAGATCACTTGAGGTCAAGAGTTCGAGACCAGCCTTGCCACCATGGTGAAACCTAGTCTCTACTAAAAATACAAAAATTAGTTGTGTGTGGTGGCACGCACCTGTAATCCTAGCTACTTGGGAGGCTGAGGCAGGAGAATCACTTGAACCTGGAAGGCAGAGGTTGCAGTGAGCTGAGATCGCACCACTGCACTCCAGCCTGGGTAACAGAGCAATACTCCATCTCAAAAAAAGAACAAAAGAAGAAGAAGAAGGAGAAGAAGAAGAAGGAGAAGGAGAAGGAGAAGGAGGAGGAGGAGGAGGAGGAAGAGGACGAGGAGGAGGAGGAGGAAGAGGAGGACAAGGAGGAGAAGAAGAAGAAGAAGAAGAAGCAGAAGAAGAAGAAGAAGAAGAAGAAGAAGAAGAAGAAGAAGAAGAAGAAGAAGAAGAAGAAGAAGAAGAAGAAACACTGAAAAATGAGGAGTTAGCATAAAAATTTCCAAAATACTAAAAAATAGGTACAAGCAAAAGACAGCTTTGTAACTTTTGGGTGACTCACTATAACTCATTCCCTAATGTTTTGTAGTTTAAACAAACTATCTAACTATTAAATGTAAATGTACTATATTTGTTTGTTTGTTTTGAGACAGAATCTTGCTCTGTTGCCCAGGCTGGAATGCAGTAGCATGATCTCAGCTCACTGCAAACTCGGCCTCCTGGATTCAAGCAATTCTCCTGCCTCAGCCTTCCGAGTAGCTGGGATTACAGGCGACCACCACCACTCCCAGCTAATTTTTGTATTTTTAGTAGAGATAGGGTTTTACCATGTTGGCCAAGCTGGTCTAGAACTCCTGGCCTCAAGTCATCCACCCACCTCAGCCTCACAAAGTGCTGGGATTACAGGTGTGAGCCAACATGCCCGGTCTGTAAGTATACTATTAAATGTTTGTAATTTAAACAAACTACCCAACTATCAAATGCTGAATCTCTATAGAACTGCATGTCCATAGTGGAAAGTGTGAGTTGCCTTCCCGCAACCTATCACTCTTGTCTTTCTTCCTAACTGAAGGTAACCCCTCTTTCTGACCCCATCCACGTGCCTCTGGGGACCTGACCCCTCAATCTGGCACCAGCATGAGTTTGATTTGTACCAAGGTAATCCCATTTCCTCATCCAGCTCCCAACTCTGATTAATAAGGTGGGAGGGGAATTCTGCTATGGAATTCCAGGAAAATGTTCCTTTCTCCCGAGGGACAGCCGAGAAAGAAGGAAACAGTTCTGTGAATATTTCCGTAACTCTATGGAGCTCCTGGAACTTCTGCCACCCTCTTGCTACCAACCTGTAGAGGAAACCATCACGAACTTCAACAGAGAAACTGAGAACCTCAGCCCCTGTTGTCGTGGTTCAGCCACTGAGTCAACACACTCGGGGACCCACTTGGTGTGTAGTCTTCCTAATGGACATAATGAACCTCTTTTGAATAAGCATGTTGAGACTGCATTTGCTGTAGCTGAAAGCAGTTAATGACAAACACCTTTGTCAATGGTGTGTTGCTGCTATATTTTACATATCCTTATTGCAACACTTATCACCTTGTATTTGAGAAATTGTTTTTTCTCTCCAGGACACTGTGAATTTTTTTAGGGTAGGAGTAGTACTTTATTCTCCTGTTAAGTCCAGAATCAGGAACAATGATTGGCACACAGCAAGAGTTTATAAATTCTTGTTGAATTAGATTCCTTGGATAATTTTCAGTATTCTTGTAGATAACTCAATCAACTTGGATATTTCTCACCATTGACTTAAGAAAGCAGAGCAGACACTGTGCTGGGGACTTTGAGCAATGCAGAGGAATGGAGAATGCCCCCCAAGAACTTAGAAGAGATGGACATTTGCATTATTCTCTGTAATGACTGCACAGTGTGGTGAGTATTGTACTTTGCTATTGGGTATCAATCACAATTGCAATTGGATAACCATAATAGCATACATAGAGAATTATTTTTCTTATATCAATAAATGTAGAGATTTTTTGGCTTTACTTTAGCAGCTCCTCAGTATAATCTAGGTGAATGCCTTTTCAATTTTATGGACATTTTCCTCATAGTTGCAAATGGCTGCTGAAGTTCCAGCAATCACATTCCCATCCCCCCCCCAAAAAAAAGAATAAGAAGAATGTAAAAGGAGTAATGACAGTCATGTCTTGCCCTTTATTAGGACAGCAAAACCATTTCCAGAACTACCACCCTTCCATAAACTTATGACAGTGTCTCATGGGCCAGAATGGGATCAACTGGCCACCCCAGGTGCAAGGGAGAATGTGGTGATGGAAAAAAATTAAGCTAGGCATAAAATGTTCAGAAGAAAATATGGGTTCTGTAAAGCCAATAAGAAAGTAGACAAGGAATGTTAGAGAGGCAGTTTAGAGAATCTGCTATATTAGATGTACAATGTGCTGTAAAGCCTTTGTAAAGGAAGAAAGAATTAATTTCATTGGGCACAATCATGTGACAGGGAAACCTTAATCTGGCCTACAGAGTGGATTTCATGACTTTGCTGTGTGAGTTGTTGGTGTAGACCTTGCACAGGCATACCTTGGAGATATTGTGGGCTTGGTTCCAGACCACCACAATCAACTGAATATTGCAATAAAGCAAGTTACACAAATGTATTTGGTTTCTCAGTGCATTTAAAACTTGTCTTCACACTATATTCTAGTCTATGAAGTGTGCAATAGCATTATGTCGAAAAAACAATAACTATACCTTAATTTTAAAAATCCCTTTATTGCTAAAAGAATGCTAATGCTCATCTGAGCCTTCAGCCAATCATAGTATTTTTGCTGATGGAGGGTCTTGCCTAGATGTTGATGGTGGTTGACTGATCAGGGTGGTGGCTGTGGCAATTTTGTGGAATAAGACCACAGTGAAGTTTGCCACGTAGACCAACTCTTCTTTACACAAAAAATTTCTCTGTAGCATGCATGGTGTTTGATAGCATTTTACCCACAGTAGGACTTATTTCAGAATTGGAGTCAATCCTGTAAAACCCTGCAGCTACTTTATCAATTCACTTTATATAATATTGTAAATTATTTGTTGTGACTTCATCAATGTTCATAGCATCTTCCCCAGGAGTAGATTCCAACTCAGAAACCATTTTCTTTGTTCACCCGTAAGATGCAATTTTTCTCATCTGTTACAGTTTTAACATGAAATTTAAGCAATTCAGTCATATCTTCAGGCTCCACTCTTAATTCTAGTTCTCTTGCTATCTCTACCACATCTGCAGTTACTTCCTTTACTGAAGTATTGAATCCCTCAAAGTCATGCATGAGAGTTGGAATCATCTTCTTCCAAATTCTTGTTAGTGTTGATATTTGGTCCTCCTGTGAATCATAGATGTTCTTAATGACATCTTGAAAGGTGCATGCTTTCTGGAGGCTTTCAATTTACTTTACCCAGATCCATCAAAAGAATCACCATCTAAGCCACCTATATCCTTACAAAATGTATTTCTTAAATAATAAAACTTTAAAACCAGAATTACTCTTTGATCCATGGGCTGTGGAATGGATGTTGTATTAGCAGGCATGAAAACTACATTAATTTCCTTGTACATCTCCATCAGAGCTCTTGGGTGACCAGGTGCGTTGTCAATGAGCAGTAATATGAAAGGAATCTTTTTGTTCCTGAGCAGTAGGTCTCAACAACAGGCCTAAAACACTCAGTAAGCATGCTGTAAACACATGTCCTGTCACCTAGCCTTTGTTGTTTCATTTATAGAATACAGGCAGAGTCGATTGAACATAATTCTTAAGGGCCCTAGGATTTTCAGAATGGAGTATTGGCTTCAACATAAAGTCACCAGCTGCATTAGCTCCCAACAGAAGCATCAGCCTGTACTTTGAAGCTTCGAAGCCAGGCATTGACTTCTCTCTAGTTATGAAGGTCCTAGAAGACATCTTCTTACAATAGCAGGCTGTTTTGTCTACATTGAAAATCTGTTGTTTAATGTAGCCTTCATCAATGGTCTTAGCTAGATCTTCTGGATAACTTGCTTGAGCTTCTCCATCAGCACTTGCTGCTTCACCTTGCACCTTTAAGTTCTGGAGATGGCTTCTTTCCTTAAACCTCATAAATTAACCTCTGCTAGCTTCCAACTTTTCTTTTGTAACTTCCTCATTTCTCTCAGCCTTCATAGAATTAAAGAGAGTCAGAACTTTGCCCTGTGTTAGGCTTCAGTTTAAGGGAATGTTGTAGCTGGTTTGTTCTTCTATCCAGACCACTAAAACTTTCCCCATATCACCAAGGAGACTGTTTTGCTTTCTTATCATTCGTGTGTTCACTGGAGTATCACTTTTAATGTCCTTCAAACAGTTTTTGTTTGGTTTTACAACTTGGGTAAGTGTTTGGCATAAGAGGTCTAGATTTAAGCCTATTTTGGCTTTCAACATGCTTTCCTCACTAAGCTTAATCTTTTCTAGCTTCTGATTAAAAGTGAGAGACATCCAACTCTTCTTTCACTTGAACACAGGCAGGCTGTTGTTGGGTTATTAACCGGCCTAATTTCAGGATTGGTTTTTCTCAGGGAATAGAGAGACCTGAGGAGAGGAGGAGAGACAGGGACATGTCTGCTTGGTGAGGCAGTCAGAACATATACATTTATCAATTAAATTGATCATCTTGTGTGGGTGCCATTTGTGGCATCCCAAAACAATTTCAATAGTAACATCACCGATCCCAGTTCACCATAATGGATATAATAATAATGAAAACGTTTGAAATATTGTGAGAGTTACCAAAAGGTGACACAGAGTTTGAAGCGAGCACACGCTGTTGGGAAAAATGACACTTGTAGAACTGCTTGAGGCAGGATTGCCACAACCTTCAATTTGTAAAAAATGCATATTTGGGAATATGCACAATATCCCATCTCACAACATCTCACAATAAAGTGAGATGCACTAACATGTGGTGTACCTGGATTATTTTCCTATTGCTGCTGTAAGAAATTTCTGCAAACTTAGTGGCTTAAAACTTAACTTTATTAACTTACAATTCTGAAAGGCAGAAGAAGTGTTGCACAGAGCTCATTGGCCTAAAGCTCAGGTGTCTGCTGGACTGTGTTTCTTTCTGGACATTATAGGGGATAATCCATTTTCTTGGGGTTTCCAGCTTGTAGTGAGAGAGGCAGGAGGCAGCCAAATGCCTAGGCAGATAGGGGCAGGTCCTTGGTGAAACCCCATCTCCAAGCCAAAGACAGTGTAAGGCCTAAAAACCAAGCCACAAGTTAAATCATCAGACCAGATTGAGAACTCATCTTCTTATTTGGTGAACTTTCCTCGGATTGATCCCCACCCTTTACCTATTTTACATATACCTACACTTTCCTAATTGGTTTTCTACACTGTTCTGCCCACTTTTGAATGGTGTCTTTGCTTTAACCTTTTTTGCACACTCACAAACCAATCAGCACAAACTCTCCATTCTGAGTCCTTAAAAGGCCCCAGATGCAGCCACATGGGGCACTTTCCTGCCTTTGGGTGGGGGAACCACCCCTCTCATTCCATATCCACCGAAAATTTTCCTTTTGCTTAATAAATTATACTCCACTTACTCTCTGGTGTCAATGAGCCTAAATTTTCCTGGTCGTGAGACAAGAACTTGGACCTAGCTGAGCTAAGGAGAGAAAGACTGCTACACTAGCAGCTGCCTGTATTCCTTGGCTCCTGGCCCCTTCCATCTACAAAGCCAGCAACTCCTAGCTGAGTTCGTCTCATGCTGCCATCTCTCTGCCCTCTCTCTTCTGCCTCCCTTTCCACTTGTAAGTTCCCTTGTGATTACATCGGGACTGCCTGAATAATCATTTTGTTTTTGTTTTGAGATGGAGTCTCGCTCTGTCACCCAGGCTGGAGTGCAGTGGCAAGATCTTGGCTTACTGCAGCTCCACCTCCCAGGTTCAAGCGATTCTCCTGCCTCAGCCTCCTGAGTAGATGGGATCACAGGTCCCTGCCACCATGTCCAGCTAATTGTTTTGTACTTTTAGTAGAGACGGGGTTTTACCATGTTGGCCAGCCTGGTTTTGAACCCCTGACCTCAAGTGATCCACCCACCTTGGCCTCTGAAAATGCTGGATTACAGATGTGAGCCACAGCACCTGGCCTTAATCAGGATAATCCTAGGATAATCTCCCCATCCCATGGTCAGATGGTTAGCAACCTTAATTCCATCTGCAACCTTAATCCCATTTTGCCACTGAAAGTAATATAATCACAGGTTCCAGAGATTAGGACATGAAGACTTTTGGGGGACGATTGTCATTTCAATTATAGATCTCTAGGCTTTGGGGTACATGGGGTAAGGAGGGAAAGAGAAAAAAAATCACTTCACCAGGATCATTTTTCCAGAAGACTGTCATGTAGAATAAGATTGCTCTCTTCAGGGCAAACACAGAACCAAATTACTTTGTTTAAAACTGTTAGTGGCACATGAAATGTGAGCTATTTTTAAGGTGAGAAACCCCAACTAAACTAGAATTAGTTCATTTATTTCCCAAAAGACTACGACTGAGGACATAATTCACTGCTAGTAACTTGCTATGTGAAAATAAAACCAACATTACAAATAAATCAGGGGCAGCTATTTGCATTACAAAGAGCTTCACTTTAGGACTTAAATGAGTTCAACTGACTTAATTAAATATAAGTCAGCCCCTGTCAGTTGTTCCTTTGGTCCCATGTTTACTGGGCCCCAGCTCTATGCTGGGTCCTGAGGACATAAGAGTGTATGGAACTTGACTTGGCCTCTGCCCCAGTATAATGAAGGAAAAATAAGCAAACGATCTCAGAGTCAAACATGAAACTTATCTTTTTATCAGTGACAAGAGCTGCTAGGGAGCAGCACATGGTCCCCTAATAGCAGAAGAGGGAAGATTGCATCCCTTTGGGATGTCAAGGAGGCTTCTGTGGGAATGTGTCTACTAATGATAGTGACAGGAGGCAGCAAAATGCCTAGACAGACAGGGATGGATCTCGGTTGAAACCCCACCTTCAAGCCAAAAACAGAATGAAGGCCAAAAGCCCAGACTGCTGATCCCAAATGAAACCCATGACCCAGAGTGAGAACTTCTGTTCCTGTTTGCCTGCCCTTTCCCGATTGGTTCTTTCTGAATAATTCCTTTTAACTAATCGAATGTTGCCTTTTCCAATACTATCTAGGGCCGTAAAAAGCCCCAGACCCAGCTACATGGGGAGGTGAGAATCACCCAACTGCTGGGGTCGGGGACCATCCCCAACATGCCTTCTCCATTGAAAGCTGTTCCGTCACTCAATAAAATTCTTCTCTGCCCTCCTCCCTTCAATGTCCCACATATCCTCATTCTTCTTGGGTGTGGGACAAGAGCTTGGGAACCACTGAATGCAGGCACAAGCTATAACACAGGTGAGCAGGGGCATGCCAGCATGGCTGAGTGGGGCCTGGTGGGGCATCACCAGCTGGAGGTCCCTAGCTTGCAAAAGGACTGAGGAGAAATATCTTACATCACTGAGATGTCAAGAGAAGAACAAGTAGATGTTTAGGAGCTGCAGAGGGGAGAGGAGAGCACCCGCAAAAGGAGTGCAGCATGAGCAAAAGGCCTGGGGCACAGAATCTGTGTGAATACCAGGAACCCAAAGAAGGTCCCTGCGGATGGAAACACAAAGGGAGCTGGGGCAGGGAGGAGCTGAGGCTGGAGAAGTGCAAGCGCTAGACCACACTGGCCATCATGGACTCCAGTGGGTTGCACTGTCTTCGTTATAAGAGCAACAGAAAGACCCTAAAGCTGCTGAAGAGTCTAGACGACATGATCTTATTTGTGGTGAAATCACTTCAGCTAGAGTCTGTAAAGCAGTTTAGAGTGTGATTCGATGCCCAACAGAGTGCAGGCGAAAGTCAGTCATGGGACAGAAGAACTGAGAACAGCAGTCACCAGCAGGAGGTCATTTGTGGTAAGGTAGTCATGGTTATAACGGTAGCAACTGCCAACCTGTGTCAGGAGGTTCTGTTCTTCCAAGCTGTGCCCTGTGCGCTTCATACAAATTATCCCATGAATCCCTTGCAGTAACTCTACAAAGTATATATTAATATTATCTCCATTTTACAGATGAGGAAACTGATGCAGAGAGAAGCAGCTGGGCTTGCCGGCTGCCATACAGATGTACAAGCATCAGGGCCAGGTTTTACACCAGGCAGGCTGACCCCAGAATGCTTGCTGTCGACATGGGGAGTAACTGCCAAGTGGCTGTGGGCATCCCCAAATGATGTTTGCTTATTTGTTTGTTTTTGAAGGAAGGCATTGTAAATAATGTCACTGAAAAATAAATGGGCTCTGATTAGATATGTAAGTGTGTTAGTCTGTTCTCATGCTGCTAGTAGAGACATATCTGAAGCTGAGTAATTTATAAAGAAAAAGAGGTTTGAGTCCATTAAAGTCATGTCTTACATGGTGGCAGGCAAGAGAGCTTGTGCAGGGGAACTCCCATTTATAAAGCCATCAGATCTCATGAGACTTATTCACTCCCATGAGAACAGTATGGGGGAAACTGCCTCCATGATTCAATTATTTCCACCTGGCCCCACTCTTGACATGTGGGGATTATTACAATTCAAGGTGAGATTTGGGTGGGGACACAGCCAAACCACATCAGTAAGTATGAATGTTATGCACGTGTACAACTTTAGAATGAGGCATTGGATAGGAAAATGTCTGTGAGCTTCAGGTAAAGGAAGGGACAGTGGCCGGATGTCAAAGGCAAAAGGAGAGTGACCTTGTCATCATTAAGACGTGGGGTCCTTGTGTTAACAGATACTCTGATTTTTTCAAGAGATACCAGAAATCTTAAATTAGATTTGAAATCTCTTTATTTTTATGTTAGCAACTATTTCAGTTTTTAACATTGTGTAAATCAACATTGAAAGAAGCAAAGAGGCTCAGAAACAGAACTTTGAGAACCAATGTAACCTACAGACATCAGGCTAAAACCTCCAGATTTGGTCTGGGATTTGAGCTGCACTGACATGTTCCAGAGGAGTGGTCTGCATGCCGTGCCTTTGGCTTGGTGGGCCAGTGGCTTCTGGTTCTTAGTGTTTTTAGCAAACCTTTCAACTTAAGACCATAGGGACCAGCTCTCACTACTTACGACATGGACTTCACATCTGAGCCTAGAGGTGTGGAAGAATGAACTTGCATAATTGATCATAAGCCATGGCTCACAAAGCCCCTGGCGTATTAAGGGCATTATCAGCCTAAGATGGATGGATGTCTTTCCACCCACCATTAATGTCTCAGCTTTTCAAGGAATCAAAACTGCAGCTTTGAATTACAATTTTAGGAAGGAAACTAATGATAGGGAAAAAGTAAGTATAATTTTTTTCTCCCAAAAAAAGCTGGAGGCCGTGAGTCAGTAATGGTGCGTGGATAACATTCACATTTAACTAATTGGAGTTATATACGCAAACAGAGTCCATAAATAGACAAGTTGCCTTTGTATCAGACTAAGAAGTCAGGATCATTTTAATGTTTTATGTGATTACTTCTAATCCTAAACACACTCATAAAGTCTGTTTGGAAATATAAGGAAAAAAAATCAAGTTTTACTTGAAGACACAACGATTTTCTATAGGCAGAAATGAAGCAAGTCTTTCTTCACCTCCAGGTACTACCATGATCTGCCAGTTCCAAACGCTAACATGTTCAGAGAAAGAAAGGATTCTGTTTCACAGTGGAGAAACTGAGGCGAAGGTGCAGGGTCATTTTAGTGAATGAAAATCATGAATCAACACCCACAAGAAGCATTTGCATCCAGACAATGGACTTTTATTACATCTGGAGTGAGCAACACGCTTTCTCTATATGAGATCATTAAGTTCTTAGTTTTGCATGTATTTATTGGTGATGGTGCTAAGAAAAGAACAATGAACAAACAAAAAATACCCCAAAAACTGGGTCTTTGAGTGTACACTTTGCAGGGATGGACGTTAGGTCTGTTTATAATATCAGTGTCTGTCTTTAACCCAGCACAGTACTGGGCACTTAAGTTGGCTCAAACATATTTTATTGTTTTCCACCAAGGGGTTGCAAGCTTTTGCTGTAAAGGACGAACCAGGAAATATTTTAGTCTTTGTGGGTCATTCAGTCCCTGCTGCAATTATTTAATTCTGCCAGTATAGTGAAAAAGCAACCATATACAATAGTAAATGAATGGGTGTGGCTGTGTTTCAATAAAACTTTATTTACAAAATGTGACAGCCAATCAGATTTTGATTTGGGGCCTTCTTTGCTGTCCCCTGTTTTATACCGTGAAGTTTAGGATGGTTGGTTATTAGGTGACAGGAAAAAAAAAGTTACTGAGAGTGACTTGTGTTCAAAAGCTCCAAGAGTTAGGTTTCAAAATTTTCCTCTGGATTACAAATAAGGTTCAGGAATCAACAACTTTCAGTTAGAGCTTCTGAAATTAACAAATCAATGTTTTAAAATGATGTATTTACTAGTAAGTTTATAACTTACTAGTTGTGAAGTTATAAACTTCACAAGGGCATGTACCATTTCTGTACTTTTTTTTTTTTTTTTTTGAGATGGAGTTTCACTCTTGTTGCCCAGGCTGGAGTACAATGGCACAATCTTGGCTCATTGTAACCCCCACCTCCTGGGTCCAGGTGATTCTCCTGCCTCAGCTTCCCAAGTAGTTGGGATTGCAGGGGCCTGCCACCATGCCAGGCTATTTTTTTTTTTTTTTTTTTGTATTTTTAGTAGAGACAGGGTTTCATCATGTTGGCCAGACTGGTCTCGAAGTCCTGACCTCAGGTGATCCACCCACTTCGGCCTCCCAAAGTGCTGGGATTACAAGCATGAGCCACCGTGCCAACCCATTTCTGTTCTATAAACTGATGTCTATCCACATTGCTGGGCATAGAATGCTCAGGTACATAGATAGTTCTAGCACAGATGCATGTAATTTGTATTCTAATCTCAAGATTTCAGAATTTCTTTTTTCATAGATTTATTTTTCTTATTTTTCTTTTTTTAAATTATACTTTGAGTTCTGGGATATGTGTGCAGAACGTGCGGGTTTGTTACATAGGTATACATAGAATGCTCAGGTACATAGATTGTTCTAGCATGCACACATCCATGTAATGTGTATTCTAATCTCAAGATTTCAGAATTTCTTTTATTAATTTATTTTTCTTTTTTAAAAAATTATACTGTAAGTTCTGGGATACTTGTGCAGAATGTGCAGGTTTGTTACATAGGTATACATGTGCCATGGTAGTTTGCTGCACCCATCCATCCGTCATCTACATTAGGTATTTCTCTTAATGCTCTCCCTCCCCTAACCCCCACCCCCCAACAGGCCTCAGTGTGTTATGTTCCCCTCTCTCTGTCCATATGTTCTCATTGTTCAACTTCCACTTATGAGTGAGAACATGCAGTGTTTGGTTTTCTGTTCCTGTGTTGCTGAGAATGATGGTTTCCAGCTTCATCCACGTCCTTGCAAAGGACACGGACTCATTTTTTATGGCTGCATAGTATTCCATGGTGTATACGTGCCACATTTTCTTTATCCAGTCTATCATTGATGGGCATTTGGATTGGTTCCAAGTCTTTGCTATTGTGAATAGTGCTGCAATAAACATACGTGTGCATGTGTCTTTATATTATAATGATTTATAATCCTTTGGGTATATACCCAGTAATGGGATTGCTGGGTCAAATGGTATTTGTGGTTCTAGATCCTTGAGGAATTGCCAAGCTGTCTTCCATAATGTTTGAACTAATTTCCACTCCCACCAACAGTGTAAAAGCATTCCTATTTCTCCACATCCTCTCCAGCATCTGTTGTTTCCTGATTTTTTAATGATCACCATTCTACCTGGTGTGAGATGGTATCTCATTGTGGTTTTGATTTGCATTTCTCTAATGACCAGTGATTATGAGCTTTTTTTCATATGTTTGTTGGCTGCATAAATGTCTTCTTTTGAGAAATGTCTGTTCACATCCTTCTTGGTATTTTTAGAAATTGATGAGGTATAGCTAAATGATTGTGAACTTAGACCCTGAAGACTTGTGTTCTGGTGCTTCTTTTGCCAAATACCTTGAATAAATCACATCCTCTCTCTGTGCTAAAATCTCATCAGTAAAATGAAGCTGTTAGACCACATCAGTCTTTCCCAGGGCAGAAGACACACACACCTGCATCAATGCTGGGCGATTTTAGGTTTTAGGTGGCACCAGATACCTCTTTAAATAACATTAAATCACATATTTTCATTTCGATTGTCCTTCAGACCTTTTGATTACATAAAAGAGAGAGAGTATTTGCCATCAGTGAATTTGTAATATGTTTTAGAGAGAGAGCCAAACCCAGACTGAGAAGCCTCTGCAGAAAAGAATAGCTGTGATTTTGTAACATTTTATCATATTAATTTGCACAATACTTATTTCCTATAGTTACTTCCTATGATGGTAGGTACTACTGGATTTCTATTAACAGTGTAATGCAGTGTTCCTGTTTTAAGAAATAAATTAGGCTTACATCTTTAATCCCAGCACTTTGGGAGGCCGGAGCAGGAAGAACACTTGAGCCCAGGAGTTTGAAAGCAGCCTGGGCAAAATAGCGACACCCCATCTTTACAAACTGCTCTCCCCTGACACACACAAAAATTAGCTGGGCATGGTGGCTCCTGCCTGTGGTCCCAGCTACCCTGGAGGCCAAGGTGGGAGTTTGAAACCAGCCTGGTCAACATAGTGAGACCCTGTCTCTACAAAAGAAAAAGTAGGCCGGGCGTGGTGGCTCATGCCTGTTATCCCAGCATTTTGAGAGGCCAAGGTGGGTGGATCACCTGAGGTCAGGAGTTCAGGACCAGCCTGGCCAACACAGTGAAACCCTGTCTCTACTAAAAAAATACAAAAATTAGCCAAGCATGGTGGCAGGCACCATGCTACTTGGGAGGCTGAGACAGGAGAATTGCATAAACCCTGGAGGTGGAGGTTGCAGTGAGCTGAGATCACACCATTGCACTCCAGCCTGGGAGACAAGAGTGAAACTCTGTCCCCACCCCCCAAAAAAAGAAAAATTAAAAAATTAGCCATGCAGGGTGGTGCACACTGGTAGTCCCAGCTACTGCAGAGACTAAAGCAAGAAGATCACTTGAGCCCAGGAGGTCAAGGCTGCAGTGAGCCAAGATCGCACCACTGCACTCCAGCCTGGGTGACAGGGCAAGACCTTGTCTCAAAAAATAAGTAATTAAGTAAATAAATAAATAAATAACGATAAGAGAAAAAAAATAACTGGAGTAAAAGCATAAATTTCTAGACGTAAGATATTTTAAATTCCAACCCCATTATTCTATCTTTGGGCTTTTACTCCGTAGTCTTTGAAGTTAGAAATAACTTAGGGTGAATTTTATTTTTCTCATCTGTCTTCTAGAGTTCAGGTGGCTACATTCTTTGTATACAGACAAGCATTGAAAGAATCCCTTCAGAATCCAAATCTCAGCCTCAGGGGATTTGTTGGATTGTGGAGTTTGGCCCTCTCATGCCCCTAATCAGCCTCCCCATGTGAACTTTATAACTGTGAAGTAGCAGAAGTTTCCATGCAGACCCTTTCACCTGCTGTCAGTTATTGAGGAAAACCTGTCAGGGCCATCGTGTGTCACTGAGTGTCAAACAAAAGTGGAATACGGGTTAAAGGAATTTTCACTTGAGACAAGTTTGACTGCATTAGAACTGAAGAGCAGAAACTTGTAACTTAGGGAAGACACTTTTAAGATGGCGTGTTTATGAATTGTAAACTCTGCTTTAAGTCAAGTCATGGGGCCATACCCGGAAGACACAGACTAAATTACTATTCATTATCAGAAGGAAATTTAGATTACTCCTATGCATACTTAATTCCCAACATCTCACTGGCAGTAGAAGTTAGTGGGAGTGACTTGTGTTCAAAAGCTCCAAAAATTAGGTTTCAAAATTCTCCTCTGGGTTACAAACAGGGCTCGGTAATCAACAGCTTTCAGTTCAAGCTCCTGAAATTGCAAATCAATGTTCTCTACTTGCTGCTTCCATAAATAAATGTATTCTTAAAATGAACTAAATTGTTTGTAGCATGAACATAAGATAGTTTCAGGAAATTAAAGAGTAAAAATGATTAAGAATCAAAAGATAACTTTTTATTTTGCTCAAATATTAGTATTTCTTCAGAAATGAGATATATTTTATGGAAAACATGTCAATTCGCAAATAGGATAGGAAAATGTTAATCAACTCTCCCCCCTACCCTCATCTTGTGCATGTAGAATCTTTCTGAATTTTCCATTACAGGGAGAAAAATGAAAGAATCGTCTAGCTTAATTCTCTAGTACAATTTGAATTTGCCACTCACAAATATATGAGCATTTATAATCAGGAATTCACTATCTTGGCTATCTGGTGACTGGAATTTTATTTATTTAATTTAATTTAATTTAATTTAATTTTTATTTTTTTGAGACAGATTTTCACTCTTATTGCCCAGGCTGGAGTGCAATGGCATGATCTCAGCTCACTGCACCCTCCACTGCCTGGGTTCAAGTGATTCTCCTGCCTCAGCCTCCCAAGTAGCTGGGCTTACAGGCATGTGCAATCACACCCAGCTAATTTTGTATTTTTAGTAGAGATGGGGTTTCACCATGTTGGTCAGGCTGGTCTCAAACTCCTGGCCTCAGGTGATTCACCCATCTTGGCCTCCCGAAGTGATGGGGTTACAGGCATGAGCCACCGTGCCTGGCCTGAAAATTTCTAAAATTAGGAAAAAAGAAATTGAATTGTGATTTCAAATGACATCCACAAACAGTAAACTCAAATGGCAACAGGACCCAGGGAAGCCAGTGAGTAAAGTGGGCCATTTAGAAGACTCTAGAGAGTAATGGAGTGAACAAGGGAACTGACATTCTGTCTATGATGGAACATCAGGGCTAAACCAGAGGCAACTATTTCCAAGTAAAAGTGAGGGCTTAATGTTGCCAGAAACCATGTGGGGGTTATATAAGTCATATTCTTGAAACTTAGTTAACCTCAGTCCCTAAAAACCAGTGAATAATCAGAGATATCAAGGAGAAGAAGGACACAGTGAGAGTTAAATTTTAAAAAAGTGTTAGCATTCCATTTTTCAATTTGCCTCCTTTCTGAAAATTCTATCTAACAACTGGAACGAGAGGCTGACTGAAGCCTAAGAAAAAAGATAAGATAAAGGATTAGATGTTATCCATTGCTCTAAAATAATTTACCAGCACATAATGCAATTTTGTTTCAGTCATTCACCCCCATTTTATTTAAAGATTTTACTTCAGATATTCCTCCCTTCCATCCTCCAATAATCTTGAAGCCAGAAAAACTAAGTTTTATCACTAGCTTGATCACTTAGAAGTTATGTTGGGTCAGATAAGTAACTCAGATTATTTTTTAGAAATGAGAATGTTACCAATATTTGTATGATTGAATAATTTCAAATAAGAAATATAATCTCAACTCAAATCATCTTAAAAAAGGAAATTTCTCTTGCTTCATAACAGAGTCCAGCCTACAAAAGGCCACCGAGTTGATTGATTCGGAAGTTCAGTGATATTAAGGCTCTTTCCTTTTCTCTGGTCTACCATCCTGGGCATTTCCTTCAACCTCAAGTAGGTAGCAGGACTGTTGTAGTGGTATCAGGTATTACATCTAGACATGGAACAAGAGAAGTTATTTCTTTCCTATAACTTTCTATGGAACTAATTTTTTTTTCACTAAGTACTTCCCAGAAGAAAAACTTCCTTCTTTTTGGAAAATACTAAGTCATCTATCCATGTATGAACCAATCAATGCCAAGGAGATGGATTACCATCACACCCATCCATGAAGATAACCCCAAGGCTCATGGTTCTGTGCAAAAGGAGTAGATATCTGAACAAGATTTTGACTCTATTGGGAGCAAAAGAGGATGATGGTTGCTGGGAAGGTTACCAACAAAGATCACTACACTGGCCCAACTTACTGTTGACACAGTAAAGTGTCCCGCACTTGTATGCTAGGATTATTATCACAGGTTTGTGAATCTTTCCATAAGAAACACATAGTTAACCTTATGAGACCATTCAGTCTACTGCATCAGTTAAGTCTGTATTCCTGGTTTTATTAAAACTGTTGTAACTTAGCAATTCTGATTAGAGCTTAATATAGGGACATATAATGTTAAAGCTAAAGAAGACCTTGGAAAATTCTTTCTTCAAACTCTGAACTACAAAGGTCCACAGCTTCAGAAGAGAGAACAGGTTGGGTAAGAGGACAATACTTTTCTAAACAATCTTACTTCATGTAAGTCTATTGCAAAATCTACATTAGTCATTGAGAGCTTTCCCCATATGTATCTCTGGGAAACATCATAGGAATGCCCCTTATCTCTATGTTTATAGCTTGGTGTTCTGATCAATATCGAAGTATGAAAATAAAAGGCATTTTGCGTTGGTATGACATTTAAAAATATTAACTGATATTTCTTCTAAGTATTTCATTTCATCTCATGATCCTTCTTATATTTGAAGATTTGGCTTCTGACACACTCATTGCTTTGGAGAGGATGGTTAAGTCAGAAAAAAGACTTTTGAGACTCAAAATTCTGGACCCCGATTCTGCTTGGAGCCAAGATAAAGTGAGAGAAGTAATATTTACCCTCTCCCTTGAAACAGCTGGAAAGTCACACAAAATATATGAAATGATTGTTTTTAAGCTATTGAACATAAAGCAATGAACAATGATCTCTGAGATAAGGAACATGAGATGAACTCTATGATTGCTCTAGCTTAGTGTTTGCAGAGAGATTCCAGATCATAGTGCAGAGGAGAACCCAGGTAGAACTTGGGAGTCTTGAGGACATTGCAGTTAACAGTACCAGAGTATAGAGAGTTACACTGATACAGAACGCTGGAGATTTGTGGAGAAGAGACTTAGAGTAAACAGATAAGTACTAATGACTGCCTGTGTGTGAGGAGAGAATACTTATGAACTTCTTCATAAGTCCAGTATTTACCCTGATACAAGAATATTACAAGAAAAGACTATTACAAAACAAATGTCATTCACAGATGCAAACATATAGAGATAGATGAAAAAAATGTATCAAATAGAATGCTAACAATATATACCAAGGAAAAATGCATCATGACAAAGTGAAGTTCTGGGAATGCAAGGTTGGTTTAAAGTAAAAAAATCAATCAATGTGATGCAATAAATTAACAAACTGTATTAGTTTGTTTTAACATTGCTATAAAGAACTACCTGAGACTGAGTAATTTATAAAGAAAAGAGGTTTAATTGGCTCATGGTTCTTCAGGCTTTACAGGAAGCATGAGCTGCGGGAGGCCTCAGGAAACTTAGAATCACAGTGGAAAGTGAAGGGGAAGCTTGCATGTTCTATATGGCTGGAGCAGGAGGAAGAGAGTAGTGGCAGGTGCTACACACTTTTAAACAACCAGATCTCATGAGAACTCAATCATGAAATAGCACTAGGGGGATGGAGCTAAACCATTAGAAACCACCCCCATGATCCAATCACCTCCCACCAGGCCCCACCTCCAACACTGGGAATTATAATTCAACATGAGAGTTGGGTAGGGACAGAGCCAAACCATATCACAAACTAAAAGAGAAAAGACACATGATTATCTCAGTGGATGCATAGAACGTATTTGAGAAAATCCAACACCTATTCCTAATCAAAACCATCAGCAAACTAGTAACTTCCTCGACTTGATAAATGGCATCTCTGACAAGCTACAGCTAATGTCATAATAAATGATGAGAATCTGGATTGTTTCCCACTGGAAATAGGGATGAGAAAAGGATGTCCACTTTCACTACTTCTCTTTAATATTGTGCTAGGAGTTCTAGTCAGTACAGTAGGGTAAGAAAAAAAAAGATATCCAAATTGAAAACTGTCTTTACAGATACTATGATTATTTATTTAAAAATGGAACCAACAGAAAAGCTACTAGAACTAATAAGCAAGTTGAATAAGATTGCAGGATATAAGATCAATATAAAATCCAAGTGGATTTGTATATAATGGTTTCCCTTTGGAGGCTCCTTGGCTCTTATACAAATTTTTTCTAAATTATCTTCTGAAAAATTCTAAATGCAGGCATTGGGAAAAAATAGGTGTTTCCTTCTCCTTCACTTAAAAAGTAACTGAAGATATTCAAATGGTTCCTCCTACAACAAAGGAAGCCCTATATGAAAATTTAAAGTTCTATTTGAATTGAAATGAAAAAGTGTGTCCTGTCTCTTATGTAGTGGTATGGCTATATCAGCATAAGTAGGCACCTTATCCAAAAAAAAAAAACCCCATCTGGCCACTACCTCTCACAAACTGAGCCAGCTTTTATGGATCTTGTCCATAGAGTCCCATGAGGACAAGAGCAATGACTTGCCCCTGTCTCCACCCTCTGACCGTTGCGGGGTTATGGGGAGAGCAGACACTCAGTTGAAGTTTAGTGAAAGTGTATGTGAATTAAATAAGGGACTTCTGGAAAGGGAGAACTCAATGTCCTGAAAGAAGTACTTAACCTTCTGGCATGATTGTTTGTAGGGACATTAATTGCTTGCTATTGAGAGTTTCCCAACAATTTGTGTAGGGGATCAGTCAGAATGGTAGGAAAAACTGTAGAGAAAGTACACAAACCTTCTGAAAGGTTGGAAGGTTCTGCAGAGCCACAAGGGACAATGGCTGAAGGCAGCTGTTCTATAACCCTGAGGCAGAGGGCAAGGAGTAGGTACAAGGGAGTTTGGGGGAATTTACCTTAAATAAGCTTGTTTACTTATGTTGACCAGGAACTGACCTTTGATTATCTGCATGACGTTCCCTGAAAGGAGAACAATAAATGTTAATTACCCACAGGTTGTGTTTGCTCCAGGTTATCGGCATTGTGCCTGCACTGAATAAAAACAAGCAGCTCCAACTTCTCAGGGCTGCTCTCTGGCCACTAGAGCCAGGCAGTCACCTAGCTGCTGTTATGCTGCATACCTGTCTCTGAGTACTCGCTTCATCCATCGGCCAGGGTCTGTGGGACAGACCAGGCAGGTGGTGCCCCATGTGAGGAACGCTGCAATGGATTGCAAGGGAACCCCTGAAAACAAATGTGAAGTGACTGAGCAGTAAGTAATTGGTGCGCGCTGGGGATTTCCAAGTTCGAGGGGATTTTCAAGCTAGGGTTTCTTCATGGGACAACAATTATCAGCTCAACAGCAACAGTATATAAAGTATTGAAACAGCTGCTTAAAGCTAGCAGAGCCTCGGTCTCAGAGGCCCAATTAAGGGACCTAATGCAAACTGTTGTTTTCCACAACGCGTGGTTCCCAGAAAAAGTCACGTTAGACCTAGAGCTCTGGGAACAGTGGGAAAAAGTCTTAAACAACATCGTGCGCAAGGGCAACGGGTCCCAGTAACATCTTTAATGTTATGGGCCTTAGTTAGGGCTGCTTTGGCCCCACTCTACACAGAAGAGCCTAAAAAGGGAGGGGAGGAAGAACCATCATCTACCTTATCACCTCCTCCTCCTCCCTCAGCCCCTCCATTACCAGGTAAAGGTGCCACAGAGGAGAGAAAGGTTTTCCCTGAGTCCTCCTCCTCCAATAAATTAGAAAAAAGGCAAGGGATACACTACAGTTATGGGACCCTGTCTTAGGCAAGTGGCATTAGAAGGGGAACTCTTGTCCTGCCTGGTGATGCAAGGTCAACAAGGCAATTAGTTACATGAACCCGTTACTTTCAAGACTTATAAAGAGATAAGAAAAAGCATTAGAGAAAACGGAGCTGCTAGCCCATTTATGAAAGGATTAATTGAGGCCATAGCAGATAATCTCCATATAACCCCATGGGACTGGTCAGTGCTAGCTAAAACAACTTTAGAGGCCAGTCAGTATCTCCTCTGGAGGGCAGAATATGATGAGTTGTGTGAACAACAAGCCAACCAAAATCAATTGGCCAGGCAAAACGTAACGGCTGCTATGCTGTAGGGGAGGGGTCCCTATGTCAATGTACAACAATTAAATTTTGTCCCCCAAGCCTGTGCACAAGTGTCCTTATGTGACTGCAGGGCTTGGGACCAAATTTCCGAAGGTGGAGTTCAACAGGGATCTTTTGTAAATGTTTGACAAGGGCCTCAGGAGCCATTTGTTGAATTTATCAATCAGTTAACCCAGGCAATTAAGAGACAAATTAGTCATGCCCAGGCCGCTGATATCTTATTGTTGCAATTGGCTTATGAAAATGCTAATATAGACTGTTACAGGCAATGCAGGCAATCAGAGGAAAAGCGGCTATCTGGTGGGAACCGCATAACTCTCTCACTCGATCTGGATTTACTAGCACTCAGAGAGCTGAGGTTGGAGCCCTAATATTGGCCCTGGAAACCTTTTCCGTTCAGCCCATCAATATCGTTAGTGACTCTGCTTATTCTGTTTATTTAGTGCAAAACCTTGAAACAGCTCTCATTAAATCCACTCTTGAGCCCACCCTGTGTGCCCTTTTTCTCTGACTTCAGCAATTGTTGGATCAATGAACACATCCTGTTTTTATCACACACATTCAGGCCCACAGCTCGCTGCCTGGTCCGCTGGCTCATGGCAATGATCAAGCAGATTTGCAGGTCATGAGGTCACTACTTGACCAAGCCACACAATCACATCTATTTTTTCATCAGAATTGGAGAACTTTAGCTAAACAATTTCAACTTACCCAAAGACTAAACAAATTATTTTACATTGCCCAGATTGCCAGCTCACAGGCACATCCCCTCCTTCAACAGGTGTTAACCTTAGAAGACTAGAACCTAATGAGTTATGGCAAACAGATGTTATGCACGTCCCTGAATTTGGAAAACTAAGGTATGTACATGTATCTGTTGATACCTATTCCCACTTAATTAGTGCTCATGCTCTTCCTAGAGAGTCAGCCCGATATGTCATTAAACATCTTCTCTTAACCTTTTACATTTATGGCATGGCCCACAAAGATTAAAACTGATAACAGTCTGGCTTACACTAGCTCACAATTTCAAAATTTTGTCACACATGGAATGTCCAACATTCCACGGGTAGCCCGTATAACCCTCAAGGACAGGCCATAGTAGAATGTGCCCACTCCACCCTTAAAAATAAGCTCAGAAAACAAAAAAGGCAGAATATGAGTAAGGACCCTGCAACACTATTGGCACAAGCCTTATTTACCCTTAATTTCTTCAATTTAGATGATAAATTTCAATTAGGTATAGAAAAGCGCTTTGCAAAAATCACTCAAGATATAAAACCTTCAGTTTTATGGAAGGATGTAAATAGTAATATATGGTGTGGTCCAAATGATTTGCTAATGTGGGAAAGAGGATATGCTTGTGTTCACACCCCGTCAGGTCCTCTTTGGATTCCAGCACGAGGCATCAAACCATACCATGGCATGGCTAGGACCCAACCCGGTACCAAAATGAAGAAAATGACCCTACAGGACCCACAATCCCGGATGATGTGGCTTCCTTGGATGACACAGGCCCTGGACATTACCTGGGGGATGCTGAAGAAGACAACTCAGGAGGCCAAGCAAATCCTGCTCCAGGCACAGACACCATTCACTCCAGGTAATGTGTTCCTCGCTATGCTGTTGTACATTGCAACTCTCGTAGGGTATTAAGCTTTTTTATTCTCTCACTTTGCCTGCTACCTGTAACTGCTACACTCTATTGGGCCCATCTTCTAGATCTGCCTTTTTTCCCACTCTGTTACTTGGGCAGACACTCCCTTCCCAGGCTCTAATAACGTGACTGATTGGCTAGGAGGGATTGACATACCCCCCAGTGGGGTCCCTCAGTAATGGCACACATTGGACTGAGGTGCTAAGTAACACTACATATCACACCTTGATTGGAAAAGAATAATACTGATTATACTCATGTTTGTCTTATGTTATTTACTGGTTCTGGGATGTAAAGCCAGAACACAAGCTGTAACTGCTGTGCCAGTCAAAACTGTTGCTGTGCACATCTGTATGCTTCAATCAACAAAACCTAGTGCAAAAAAACCCCCAAAAAACAAAAAAAAACCAGAAAAGAGGGAGATGTGGGGGATCACTCAGAGTGGTGGGAAAACTATATGGAAAGGACGCAAATCTTCTGAAAGGTCAGAAGTTTCTGCAGAGCCCCCAGGGGAGAATAGCTGAAGGCAGCTGTTCTATAACCCTGAGGCAAAGGGCAAGGAGTAGCTACAAGGGAATGTGGGGGAATTTATCTCAAACAAGCTTGTTTAGTTATGTTGACCAGGAACTGACCTTTGATCATCCATGCGCATGACTCTTCCTGAAAGGGGAAACAATAAATGTTAATTACCTACAGGTTGTGTGGGCTCCAGGTTTTCGGCATTGTGCCTGCACTGAATAAAAGCAAGCAGCTCCAGCTTCTTGGGGCTGCTCTCTGGTCACTAGAGCCAGGCAGTCACCCAGCTGCTCTTACGCTACATACTTGTGTCTGAGTACTCATTTCATCTGTTGGCCAGGATTTGCGGGACAGACCTAGCAAATTTGAGTCCATTTAAGAGTGAAAAGTAACACTGGTAGCAATCATTTGAAAATGTGTCAGAATACCAGTGACACATATACACCAAAAATCCATGTAAGATACCAACAAGTAAGTCAGGTCATTCACAAGATAGTGAAGTTTCAGAATCAAGTCACTAAATTCACAAATAGTAGGTTAATTATCACATTTATCAATCTTTTATGATGATCTAAGAGTAAGCGAACTGATTTGTGAAAGTCACTCATTTGGTAAGACCTGGGGCCAAAACGTGAACAACGATTATTCTTATAGCAGATTTAATGGTTTTTCTGCTATATTAGATGAAAGATATCTCCTGTCTGTCTCTACACCATGTTGAATGAGGAATGCCACCTGCCACTGTCTCTCAATCACAGTGAATAAGAGACACCATCTGCCTCTCTCTTTCCATCCTTTTGAATGTGGA
This sequence comes from Homo sapiens, assembly GCF_000001405.40. Classification (NCBI taxonomy): domain Eukaryota; kingdom Metazoa; phylum Chordata; class Mammalia; order Primates; family Hominidae; genus Homo; species Homo sapiens. The sequence goes on from NC_000012.12 coordinate 126,034,674, forward strand.
GGGACACCTTCCTGCTTCAGGCCTGTTGGGCGTTTCTTAGGGCATGGTACTCCTTCAATTTCTCCTTACATGGGATCCGTCCAAGCTCTCAGATGTGACAGTGTTTTTCACTCCATACTCCACTGAATTCATTACTATTATCAACTTGAACAATGTGCCTAACATATCCTCCATTTTTCTTGAGAAACCAAGAAATTGGCCGGGTGCAGTGGCTAACGCCTGTAATCCCAGCACTTTGGGAGGCCAAGGCGGGTGGATCACCTGAGGTCAGGAGTTCAAGACCAGCCTGGCCAACACGGTAAAACCCCGTCTGTACTAAAATACAAAAATTAGCTGGGTTTGATGGTGTATGCCTGTAATCCCAACTACTTGGGAGGCTGAGGTAGGAGGATTGCTTGAACCTGGGAGGCGGAGGTTGCAGTGAGCAGAGTTCATGCCACTGCAATCCAGCCTGGGCGATAGAGCAAGACTCTGTCTCAGAAAAAAAAAAAAAAGAAACCAAGAAATTCTATCAGGCATTTTCTCAATGGAACCCCTGAGAATAATTAAGAACTGTCAAATAAAAGGGTGATTTTTGAAATTCTATTTGCAAATATTTAATATACTTCTGTTGTCAAATAATGGAGTCTTTATCTCGTTTTTAATACCTGGGCTTAGGAAGCCCACCCACAGTGAGCACAGGCCTTTTAGGTCACTCTGATAATTAAACCTGAACCAGGGGCTGTATGCTTGGAAGATGACAGGTAATAATAATAATAATAATGATAGCAACAACACAACAATAACTTTTAGTGAGTGATATCTAGCAACAGGCAGTGAGCTAAGTCTTTTACATCATGGTCTAATTGATTGTTAGGATCCAAGGTCGCCTGGTAGGAAGGGAAGCCAGGACCTGAATGACATGTGTATGCCCCTGACCCTGATACTGCACAGGAAGACAAAGCCTTGTATCAGCAAGTACCAGGGCATTTTGCAAATGTGGGGATAACATTTGCTGAGATGTGAGCTGGATTTTGTTTTTCACTAACTTAGAAAATATTTCGTGCGAAACTGAAAACTACAATTCCCTTTCTCCTGCCTCCTTTATATTAATCTTGGCTATTAATTTTAACTAAAAACAGAAGTTAATAGCTCCAGTTGGCAGTTTAATAAGGAGCCTTGGTAGGGTGGGAGGTGGGGAAAGGGCCTGTAGTTTCCAAAGGCCACCCCAGGCTTCATAATTCAGTAGGAGGACTCACAGGACTCGGCATATAGTGTTATGCTGATAAGTTACCTTAACAACATAAAATCGAGTTGTTCTCTCAGGCTGTTTACTAAGAAGTGCAAATAAATTCTCTAAATATTAAAAAATGTTTATTTTAGTTGTGCCAAGATCTGCTGGTTTATAATTACGGCTAAGTTTTACTACCACAAAAAGATATGAAGGACAGTCAGCCAACGTAAAAGGTGGATGGTGTGAAGTCTGGGGGAGACGAGCCTCAACCTCTCCCCATGGAGTCACACAGGACACAATTCCCCAGCGAATACAAGTGACAATGTGTGTGAAATCTGCCAGGTATAACAGAGAAGTCCATTAGAGACTCAATGCCCAGGATTTTTACTAGGGGCTGATTCCATAGGCACCCTCTTCCTGGGAGGTACTAAAATTCCAGAAGGAAAGCAGGTGTATGGCAGGGATTGTATTATTTGTACAAAATGTCTGGGCATAGTAAGCCACCTTTACCAGGTGCCAGCCAGGGTCTTCTGACAAATGCAGTCCTAGGCCTGCCAGGTTAAATCCTTAAGAAAGGAGAAAATACAGGGCTGGACTTTATACTGTCTTAGAGAGAGAATGACAATGTTGGTGAATATTTACATACCATAAAACTTAGGTCACAGCTATACCTGTTCTGTATCTTATCAACATAAAATTGAGTTGCTCTCTCCAGCTATTTACTAAGAAGGGCAAATAAATTCTCTGAATATTAAAAGTGTTTATTTTAGTAGTGCCAAGATCTGCTGGTCTGTAACATTGTGATTATGTGCAAGTGTCTGTGACAGAAAAGTATCTTAAGAGGATTCTGCAGAATAATGTGTTTGATATAAGCTAAATGGTTGACAGTTATCCTACTGTGTATCTTGCTGACTTGATCCTGGAATTTCACTGCTGTGTAAATGACCTGACTTTAGCCAGAAGCAGAAGTCTCCTTTGTCCTGGATGTTTCTCTTTTTAGGCCTGCATGTAAATCAGATGCATTTCTAAAAGGCAGTGCCAGCTAGTGCTTTTCACCACTCTCTACAAAAAGAGAGAGAGAGAAAAAAAATGCTCTCCTCCACCGGCAAGTGTCCAGCATACTTTCTGCTCAGGCGGGTCTTGTAGGCACGGGAATGGGAAAAATTAGGTAGAAACTTTCCAGGCCGGGCACGGTGGCTCATGCCTGTAATTCCAGCACTTTGGGAGGCTGAGGAAGGCGGATCAGGAGTTCGAGACCAGCTTGGCATAGTGAAACCCAATCTCTCTTAAAATACAAAAATTAGCCAGGCATGGGGGTGTGCGCCTGTAGTCCCAGCTACTCGGGAGGCTGAGGCAGGAGAATCTCTTGAACACGGGTGGCGGAGGTTGTGGTGAGCCAAGATCTCACCAGTGGACTCCAGCCTGGGCGAACACAGTGAGACAGTCTCAAAACAACAACAACAACAACAACAACAACAACAACAACAACAAAAGAAACTTTCAAATGAGGCCCCTGAGGCACCTAGAGAGATGGGTTCCAAGGAGAAAGCTCTTTGGTGATCTCCTTGCACAATATTGTACTTTGGAAAGAATAAAGTTAAACTTGAGGAATTAATAACAAATGATTTTTTAAACTAGAGAATGTAGCAGAGAAAGACGGGGCTATCTTCCATCCTTGTAAGTTCCTTAGCTGGGCTACAAATTAAACTGATGTAAGACAGACTAACAGGAGAAAAACCATATTGAACTATGCAAGTACACATGGGAGTCCCACAAAACATCAGAGTAGAAGAGACATGTGATTGAAGCTTATACAGGATCCTGAGCTACAGAAAGGAATATGGGCTTGGGGCTCCTAGAGGGAGGTGATGACACAAGTTCTGGGAGGGTGAGAGGAAGAAGTGTACGGTCGTCTTGTTAGGCAGTGTATTCGTGCATTTTCATACTGCTATGAAGAAATGCCCGAGACTGGCTAATTTATAAAGAAAAAGAGGTTTAATGGACTCACAGTTTCACATGGCTGGGGAGGCCTCGCAGTCATGGCGGAAAGTGAAGGAGGAACAAAGGCACATCTTATATGGTGGCAGGCAAGAGAGTGTGTGCAGGGGAACTGCCCTTTATAAAACCATCAGATCTTGTGAGACTTATTCACTATCATGAGAACAGCACAGGAAAAAACCTCCCTCGTGATTCAGTTACCTCCCACCCAGTCCCTCCCATGACATGTGGGGATTACGGGAGCTACAATTCAAGATGAGATTTGGGTGGGGACACAGCCAAACCATACCATGCAGATAAAAAGTCTCTCAGGTAATAAAAGTATCCAGGCTGCTGTCGACCTCCAGTGTTCTCTCCTGTAATCCAAGTTAATCTTCTCTGATTGATAAGATTCCTTCCTAGGCAGGGAATTCAAGACAATTGAGTTCCTTTTGGAGGATCCCTTTTTAAGCAGATAAGACAAGCTCAAAGAAAGCCTCTGCCTGCACCTTCTGTTTACCAAATTCCCTTGGTTCAAAGTAATTAGTCATACCAAAGTGTCATATTTTGGGTGGCATTTTCTGCACTCCTTCCAGGGAAATTGAATATGTTACAGTTCCCTCACTCTGCTTAAGTGTACACCACAAACATTGTAAGATGCCACAGGTAAACCATTTTTCTCCACAAGGGCTTTTATGCATCATAAACAATTTTTGTACAGCTCTCACGGCCCTCTTCACAAGTGCTTCCTCCCACTGAGTTCAGGGGAGGAACTGGTGCAGGTGAGTGTTTACAAACACTGCACCTGGCCAAATGACTGCAGTGTCAACAAGAAATCCCACAAGAGTTCTTCAAAAGCCATCTTTTTTCACCCAAGCTATTTCTGTAAGGTGGATGTTTTCATTACTTTTTCTCATACAAACCAGAAAGTGAAAAAAGCTGAAACCAAGGTCTGTGTAGATTACATTGTGAAGTGTTTCTGTGTTCATCATCATCCTGACCTCCTTTCCTCATTTCTTTGGAAACAAGTAATTTTTTCAGCAACATTGGCTAATAATATGTACAGAAGCATTTTAAAGTGCCTGGTATATGTGTGGCTTTATTCTGTTGTCACAGTTAAATTCACTGGGTGAAGCTTGGTGCAAAATTCATTTTAATGAAATGCTTTGCAAGTCACAACTGAAGAGATGTGATCAGCATTGCTGTTCAACAAATGTTTATGAATTTCCTAAACAATAATTACATTTATATAAAAAAGCTGAATAAAAAGGAATAAATATAATTAGTATTTGGAAGGGCAAGAACTTCTGAATAAAAATGTTCATCTTTTATTAATCACATATATTTTGCATAAGGAGATTATTTTTCCCAGTTTGGACTAACAACACAGAATTATCGTATACAATTGTGAGAACAGTTGGCCTGTGACAATTTAATGGTATTTTGCAAAAGCCTTATTTTGTAAGCTGCTCATATTGGCCTACGTCCCCCACTTGTTTTCTTAATCACAAATCATTTTTGAGAAACACTGACAAAGGATGGCAGTTCATATGCAGCTAAACGTTACTAGCTCCTGTATAATAACCTCACTGTATGCAGTTTCCACTGATATACTGCAAGGGTCAGGAGAACAAAAGACTTACGATAATTGACAGTGGTCACTGGATTTACTGTTAGCATTTTGACCATGGGAATTTATTCATCTCACAGCCAGGTTTGCGTCTGAGTATTAGTTTGCTAGGGATCTTTTAAAAATGCACCACAAACTGGGTGGCTTAAAACAACAGAAATTTATTATCTCAAAGTTCTGGAGGCTGGAAGTCCAAGATCGTGGTGTTGACAGGGTTAGTTCTTTCTCGAGAGAGAATCTTGTAGCTTCTGGTTGTTCACTGGCAATCTTTGAAATACCTTGTCTTGTAGAGAAGCACAGCCCCAATCTCTGCCCTTCATCTTTACACAGCGTTCTCTCTCTCTTTCTGTGTGTGTGTGTGTGTGTGTGTGTGTGTGTCCAACATTCCCTGACCCCCTCTTTTTTCTGAGACAGAGTCTTGCTCTGTTGCCCAGTCTTGAGTGCAGTGGCAGGATCACAGCTTACTGCAGGCTTGACCTCCCAGGCTCAAACAATCTTCCCACCTCAGCCTCCTGAGTAGCTGGGACTACAGGCATGCACCACCATGCCTGGCTAATTTTTTTATTTTCATTTTTCTAGAGAAGGGGTCTCACTATATTGTCCAGGCTGGTCTCAGGACCACTACATTGCTGGTCCTGGGCTCAGGCAATCCTGCCTTGGCCTCCCAAAGTGCTGGGATTACAGGTGTGAGCCCCTGCACCTGGTCTCCCTTCTTACAAGGACACCAGTCATATTAGATTAGGGTCCACCCTAAAGACCTCATCTTAACTAATTACCTCAGCAATGAAACTATTTCCAAACATGGTCACTTTCTGAGTTACTCGAATTTAAGACTTAAAGATATGAATTTTCGGGGAACACAATTCAGTCCCTAAGAGCTGGTCACCTATGAAAGTCTTTTGTACTCAGACGCCAGCAGACTTGAAGCACAGAACTGCATGCTTTGAGCACAGAGCTTTTTGGTAGTGCTTGGGTATACACACCGGAAATGACTTCACAGGCAAACCTGCAGCACACCCAGGATGACAGACAGACGTTGCTTCAAGGAAACCAGGGGAAAGAAACTGCTTCAGCCAAAAGTGACTTACACAGCAGAAAGGTGGCCTCTTTTCCAACAACCCAGCAACAATCTCAAAGCTGGGATCTGTGTGTCCATCCTGAACCCATCACTGTGGTCCTAGAGGACCTAGTGCTCTGACTGATTGGGGTCCTATGCCTGGTTCTCCTGACCAAGACCAGAAAACCCCAGAGGAGCAGAGAGAGGAATCCTCAAAGATAAACCTCAATGCTGTTCTTACAAAAGGAAAAGAGGATGAGAAATAGCATTCCAAGCAGGCCAAAGAATATCAATGTCTAAACTCTTCAGACCTAAAGAGGCTTGGAGAAAAGGAAATTTTATTGGAGGAAAGTTTCATTCAAATTGTTAAAAGAAAGGTGCAGCTGCATTTCTCTGATAGCCAGTGATGGTGAGCATTTTTTCATGTGTTTTTTGGCTGCATAAATGTCTTCTTTTGAGAAGTGTCTGTTCATGTCCTTTGCCCAATTTTTGATGGGGTGGGTTGTTTTTTTCTTGTAAATTTATTTGAGTTCATTGTAGATTCTGGATATTAGCCCTTTGTCAGATGAGTAGGTTGCAAAAATTTTCTCCCATTTTGTAGGTTGCCTGTTCACTCTGATGGTAGTTTCTTTTGCGTGCCGAAGCTCTTTAGTTTAATTAGATCCCATTTGTCAGTTTTGGCTTTTGTTGCCATTGCTTTTGGTGTTTTAGACATGAAGTCTTTGCCCATGCCTATGTCCTGAATGGTAATGCCTAGGTTTTCTTCTGGGGTTTTTATGGTTTTAGGGTGATTCCTCAGGGATCTAGAGCTAGAAATACCATTTGACCCAGCCATCCCATTACTGGGTATATACCCAACGTACTATAAATCATGCTGCTATAAAGACACATGCACACGTATGTTTATTGCGGCACTATTCACAATAGCAAAGACTTGGAACCAACCCAAATGTCCAACAGTGATAGACTGGATTAAGAAAATGTGGCAGATATACACCATGGAATACTATGCAGCCATAAAAAATGGTGAGTTCATGTCCTTTGTAGGGACATGGATGAAATTGGAAATCATCATTCTCAGTAAACTATCGCAAGAACAAAAAACCAAACACCGCATATTCTCACTCATAGGTGGGAATTGAACAATGAGAACACATGGACACAGGAAGGGGAACATCACACTCTGGGGACTGTTGTGGGGTGGGGGGAGGGGGAGGGATAGCATCGGGAGATATACCTAATGCTAGATGACGAGTTAGTGGGTGCAGCGCACCAGCATGGCACATGTATACATATGTAACTAACCTGCACATTGTGCACATGTACCCTAAAACTTAAAGTATAATAATAATAATAATAATTAAAAAAAAGAAATGTGCATCTGCAATCATGAGCATCTTTAGAGACAAACCAGTTCAACCATTGGCCATGCAATTGAAACTCTAGATGTATTAGTGTTTAAATGCAACTCTTTTTTTTGAGGGGGGAAAGAAGTTGCCATCAGAACCTGGAATTCATTCTGACATAAGTAGTTGCTTTTCACCCCCATCTTCAGATTGACTTCCACTCCAACTAAGTTTGAATGATGTATGCCTCATAAAATAATCACAAGTGCCACTTTTTAACTGTTAATGAAAATTGGGAGTGGAAGTTAAAATGAATATGTGGGTGAAAAGTGATATCAAACATGAGCTTGCTATCCAATGATAAAGAGCAGGAATTAAAATCTGTCAACATCCCTAAGAACTTAGCACTTCAGCTTCATTCAGCAATACACGAAGAACTCACAGGTGCCAATGACAGCTAATACCAACCAGTTCAACAATTTACCATGCAGTGGAAACTCTAGATGTATCAGTGTTTTAATGCAAATCTCTTTTTTTTTAAGGAAGCTGCCATTCATTCGACATAAGTAGGTGCTTCATCTGATAAGCGCTGCTTGTGTAATTTATCAATGACAGAGAAGGCAGATAGCAGCATGCATACTTGGGGCTGCATTTGAAGGAGAGCAACATCCCTTTGTTTTCACAGAGGTATGACTGTGTTTGTAGATCTCTACCTTAGACGAAAGTTATGATAGGCTGTATAGTGGCGGGAAAGTGGTGTGAGACTACAAAAGTGTCCCTGACACTGTCATAGCTTGTAAACTAGTTCCTTTACTAGGTTGCCAGTAAATCAAAGTCACCATGAGGAAAGTCATACATGTGCATGATTTGAATGTTGACGTATCAAACTTTCCTGGAGGGCTTACTTAGACTCTCCTGCCAACAAAGGTTGCTTAAGATTTTTACAGTTAAGAAGAGAATGGAAGACTGAAAGGAAAATGCAACCCTGAAATGTTTAAGTATTCAGAGAATGGATGCTCCTCAAGTGCAATAGAAATGAAAGAAATGGTAACATCTTCCCACATCTTCCATGAAATCTTGACTTGTTTTGGTGAAGAGAAATGTCTTACTTTAGGGATGAGAAGACTAAAAATATGATTTCATTTATATGATGTCTAAAGACATGCAAAGTTAATCTAAGATGGTAGAATTTAAAAAGTGGTTGCATTTGAGGAGTTGGCTATTTCTGGAAAAGGGAAGGAACAGCTTCCTGGATGATAGAAATGTTGTATGTACTGACTTGTGTAATGTTTATGCTGGTGGATATGCAGGCTGAAGGGGCAGTTGTCACCCAGGATTAACTCTTCTATTAATTACAGGAGAACAAGCATGAGTTGAGATTGTGGTGCTTCTTGAAGTCTCATCCAGATCAGAAACCTGCTGCTCTGTCCACATTCCATCCACCAAAGCAACCCATATGGCCATGTCCAGCATCAGATGGGGAAAGGCAGTTCTCCTCTAGCACGAGGAGCTGCAAAGCCACATGGCAAAGGATGAGTGTGTAAAAAATAAATGCAGGAGGGCAGGAGGCATTGGGAACAATGATCCAATCTACTGCAGTGTGTTATTCTCTCCAGCTTGGCATGCGTTCCGTTCCCTGTGTACAGCATCCTGCAGTGACAGGAGCTCACGCTGGTCCTTTAATATGGGCCAGATACTGTGCTAAGCACAGCACATGGTTTATCTTGGTGTAGCCTCACAGCAACATTGGAGCAAAGCACAGTGTATAGCACCATTTATTCATGAGAAGTTAGAGCTTCATAGCATTTAAAGCAAATTCCCAGATTGCACAGTGTTAGTCAGTGAAAAAGCTGAAAATTGGACCCGACTATCTTCTGACTCCAGAGTCATACATGTCTTTCTCTCCTAAAGTATCCTTACCTAGGGTAATGTACATCCTAGAGTCTTGTGCACCTGTCTTCTTGCCCATTTTGACAAGCATTTTATACAGATACCTTCTGTACCAAACCTTGTTCCAGGTGACAGGGGCAATAGTAAATATGGGATATAAGATCCCTGCACACAAGTAGCTCATCTTCCAATACAGAAAGTGTATAGACAATACACAAACACATAAAATAAAATAATTTTAACAAATGATGTAATATTCCAAACATGAAATCAGGATGATGGAATAGAAGAGAGCATCTCCAAGATATTTAGAATAAGTGGAGGATATTTGACTCTAGTTAGATAGGAAGTCAGGCAGGATCTCCATGAGGAGATGGTATTTGATTTGAAACCTCAGCATTGAGACAGACACAGCTGTACAAAAATATAGATGAATATTGATCCAGGCAAAACAAAATGCAAAGCAAGAGTCATATTTGAGAACCAAAGATCAGTCGGGTATGGTTGGGGCATATTGAACAGAGCGAGGGAGGGACAGGATGAAGTCAAGAAGGAAGGCAGAGACCAGGTCATGTAGAGCCTTGGAGCCCACGGTGTAGGGCTGCACAATGTTCTTGTCTTTCCCTAGAATGTTTGCATTTAATCTCCAAACCCATGGAAAGCTCCTGAGAGATGATACCTTGGCATCTACACTTTGGATATTTCATACACCTTGGCTTTGCATACAGGTAGATGCAATAAATGCTGCTGACTCTCTCACTCCTATAGAGACACCACTATGTTCACTTGTAGTCAGAAAGCCCCGGTTCACACCTGTCTCCCTTCGTTTCCATTTGCTTGAACTTGAGTCCGGAAACCACTTAACTTCTCATGGCCTCAACCACTTTACCTCTAAAATGGGAATTAAAATCCCTGCTTATCTTGGGTATATGACATGCAATTCTATATATAAAAGCTGTACATTTTGAAGTAATATACAGGTATAAATGGCTGTGATTGCATATGGAGAAATGTAATATCTTATGAATTCAAAATGACTCTGGACAATGGATTTGGCTGCTTATTTCCCCCATACAGACTACAGGCATCATTGCTGGGATGACAGGTATCTCACTGTGAGGATTGTTAACTATCAGGGCTACAATCCGAGTCGTAGAGGGCTGTGAGTGAGGGACACTCTGTGTGTTAGCTTCCTGCTGGTGCAATAAAAAAATACCACAACTTTTAGTGGCTTAAAACATATGCTGGGCCTTATACATCACACACATTATCTGACTTAGAGGCACAGAAAGACAATTTGTCCAATGCTCCATGACTAATAAGATATCCCATGTTCACCCACAGCCAACATAATACTGAATGGGGAAAAGTTGAAAGCATTCCCTCTGAGAAGGGAACAAGACAAGGATGCCCACTCTCACCACTCCTCTTCAATATAGTACTGGAAGTCCTAGCCAGAGCAATCAGACAAGAGAAAGAAATAAAGCACATCCAAATTGGTAAACAGGAAGTCAAACTGTCACTGTTTGCTAACGATATGATCGTTTACTTTGAAAATCCTAAGGACTCCTCCAGAAAGCTCCTAGAACTTAAAAAATAATTCAGCAAAGTTTTTGGATACAAGAATAATGTACACAAATCAGTAGCTTTTCTATATACGAACAGCGACCAAGTGGAGTATCAAATCAAGAACTCAACCCCTTTTACAATAGCTGAAAAAAAAAAAACTACTTAGGAATATATCTAACCAAGAAGTCAAAGGACCTGTACAAGGAAAACTATAAAACACTGATGAAAGAAATCATAGATGACACAAACAAATGGAAGCACATCCCATGCTCATGGATGGGTAGAATCAATATTGTGAAAATGACCATACTGCCGAAAGCAATCTATCTACAAATTCAACACAATCCACATCAAAATACCATGATCATTCTTCAGAGAGTTAGAAAAAAAACAATTCTAAAATTCATATGGAACCAAAAAATAGCCCGTATAGCCAAAGCAAGACTAAGCAAAAAGAACAAATCTGAAGGCATCACACTACCTGATTTCAAACTACACTATAAGGCCATAGTCACCAAAACAGCACGGTAAAGGTATAAATATAGGCACATAGACCAATGGGACAGAATAGAGAACCTAGAAATAAACCCAAATACTTACAGCCAACTGATTTTCAACAAAGCAAACAAAATCATAAAGTGGGGAAAGGACACCCTTTTTAACATATGGTGATGGGATAATTAGCTAGCTACATGTAAGAGAATGAAACTGGATCCTCATCTCTCACCTTACACAAAAATCAACTCAAGATGTATTAAGACCTGAAACTATGAAAATTCTAGAAGATAACATTGGAAAAACCCTTCTAGGCATTGGCTTGGGCAAGTATTTCATGACGAAGAACACAAAAGCAAATGCAATAAAAACAAAGATAAATAGCTGGGACCTAATTAAACTAAAGAGCTTTTGCACAGCAAAAGGAATAGTCAGCAGAGTAAACAGACCACCCACAGAGTGGGAGGAAACCTTCACCATCTATACATCTGACAAGGGACTGATATCCAGAATCTACAACAAACTCAAACACATCAGTAAGAAAAAAACAAACAATCCCATCAAAAAGTGGGCTAAGGACATGAATAGACAATTCTTGAAAGAAGATATACAAATGGCCAGCAAATATATGAAAAAAATGCTCAACATCACTAATGATCAGGGAAACGCAAATCAAAACCACAATGTGATACCACATACTCCTGCAAGAGTAGTCATAATCAAAAAATCAAAAAACGGTTGATGTTGATGTGGATGCAGTGAACAGGGAACACTTCTACACTGCTGCTGGGAATGTAAACTAGTACAGCCACTATGGAAAACAGTGTGGAAATTCTTTAAAGAACTAAAGGCAGAACTACCATTTGATCCAGCAATCCCCCTACTGGGTATACACCCAGAGGAAAAGAAGTCATTATTCAAAAAAGATACTTGCACATGCATGTTTGTAGCAGCACAATTCATAATTCCAAAATCATGGAACCAACCCAAATGCCCATTAATCAATGAATGGATAAAGAAACTGTGGTATATACATGCGATGAAATATTATGCAGCCATAAAAAGGAATGAATTAACAGCATTTGCAGTGACCTGGATGAGACTGAAGACTATTATTCTAAGTGAAGTAACTTGGAAATGGAAAACCAAACATCGTATGTTCTCATTGATATGTGGGAGCTAAGCTATGAGGACACAAAGGCATAAGAATGATGCACTGGACTTTGGGGACTTAGGGGGAAGAATGGGAGGGAGTGAGGGATAAAAGACTACAGATATGATGCAATGTATACTGCTCGGGTGATGGATGCACCAAAATCTCACAAATCACCACTAAAGAACTTACTCATGTAACCAAATACCACCTGTACCCCAATAACTTATGGAAAAAAAAAGATGTCCCATGTTCAAACCCAAATCATTAAGAGGGTCTTGGGGTAAGATAACATGGGGAGGAGGAGAGAAATGTGTCCTAGAAATTTCATGTTATCGTTTTTTGTTGTTGTTGTTTTGGTTTGGTTTTAGTTGTTTTTTGTTTGTTTGTTTGTTTGTTTGTTTTCTGAGACAAGGTCTTACTTTGTTACCCAGCTTGGAGTGCAGGGGTGTGAGCATAGCTCACTGCAGCCTCAAACTCCCAGGCTCAAGCAATCCTCCCACCTCAGCTTCCCAAGTAGCTAGGACCACAGGCATGCACCATCATGCCTGGCTAATTTAAAAATTTTTTTTCGCTGGAGACGGAGTCTCACTATGTTGCCCAGGCTAGTCTCCTGGCCTCAAGCGATCCTCCCACCTTGGCTTTTCAAAGTGCTGGAATTACAGGCCCGAGCCACTGTGCCAGGCCAATGTTATCTAATATGGCATTTATCAGTTGTGTGGTGACCATTCAGCCCAGTGAGAGTTTCACTAAATGTTCTTCTGCCCTGGAGTTTCTGTTTGTGAGAGAAAATACATTCACTGCTTTGGTCGCTTAAGCACAACTTATGAATAATATATTGGAACAAATCTCAGATCATTTTTCTCTGTTATTAAAAGCTTACATTAATATCCATGTTAACATAAAGGCTTAACAGGAAGCCCTGTGTTGAGTTTTATGATGGGAAATGTAGTGATAGACTCTAGGTTCCCATGGGTGTGTGCTGTTTTCTTCTTTTCTCAACCTTGTATTCACCTCTATGTCCACTCTCTTCCGCATTCCCCCCGACCCTTTCTTTTCCTATTCAATACTTCTGTAATTTCTTCATCTCACTTCCTTTACACTCAGTAAGGTGATAGGATCCTTGGGGTCTTCATAGTTTGTGAAAAATAGTCATACAGGAAAAGAAATCCCTATGAGTATTAATTCTGCCTCTTGGCTTATGTGCAAATCTTCACCGTGTTATGTGTAAGTATTGATTCCAACACTGAGTTGCAGTCCCTATGCAGCTCCACGTCTGCCTGACTGCACATTCATGCTACACTATGACTGATGGTGTAGCTCTTTGAAGATCAGCACAATATCTTTCCCATTCCAGGTAACATCTACGAGCCTCCCAGTTAGAAAAATAATAGTTCTGCTATAGGATTTGTAAAATTCCAAAGCCTTCATGTTTACATTTTTGTTGTTTATTAAACTCTGATTTCTGAGTAACTTAGAAGGGAATCTTAAAGCATTTTAGATCATATGAAGCTGCTTACAACATAGATGAAGCAAGGGTCTTTAATGGAGATCCCTGGCTTTTCTACATTCTGTTTTTTGGACAATGGGCAGGCATGAATCTCCCATCTGTGAAATGGGAATGACAAGAGCCCACCTTCCGGGAATACGATGAAGATCACATAAATTCAAAGACAAAAAGTAATTAGAAGAATGCACAGCACAGAGTGCAGCTAGCTGCTGTTACATTGGTAATAGGGGAATGATAATAGCATCTCCGTACAGGGCGGAGGCCATGATTAAAGGTGAAAATGCCCAATGTCTGGCACATAGTAAGGGGTCATATATTAGGACTCATTCCTAATCCTATCGGCATGATTATTCCATGTCTAAGAACATAAATATCAAGGACATTCTCTGACCCCAGTGGAGTCAGTTGCAAGTTGTCAAAAATATGTAAGTGATTCTGCATTCCACAAGGGCACTTTCCACCAGGAACGCTGTTGAACCCTAAGGGTCCTGGTTGATTCACAGCTTAAACTATTCTGTAAGACAAAGAAAGAATATGATATCTTTACAGCTTGGGATCCACTCTGCAATTTTATGAAGTGCATATTAGCCACTGTTACTAGTGTCATTGTCAGGAAATTGGCTCTGTGGGGATTGGAGAAAATCTCTATGAAGCGGCCTAGAGATTAGTAGCAGGTGAAGACAGAATCAGCCTCCAGTCTTGGTCAGAGATAAGGAAATAATGGGCACCCCTTTTACCTCTCCTGTTGTTATCCCAGCCTTTGCAGTAATGCAGGCTCAAGCAATTTGCCTGAGAGTGATAATAGGGCAGCTGTAACTCAAAGAAGGGTGGCAGGGTCCAGACTAGAAAAAGGCAGGTGTATTAGTCCATTTTCATGCTGCTGATAAAGACACACCTGAGACTGGGCAATTTGCAAAAGAAAGAGGTTTAATTGGACTTACAGTTCCACATGGCTGGGGCAGCCTCACAATCATGGCAGAAGGCAAGGAAGAGCAAGTCCTGTCTTATACGGATGGCAGCAGGCAAAGAGAGAATGAGGAAGATGCAAAAGCGGAAACCCCTGATAAAACCATCAGATCTCATGAGACTTATTCACTACCACGAGAATGGTATGAGGGAAACCGCCCCCATGATTCAATTACCTCTCAATGGGTCCCTCCCACAACACGTGGGAATTATGGGAGTACAATTCAAGATGAGATTTGGATGGGCACACAGCCAAACCATATCAGAAGGCAAGTCACCCAGGGGACAAGATTTAAGATGGCACTAGTTCTCAGGCTCCTGCAAGTGCAAAGATGGCATCTGACTGTGAGAACCTCCTTAAGGTTTGAGCTGTGGGTGAGACTCACCTGGCTCACCCTAGTCTTAGCCCTGAAAGGTAATTCAGATGATGAAAAATGTTTAAGAAAAGAAGTGCAATGTGATTTCAGATGTAGCTTCAGTGAAACGTACTTAAATTGTATCCTGCTTTTTTCAAAAATATATTTCTGTAATAAATTATCTATGAATTAATTATTGACTTCTTTAGCCTAGTCAGTTTGGAGTGGAAATGTCTCTGGATAGCTAGAGGTAAGCTAATGATTAATACCTGACCAGCATGGGGTTTCAGGCAGAGTAAGGGGCTGAAATTACAAGTGTCTCTTTGAACTGCAGATGAGCTCTTTTGCCAGCTTTGTCCTTTTTCCTACTCAAGACAATGGTATTTGATGATATGACAAGGAAAGTAGCTACTATTCTTGTTCCTCATGCATCCTAGGCACTAGTTAGAGTGTTTGTCTACATTATCACTGAATCCTCACGTCTGTGAGACAAATCCCTTTATTATCAATATTATATAGATGAGATCATTGAAGTTCAGAGAGTCTGAGAAATTTACCCAGGATTATGCAGTTAAGATGTGAATAGACAGTCAAGATGGGAACAAAGTTTACTTCCTGAGCTCTTAATCTCTGTGTTTTATTAACTAATACCTGTGTGGCAGAAACCAAATGCTGGGTGGTTTTTAATAGAGACATTTCTTTTCATACTGGGACGTGCTGCAGATCTCTGGGGTTAGATTGACCAGAACCAGAGGGGTCTGAAGCTCTATTGACTCGAGGTGACTACTGATGACTTACAACCATGGGTTCTGTAAAACCTGATCACTATACAGTAAAGGGTCTCTACAGGTTGAGGATGAAAAGACCAATTTTAGTGAGGAACTACTTTCCAGAATGAATGGACTCCTGATTTAAGAGTCTAATCCAAACTCCTCATCATGGCCTTTGCAAGCTTTGCAGGATGCAGCCTCTGTCCTGTCCGCACTCTGGCCTCACCCCTCCCACTCACCCTTCACTCACCCAGCTCCTGTTCCTCTAGTCTGGCTGCTACTCACCACACTTGGTCTCCAGTGGTTACTCTAACTGCAATATTTTTCAAGATCTTCACATGCCCGAATCCTTCTCATCATTCAGGTATTAGATAAAATGTGACCTCTCAAAGAATATTTGTCTGAACACTCCATCAAAGTCACTCTCATGACCTCCTCACAAGGACACTTAGGAGGGTCCTGCATAACCCTCTCTCACTATCGTGTCTCCTGCTTCAGTTTCCTCAATGCACTCATTGATACCTAAAGTGATCCTTTTTGTCAACCTATGCTTTTTTTTCTCTATTTTAATAACAGGAACTCCAGAAGAGAAGGGCCTTTTTCCACTGTGTCCATTGATGAATCTTCATCACTGAGAATGGAATATGCCACATAGCAGATGCTCAATAAATATGTTGAATTATGAAACAAATTAAAAAGCACTTTTAGTCATATTCATGTTACCGTTAAGATTACCATTTGTTTGCAACTTCATTGCTTTCCCCAAGAGATACTTAGCATCAGTTAGGGATACTTTTAGCTGCAAGTAACAGAACAGTTAAGTAACAGTGGCTCAGACCAATAGGGTTTGTGTTTCTCACATAACAAACAAACAAAAACCTGGAGGTGGGTGTTTTCCATAATTGGTTTAGTGACTCAACAAAATCAGGACCTCAATTCTTACAACCCAAGTCACTTTTTCCTTTTGGTCTTAAAATGGTGGCTGCAGCTCCAGCAGTCATGTGCACAGTAAAGACAGGAAGGAGGTGGAAGAGGAGTCAGCAACAGCCGCAACTTCTCCAATTTACAAAAGACACGAAAGCTTTCTCAAAAGCTGTGTTATTTTCCCTCAGCAATTTCCATTTATGTCTCATGGGGCACCCTAGTGGCAGATGAATCTGGGAATGGGGTATTTAATGTTAGCAGCCTCTAGCCTGTAAATTCGGGTTAAGGAGAGGGTAAGGGCTTTGATGCGTGTCTACCACACCCTTTTTTTCAATTTAACGTAATTGTTAAGCTTAAGAGTCAATAAACACATGAAAAGGTGGTGAACATCATTAGTCATCAAGGAAATGTAAAATAAATCACAATTATGAAACTCTATGAGTCATCACAATGGCTGCAATTAAAAATCCTGGTGAGACAGGGAGTTGGCAGAGACGTGGAGTAACTGGGATCCTCCTGCTTTGCTGGTGCAATCAATACAGCAAGAGAACAATCACTCTGGGAAATAGTTTGCATGTTTCTTAAAAACGTAAGCATTCTCATCCAATATGATTCAGAAATCATGCCTTTAGGTATTTATCCAATAAAGATAAAAATATATGTGCTTACAAAGACTTGTGTACAAATACCCTGTTTTGTTTTTAATAAATGATAGTCTAGAAACAGCCCCCCACCAAACAAAAACAAAAACAAAAACAAAAAACAAACTATTCTTATATATACAATAATACGGATAAATCTTAAAAAACGTTTTGCTTAGTAACATAAGCCAGACACAAAAGAATACATACTGCAGTCATTGTCCTTCATAACAGGGACATGTTTTTTGTTTTATGTTTTTTTAGAAAATTTGTTGTTAGGCAGTTTTGTCAGTGTGCAAACATTATAGAGTGGACTTATATGAACCTAGAAGGTAGAGCCTACTACTCACCTAGACTGTATGGTGTCGCCTATTGCTCCCAGGCAACAAACCTACACAGGATATTGCTGTACTGAATACTATAGACAAATGTAACACAATGGTAGATATTTGTAAGGCTAAACATAGAAAATGCACAGTAAAACCACGGTATTATAATCTTATGGGACCATCTTTGTGTATGACATTATTATGTGGGCCATGACTGTATGATTCTTTATGTGAAATTCTGGAAAAGACAAATCAAGCCAATAGTGACACAACATGTCAGTGAGGCCCAAGGCTGTAGTTGCAAGAGTGTGCACAATGAAGGGGTGATGATGGAAGTGGTATATACGTGATCAGGCTCGAGCAGGTCCTGAAGGCACAAGTAAGTTACATGAGGAAGGGACTCAAATGCTCATGGTCTTCACTTCTGCCACCTGGCCTTCTCTCCCCCAGCTGGCACCGATGGCCTCGTGGGGAGTTTCCTATGCTCAGTTGACAGAGGAAGAGACGACTAGGGTCTTCTGTACAGATGGTTCCGCCTGATATGCAGGTACCACCTGAAAATGAACAGCTGCAGCACTAACAGCCCCTTTCTAGGACACCTTTGAAGGACAGTGACAAAGGAAAATCTTCCCAGTGGACAGAACTTTGAACAGTGCACCTGGTTGTGCACTTTGCTTGGAAGGAGAAGTGGCCAAATATGTGGTTATATACTGATTTATGGGCTGTAGCCAGTGATTCGGCTGGATGGTCAGGGACTTGGAAGAAGCATGATTGGACAATTGGTAACAAAGAAATTTGGAAAAGGGGTATGTGGTGGACCTCTCTGAATGGTCAAAAACTGTGAAGATATTTGTATCCCATGTAAGTGCTCACCAATGGGTGACCTCAGCAAAGGAGGATTTTAATAATCAAGTGGATAGGATGGCTTGTTCTGTGGACACCACTCAGCCTCTTTCCCCAGCCACCCCTGTCATTGCCCAATGGGCCCATGAACAAGGTGGCCATGGTGGCAGGGATGGAGGTTATGTATGGGCTCAGCAACATCGACTTCCACTCACCAAGGCTGACCAGTTTATGGCCAACGCTGAGTGACCAATTTGCCAGCAGCAGAGACCCACACTGAGCCCTTGATATGGCACCATTCCTCAGGGTGATCAACCAGCTACTTGGTGGCTGCTCTTCCATCATGGAAAGAGCAGCAGTTTGTCCTCACTGGAATAGATACTTACTCCGGATATGGGTTTGCCTATCCTGCATGCAATGCTTCTGCCAAGACTACCATCCGCGGACTCACGGAATGCCGTATTCACTATCATGGTATTCCACACAGCATTGCCTCTGACCAAGGCACTCACTTTATGGCCAAAGAAGTGTAGCAGTGGGCTCATGCTCATGGGATTCACTGGTCTTACCATGTTCCCCATCATCCTGAAGCAGCTGGATTGATAAAATGGTGCAATGGCCTTTTGAAGTCACAATTACAACACCAACTAGGTGACAATACTTTGCAGGGCTGGAGCAATGTTCTCCAGAAGGCTGTGTATGTCTGAATCAGTGTCCAACATATGGTCCTGTATATCCCATAGCCAGGGTTGATGGTTCTAGGAGCCAAGGGATGGAAGTGGAAGTGGCACCTATTACTATCACCCCTAGTGACCCACCAGCAAAATTCTTGTTTCCTTTTTCCCACGACATTACGTTCTGCTGGCCTAGAGGTCTTAGTTCCAGAGGGAAGAATGCTGCCACCAGGAGACACAATGATTCCATTAAACTGGAAGTTAAGATTGCCACCTGGCCACCTTAGGCCCCTCCTACTCCTAAGTCAACAGGCTAAGGAAGTTACAGTGTTGGCAGGGATGATTGACCCAGACTATTGAGATGAAATCAGTCTACTACTCCACAATGGAGGTAAGGAAGAGTATGAATGGAATACAGGAGATCCGTTAAGGTGTCTCTTAGTATTACCATGCTCTGTGATTAAGGTCAACGGGAAACTGCAAGAGCCCAATCCAGGCAGGACTACATATGGCCTAGACCCTTCAGGAATGAAGGTGTGGGTCACTCCACCAGGCAAAAAAACAAAAAAAACAATGACCTGTTGAGGTGCTTGCTGAAGGCAAAGGGAATACACATTGGGTAGTAGAGTAAGGTAGTTATCAATACCAACTATGACCATGTGACCAGTTGCAGAAACGAGGACTGTATATTTCCTTCTTATTTTGTTAAGAACATGTTTGTGCATGTATACACGTGCACTAAGAAAATATCTTCATTTTTTATTTCCTTTCTTTTCCCTTTATTATGTGACATAAGATTTATTAACTCCAAGTCAGCATTTAAGTATTGTTAACTTTATGTAATGGCATTTAGATTAAGGATTGGTGCACTTAAGGTTGTACGAAGGATAGCTGTATTATGTTAGGCATAATTATAACCCCATTATTGTCTCTATTTGAAGTTTATGTATGATTTCAGGAGATGGGTATGGGTTCAGTTCCCCTGAGCATTAAAGGAGCTCACAGCCAGAACAAGGCCTGACCAAGGGTGAGGGGCTCAGGGAACAAAGCCACATTCCTGCTGCTATTATCATCATCTACCTGGTCTTGGAGCGAGCACACCCGGTACCCACAGAGCATGACATTAAGTTGAAAACATTTAAATAGTAGTCAGACCAATCACCTCCCCGCCATTCACAACTCTCCAGTGATTGCATATCTTTTCAAGTAAAGCCACAGCCTAGCTGTAGACTACAAGGTTCTGCACTATTAGCTCCTCTCACCCCTTATCAGAGGGAGGCCTTGGTAACCTTCGGTGTCCTGCCCCATTCTGCATTTCTGTATGTTTCACCTGCCCACCTGCTGCCCCAGGTGATGTCCACAGGGACTCATGCTAATTGAGCCCCAACAGCAGGCTGCTCTAGGCATTAGGTAAGAAACACACTTAAACCTTTCAGCCCTGAGCAGGAGCAACTCTTTATTACCCTAGTTTACAGATGATGAAGCTGAGGCCCAGAGAGATGCAACCACATCCCCAAGGTCCCAGGGCATGTGGGGAAGCCTGCCTGGATCTCATCCAGATATGGGGGAGCCAGCAGCCTTCCTGCTGGGACAGCTGTTTACAGGAGCTCTTGTCATGCTCTGTGGGTACTGGGTGTGTTTGCTCCAAGATGAGGTGGATGATGATAGCAGCAGTAGGAATGTGGTTTTGTTCCCTGAGCCCTCACCCTTGGTCAGGCCTTGCTCTGGCTGCGAGCTCCCTTAATGCTCAGGGGAACTCTCAGGCCAGGGTCACTGCTAGACTCACGCTACTCATACATCTTCCATGGCAGGCTCTGACTCTCCCTTGCCGCAGAGGCGGTGGAGCACAGAGAGGTTATGCAGCCTGTTGTAAATGTTCTATGCTCAGCTTAGCAGTGAAGAGTCAGATGTTGTGGGTTAAGACATAGCCTTGCAGTTTTTTACTGGGGGCCTTGAGGTCTCTCATAACCATTCTGTGCCTCAGCTATTTTATCTGTAATCAGCAGAAATGTGTCCCTACCTCCCTGGATCGTGGTGAGGAATGCCTGAGTTTGCTTTGGTTAAGCACTTAAGGGAATGGATGGTGGATACTGCTTGCTTTACGAGTACTAGTTAGAATTTTTATTACTGACTTGGGAACCAGTGAGAGCTTCATAAAGGCTGCTCCTCTCACTGCCCTGTCCCCTTGATCAAAGGCTCTGTCCAAGCCAGGTTTCCTGACCCCAGGCCAGCTCCTGGGTCCTGCACACACCCAGTTCCTCATGAGAATGATATGGATACTGTCTCTGATTTTCCCTCTCTCTCAACTTCTTTATCATCACAAAGTCCAATGAAGCCTCTCTCCTAGAGACTTCCTGATTCTCTGAACTTGATGCCTGCTGCCCTAACATGAACCTAGGCTTCATTATGTCTCACCATGTGTATTACAATATCTGCATAGCAGGTCCCCTTCCAGTGGGTCTTCGTTCCACAACGAAAGGAACAGGAGTGCTCTCAAACAGGAATCTGGCTGTGTTACTGCCCTGCCTAAGACCTTCTGAGATGCCTTCTGTTGTCCATGAGATAAAGTCCAAACTTGGCCACATGAATCTTCATGACTTCTCCCCATTATGGCTAAAGATTCCATTAGTCCAAGGCCATCTTCTTTCCTGAAATCTAAAGCCCACGTCCTTGCTTCCTCTTGGTTCTGAGCACCTGCCTCTTCACTTTCCACCCAGTCCCACCTGAGAAGAAATCACTTCCAGGTCCTTCCTCAACTTCTTGAATATTCATGTCCCTTTGCTGTGTGCTCCCAGATCATTCTAGCAATGCTTAAGACAGTATTTCATTACCCCCTGTGAAGGCAGGAGACACATTTGTCTTATCACCTCTCTCCCCAGCACCCAAGATGCTGACATGTGGTTCGTGGCCCCATGTAGCAATCGGAAGAATGAATAAGTCCGCGGTTCCAAAGCCCGTGCTCTTTCTTCCATGCGGCAGCACAGCTCTGGCCAATCCAATGAATATGATGTGTTTTTTAAAAATTACTGATCATTTTCAATTTAGACCCTAAAAACATATCACTGAGTCTACCAAATTCAGCTGACTTGTATTAATTGAGCTGATTTGATGAGTTTATTTGAGAGCTCACCTGGTTTTTTACCGGATATTTACATAACTTTTCTCCTTACTCGATCAGGAAAAATGCAAACTAAAACTGTTTCATTTTTCACGAGGTGATCAAATATAGTTTTAGCTAGTGTAATGCCTTACCCCCAAGGAGAAATATGCTAAGAAAAGAGTACGTTATATAATAATATTAAAATTTGTTTTCTATAGGAAAAATTCTGGAAGATTCTGCACCAAAAATTAACAGTATGTACCTGTGGGGGTAAAATTGTGAGAAAAGGGAAGATTTCACGTTTTCATAAAAAATACTTCAATGTGAAGAGGTTTTTTTGTTTTTATTTTTGACATAGGGTCTCATTCTGTCACCCAGGCTGGAGTGCAGTGGCACAATCGCGGCTCACCACAACCTAGACCTCCCAGGCTCGGGTGATCCTCCCACCTCAGCCTCTTGAGTAGCTGGGATTACAGGCACGCACCACCACGCCTGATTAATTTTTGTAATTTTACTAGAGACATGGTTTTGTCATTTTGCCCAGGCTGGTCTCGAGCTCCTGAGCCCAAGCAATTCTCCCTGTAGGGCCTCCCAAAGTGCTAGGGTTACAGGTGTGAGCCACCGTGCCTGGCTGAGGTTTTTGAAGGAAAATGTTTATGGCTAATTGATAATATTCATAAAATGTTTTCTAATATATTAAAAAAACAAAATTGTCAGCACGTACACGTTCAAAATTCTACAGTTATTTCATTAGCTGCAGAAAAAGCATCTAACAAAATTCTACATTGACCATAATGCAAAAAATAAACGTGTAAAATTATAACCACCAGGGAAGCATATTAGCCTGTTGCAGAATAGTCACAATGAGTGAGCTATAGCACATATTATACCTAATGGCAAAATGTTGAAAGCGACCTTTGTCCAGAAATGAGACATAGTCGTCCAATATCACCAATTCTGTTACACATTGTACTGAAGCCCTAGCCAATCTGCTAACAGAACAAAAGGAAACAAAACAATTAAGGACTGGGAAAGAAGAAATGAAACTGCCATTATATGCATAGTATAACCATATATACAGACATTATTAAAATATAGAGATAATTTTAAAAATTAATGAGTAAATTTAGAAAGTGTGAATCTAATATCATTATAAAACATCAACCATTTTTTATGTTCCAGTAACAGACACTCAGAAAATACATTAAATCTTGCAATTTACAATATGGTGAAAAGATACAATGTGAAGACTAAATCTAATGAAAGATATTCAAGACTCCTACAATGTAAACTATTATGCATTACTCAGATGAATTAAATAATGTATGCATAACTGGTTATACCACAGTCGTGGAATAGACATCCTAATGTAAGCATCTTAATATAGTTTCCATAAAACTCCAGTCAAAATCTCAGAAGATATTTGACAAATTTATTCTAAACTTCACAAATGCAAAGGGCTAGGAATAGCCAAGAAAATCTTTAAGAAGAGGAGTGCATTGGAAACAGTGCATTATCAGAAATAATACAATGCTGTCATAATTGCCTCAGCATGGTATGGGTGCAAAAGTAGAGAAATAGGCCAATGGATCACAAGAGCACACCCAGAAACAGATCTGCCTATATATAGAAACCTGACTTATGTCAAAGATGACTCTGCATTGAGGCGGAGAAAGGGCTCTTTTTGGTAAATAGTGCTGGGTTCATTGGTATATTATACTGAAAAAATAATAATTATGACCATTGTCTCACACTACATAAAAAACCAGTTCCATGTGAATTTTAGAGCTCTCTACAGAAGGCAAGACACTGGACTTCTAGAAGAAAACATGTTTGGGTAAGCAAAGATTTTTTAAACAAGACGTAACAAGCAATAGACACAATCAAACATTGATAAATTAAACTACATTAAAACTAGGAACTTCTATTCATCAGAATGCCACATTGAGAACATAGAAAGGCAAACCACAGAATGGCAGAAAATGTTTTTACATATAAAATCAACAAAAGGCACATCTCTAGGAAGTATAAAGAATTCTAGAAATCCGTAATGTTCTTCACATAAGCAAAGGACATTTAAACACATTAGAACAATGGCAAAATTTCTTTCTTTTTTTTATTTTTTTGAGTTGGAGTCTTGCTCTGTCACCCAGGCTGGAGTGGAGTGCAGTGGTGTGATCTTGGCTCACTGCAACCTTCGCCTCCTGGGTTCAAGCGATCCTCCTGCCTCAGCCTCCCAAGTAGTTGGGACTACAGCCACGTGCCACCACATCTGGCTAATTTTTGTATTTTTAGTAGAGATGGGGTTTCTCCATATTGGTCAGGCTGATCCCAACCTCAGGTGATCCACCCACCTTGGCCTCTCAAAGTGCTGAGATTACAGGTATGAGCCACTGCGCCCAGCCTGCAAAATTTCTTTAAAAGTCACTTAAAAAAATTGAGGAGTGGGTGGCTAATGTCCAAAGAATCAATAAATACACCAAAATACTTTCAAACTCATTAGTCATAGAAGTACACATTACAACCACAATATGATTACTTATGTAGACACCAAAATGGCTAAACATTCAAAAGTCTGACAAATATCTCCTATGGATGAGGATTTTGAGTAATTGGAATTATCATATACTGTGGGTGGGTATGAAAACTAGTGAAACTGCTGTGGAAAATGAGTTGGCATTATCTACTGAATATAGCCAAGCCCTCCAGCCCAGCAATTTCACATGTGCACCAAAATACATGTACATGAATGTTACTAGCACCATTATTAAAATAGCTGCCAATCTGACACAACCCAAATACTCATCATCAGTAGAACGAGCAAATACATTTTGGCATATTCCTACCAAATATACTGTATGAAATGAAAATGAATGTGCCGCTGATACAAACAACAGGTACATCTTACTAACTGAATCCCGAATGAGAGAAGCTGAGCAGCAAGTGAATACATCCTGCTATGTTTCCATCACTGTGAAGCTCAAAACAGACAACGCTGGTCTGCATATGAGGGTATGGGGGCCTGGGGGCGTGAGGGTGGGAAGTGATAGAAGGTGCTTTATGGAGGATTTGGGGGCCACCGTGATGGTTTCTTTCTCTCTCTCTCTCTTTTTCTTTTTTCTTTTGTGATGGAGTCTCACTCTGTCGCCCAGGCTGGAGTGCAGTGGCGCGATCTCAGCTCACTGCAAGCTCTGCCTTGTGGGTTCACGCCATTCTCCCTCCTCAGCCTCCTGAGTAGCTGAGACTACAGGCACCCGCCACCATGCCCGGCTAATTTTTTTGTATTTTTAGTGGAGACGGGGTTTCACCGTGTTAGCCAGGATCGTCTCGATCTCCTGACCTCGTGATCTGCCCGCCTTGGCCTCCCAAAGTGCTGGGATTACAGGCATGAGCCATCATGCCTGGCTGATGTTTTATCTCTTGATGCAGGAGAAGGTTGTATATGTTTATTCACTTTGGAATTATCAAACTACATACATCTGACTTATATGCTTTTCTGAAGTCCTGTTACAGTTCAATTTTTAAAGAAGATTTCAAAAATGCAGATGTCGACCCCATATATTTTAAGAGGAAAATATTGGAAGAAATTGTGCTATTTCCTTTGGTGCTCTGTATCTTGGAACTATCCCATAAATACTGATGAATTTGCATGAGTTACTGGGAATATCATTACTGTGAGTATTATTTTCTCAGAATATACATGAGGGGAAAGAAGCCTCAAATCAAATCTCGAATGTCATGAGCCACATTCTTTCTGGAGCTTTAGGGGAAAACATTTTCTTATCTATGAAATTTGCATGGTGCTTCTCCAGGCCCATAACAATGGATGAGGGAGAAATTGGAACATTTTTTACATTTTGCTGCAAGCAGAGAGTATTTATAATTACGCTGATTTAACCTCTAGTTCACTTTTCCTGACAAAATTCAGATCCATGAAGGTAAGTCTGCCAAAGCCCAAATAGATTCGTGGATATCACACTTGGCTGCTGACCCTAAAAAATGCAGAAATGTTGGGTTAAAATTATGAATGGAGTATGAATTGAGTATGTCTTCAAGGACTAAATGTGTCTTATTCATTTAGGCTGGTAAGAGGCAAGACTGGTAAGAGAGAGGGCGTCTCCATAGCTGAACTCCTGGCTCATGTAATTTATTTTGTATTGATAAATATATTCCAGTATCCTGGAGTGAAAATCGTGAAAATAAACAGGCATTTTCAATTCTTTTGCAGGAAAACATTAGCTTGCTTTTGCATGGGGGAGTGAGAAGGGAGATGACTTTATAGAGAAGACTGATCAGCATTAGAATAAAATATTTATCTAATAGTCTGAGATTTCTCTTTAGGAGAAAGGACTTTTCCATCAGCAAAAGAAATGCATATGTATCAGATTATCTTAAAGAGATTCATACACAGCTGTTGGAATCAACTCCTGCTAAGGGTGAACAGTGCAGTGAATAGCAAACATGATATATGCAAATAATTTTCCATTATAAACATAGATTATTTTCTTTTTCCTAAACTATGGCAATCACAATAAAAATGATTAACTGTGCTGAGAGGAAAGAGGTGGCAGTGGGGAATCTGAGGTGGCATTCATGTTTGGCTTCGTCAAATTGTGCACCTTTTTATCTTCTAAGTTAATGGTATTGTACTTATAAGCTTTGCATATTCTAATTTATTTCCCCAGACTGCAAATGATTTTTCTTGTGCTAAACCAGCTTCATAAGGTCTCGTGGATAATCCTGCTACTTGGTTTTTATCCTCAAATGTGTTTGCACAGATGGGATTTCCGATGTGGAATAATGAGCAGTCTGGTGGTATCCCACTGCAGACCCTGACCCTCCCCATCTGTCTCATGGTGGGTGGTCCCTGACACACTTGCTGTCTGGGCAACTCCTCTTGGCTTCATTAGTGCAGAATGAACAGTGCAGCATGCGCATAGTTTCAGCCCTCACGTGTTCAAAGTCCCTTAGCTTGAGCAAAGCCACAGGAAAACCTCAGCGCTGAGTCCCTTAAAATATTCACACTATGCCAACACAGTCACGATCACCAGCACTAATGTGCACACTGAAATGGGGGTGGGTTACTTGGTTTTAAAGTGTCACATAGATGTGGTCCAGATTATGTCTCAAACAACAATCTACCCCGTACTCTTTCTAAAGAAGCTACAGGACAAAGTTATCTACCGAAGTGAGGAAGTAAAGCAAGAAAGAGCAGGACATGAGGTATAGGAAATGGGGGGTCTAGCCCAGAAGCAAGTGCAGGGATACCCCAGGTGGTGGCGAAGAGAGTGCCCAGGGGACAGCTGTGGCCAGGCACAGAGGGCACCCAGGCCTGATGCGGCCAGTCAGCAGAGCAGGAGGCTGTTTCAGGAAGGTGTTGGTTAACCTGACGTGGTCAGTTTCCTTCACTGTAAGGGGTGTGATTTAGCCATCTCTCAAGGGTATTATGACAAATGAATATGTCACATATAATTGTTGATATTGCCCCCCTCCCTCCACTTTTCCTAAGAAAGAATTTCTTTTTACATGTAAAGTTTCCAATAATAGGATCTTGTACAAAGCAGAAAAATAGGAAATTATTTTTTCAGCAGCAGTGTGAGCTAATGAATAAGACACAATTTTTAAATTATTTTGTAAATTTTAAAGGCAACACATACATAAGAAACAACTGTAACTCATAACCATATTGTATTTTCTTAAATAAAATAACTTAAATTGCCTGTAATTGGCTTAATTGTTAACATTTGTAGAAAACATAAGATCAGGGAGAGAGTTAAAGAGGCAGGTGACCTCTGTCTCTTGTTATCAAAAGGCTATGGCAGAATCATATGTTATCCAGTTTCAAAAGAAGCCTCAGAAAATGTCTTTCCGTAGCTTCAGATGATTTAAAATTGATCTCCTATAGCTTGTCCCACTTTTGTATTCTTAGGCACAGATAAAATAGTTGCTCTCAATTGTAAGGCAAACTGCTTTGAGGACTCAGGGTCCAGTCATGTTGCTATTCTCAGGGTTTACTCCTGGTGTTAGATTATATTTCCTTTGTAATCCCGTTATAGAGAAAATAGATGCGCCATAACTTTTTTTAAAACTCTGATTCCAAGTTATCAGGCTTCACTGTTCAAGTGATCAAACATACTTTTGTAAACAGATAAACTTGCCAAGGCCGATTGAATGCACACATACATGTATTCCTGTGTGTGTTTAATATTACACAAAGACACCATAGTTTTTAAAGACTATTTTAAAATCAACTTTAGATTCACAGCAAAATTGAGAGGAGAGTACGGAGACTCTGTTTACCCCCATTCCCACACACGGACAGCCTTCCCCAATATCAACATCCCTCACCAGAGTGACACATTTGTTACGATGAACTGTAGCCCATCGAAGGGCCTATGGGCTTCTAAACACATGTCAGAACTTTGACTCTATAAACAAAACTCATTTAACTTAAAGCTGACCCTTGTAATACAATAGGGAGTGGTGGGGACTGTGGTAATTGACACATCATTATCACTCAAAGTTCACAATTTACATTAAGGTTCATTCGTGGTGGTGTAGAATCTATGGGTTTGGGCAAACGTATAATGACATGTATCCATCATCATAACATACTACATAGCAGTGTCATTGCCCTAAAAATCCTCTGTGCCCCTCTATTTATCCTTTCCTTATCCATACCCCCTGCCAACCACTGATCGTTTGTCTCCATAATTTTGACTTTTCCAGAATGTCATGTAGTTGGAATCATAAGGTATGCAGAGATTAGCTTTTCATGTAGTAATATGCACTTCAGTTTCCTTCATGTCTTTTCACTGCTTGATAGTTCATTTCTTTTTAGTGTTGAATAAGATTCTGTTGTCTGGATATAACATGGTTTATTGAGACATCATAATATTGCTGTAGAAAAGTTTGGGAACCAGGGTGGGAGCGAGCACTGTGCAAATTGCCCCCAAGTTTCCATCTGACAAACATGATATTTACATTTAGTAAAATTTTCCTAAGCATCTTCAGGTATGTCTTTATCAGGCAAAGAGGGTCAGAGTTGAGCAGGACTGTAGCTCCTGCCCCGGAGACACAGCATAGAAACAGCTGCTGTCCAAGGTAGATACAGGCGATGAGATGTATATGGAATCCTGCAGGTTCTTAGGGGTGGGGTCTTAAGGTTTCCAGACGACATGAGATTAACCTGAGTGTCTGCGGAAGGGAAATTTGAAATTGGGCCTTGAAGGATGTTTGCATCAAGAGAGAAGCAAAGTCATTCCTGGCAACAGACACACAATGAATGAAAACTGTGCCTTGGAGAGAGAACACATGTTCCACCCAGAGTATTTAAACTCAGGGAGTGTTTGAATAGAGAGCACCCTTTGGAATTGGAGGGAAGGGATAGTCTTTCTGAGCTGACCTTAGTGACCAAAGAAAACTGAATTCAGAACGGATGCAAAGTGAGCTCCCAGTTGTTAGTCTAAGCCTACATTTCATCTGTTACTCTTGTTTATTCAGGATTCAGGAAAAAATTGTGAAGATGGCCTTTCAGATAGCTATCAGTTTGTTTCCAAGTATAAGCGAGCTGCCTGAAGACTTTTACAGAAAAGTATCCACAACATGGATAGGTGAAAAATCTGTGTTGAGAGAATGAGATGAGAAACAGAATGAAAACTAGAGCATAGTGAGGTATACTCAGATGAAAAATACCTATTCACAAAATATCACAATGCAATTTGCAAGGATAAATGTTTTTTTTCTAGACTGATATCAAACACATTAGGGTGGTGCCTATGAACAGAAAAAGAATACTAGTGGATTTGGAGAATGAGAGTAAAGAAGAAATGATAAAAGCGACCTTTTTTTATTATACTTTAAGTTTTAGGGTACGTGTGCACAACGTGCAGGTTAGTTACATACGTATACATGTGCCATGTTGGTATGCTGCACCAAGTAACTCGTCATTTAACATTAGGTATATCTCCTAATGCTATCCCTCCCCCCTCCCCCCACCCCACAACAGACCCCGGTGTGTGATGTTCCCCTTCCTGTGTCCAAGTGTTCTCATTGTTCAATTCCCACCTATGAGTGAAAACATGCGGTGTTTGGTTTTTTGTCCTTGCGATAGTTTGCTGAGAATGATGGTTTCCAGCTTCATCCATGTCCCTACAAAGGACATAAACTCATCATTTTTTATGAACCAGTGATTATAGTATAATATTAATTGAGGAGAATGGTCACCTGAACTCTGTGCTCTCATTACAAGGATATATTTTAAGCAATCAAAAATATTTTTAAAGAAGCTTGTACAAACCAATGGGTGTAAACACGGATCTGAGTCTCTAATTAAATGAATTAAAAGTCTCCAATTTCTGTTTATAGGGTCAAGATTCTGATGTGGGTTTAGAAGCCCATAGGTCCTAAGGAACTCAGTCTTCTTTGGCATATAATTCAGAGTATGATGAGGCCTGGAGTCACAAATACAAATGTGCACAGCAGCCAGGAGCAGGTAATCTATATGAGGAAGCTGACCCCTGTAAGACAATAGAGAGTGGTGGGGACTGTGGCAAGCTGAAGAGCACATGTCTCATCGAAAGCATGCAGTGTCTGTTTCCTCACCTCCTGTGGATCATAGCTATGTGGGAATATGGACCCTGTTACCACATCCTCAATTATTTTATTGAAAAGACAGATATCCTGAACTTAAGGTGAAATCTTCAAACATTTTAAAGCAATAGACGGAACAAAGGGACCATTTCTGAGGACCAAATCCAACCTCTGGGTCACAAGTGCAACCTTTGACCCACACCGTGCTTCCCAGCTTCCCCATCCCCTTCATCTGACATCCAAAACACTCAAACAGTTGACTAATCTCCAACAGGTGCACATGGGTTATAACAAAATCCCAACTCTACGACAACCTCAAATCTAATGTGACCAGCCACAGTGTTCCAATAAAATTATTTTTCAGGTTTTATTGCCAATTTAAGTATATATACATTTTAGATAAAAATGCAACATTCAAATAAACATTTTTATATACTTTTATCTCTATAGATGTATTTAAAGCCACCTATTATGTAAAATAATGTACTCATTTATATTTTCACATGTTTTATGAATCAATTAACATTCTTCATATGCACCTTTGACATCAATGTCTTCCTCATTATTCTTGAACTCATGTAACTCAGTTGTTCTAAGAGTTTCACTTTCACATCAAAGTCATTTGAGAAACAACAGCCCATGATACATGTTACTGAGAAGGTGATGGTGACCATGGTATCCACTGATGTGCAATGAGGGTAGTTGCCATTGTTTATTTGGACCTGTAGATACATATCCGTAATGCAACAAATTGCTGGACAACACTTTCATGGAACATTGCAATCACATGTTCACAGCAAATCCTCAAGGCTTGACATTTTGAGGTGAAACCTTCAGGGATAATAATAAAGTTTCCATTTAATGACTTTGTCTCTTTTTACCATGTGGTTCAGTTGGCATCATAAATTTCCAAATCCAGTCCCAGTGGAGCTTGATTTAGGTTGAAGTATCGTTCCCTACATTGTACTTTGTTGTTCAACATAGTGTCATGGTGATGGTACCCCATAATATTATGGGCCTTTTTCAGGAACAATTACTGGGGAACACACATGTGCACACTGGATACCAACGCATTTGTGTCTCTATACATCACAGTGGACTCACTTGGCCTAATCAAACTCCCATTTCCCTTTCAATACTAGCATGCTGGGATTGGGGTCCATGATTCCCTGAATTTTTGAATGTCACTCACACGAGACTTGGGAGTAGGAAGTGAAGCTTAGAAAATTTGGATCATTGGCAGATCTGTCTCCCATGCCAGTAAAAGGCCACTTACTCATGGTGCCATATGGCCCTGAATGGATTTTCACAGGTACATCCCTGGTGTACAGTGACAAGCACTATGTCGCCAGAAGGCACATTAAGGCTTCCAGTCAGTGCACAGTTCTGGGGGACATCTGAGTTTCCTGGGGACCTCTGAAGCTCAGCTACCCATTTAGTTTCTCCCTGAAATGCCTGGGTGCTCTAAGCAGCTAACTATCTGGGGTCCACAGAAGACCATGTCTTCCCGAAAATTCTGTTTGTTAATTTATTTCTGTCCTCCTCCCAGCACCCAGTGATTGGCAACCTGTTACACTTAAGACCTTTAATGATGTGAGGGCTGTTCTGTGGATAGAAATAAAATAGCTGATACAGAAATTTCTTTTAATAGACCTTGAGGTAAGCTTTACACTTAAATTATAAGGTGAAAGGAAGAAAAGCTGCTGTGAGTTCATTCTCCTCTCTTCCCATACCCTAAATGACTTATCCCATTAAATTGAATTCTGAAAGCTGCAAAACAAGATACCTGGCTATTGTGTGACTCTTGTGTTACTATGTATACCTCTGAGTGTATTTCTCTATCATGGGAGATTGTGTAAGATCTCTATGTTGTAGAGATCTTAAGTCCTTGTTTCCTGCCAAAGCCCCTCTCGGAATCTATCCAGCCAGATGGTTCTCTTGTGTTAGTCCAGTAGGGGGGCTTTAAATAAAGAAATCCAACACGGACACCACTGGAAAGTGTCCCAGGGTTGGAAGATAATGAGGAAGCTGATTTTTCTCATGCAAAGACAAAAGTGACATCTTCTTAAAATTCTTAATTCAATTTGAAGGGAGAAGTAATTACCTCCTCTGGCCATGATGTTGAAATGTCCATAGAGAGGAAAATGGACTTCACCCTCATTAACTCCGTGGATCAGAGCCAAAAGCAGCATTAGCCAAAAAGGCTTCTTCAAGGGCACAGATCCCCTAGATCAAAGCATGTTCTTGAGAGAATAGAGCATGAAGTTTTGTGAGTGACTCCAGTTAGAATCACATGGAGACTTTTCTATTTTTAATGAATCTTTCTTGTATTGTAGTTTATGCAGGTCCACAGTTGGGAACAGGGCAAAGCAGGGATGTGGCATCTGAAATGATTTTTTCTGTCTTCATTGATTCGAGCCTGTGACTGTGGCTGGCAGCTGTTCTACTGGTATTTATCTTGGAGGCTGGTCACACCATCAGGCTCTACAGCACAGAAAAACTTCATTTTTACTCTCTGTCCAGGGCCTTCAGACACTCACTGATACCTCTGTTCATTTGTGGCTGTAGATAATACCTAACCCAATTTCAGCTTACAAAGCCCCATTGAGCAAATGCAAAGTTACAAAGTGCCTCCCTATACAATAGGAAACAGCCCAGCCTGGGAACATTGTCACAAGCATTAATAGGTCACTGTACCTACACATCACTGCATATGCTATTGTGTGCAGTCATTCCAACTCTCCTCTAATTAGAGGGGTGATTCATGTCAGGGGCATAAAGCAAATATTACTTTATTTTTCCAAATTCTAGAAAGCAAGCTTCCATTTTTGATAATAGAAATTTGGGAATGATTGGCAGTCATTTGGCTCACAGGGAAAGCAGGAAAAACAAGAAATCTAAATAAATCTCATATTGATTTTGAAGAAGCTTTCTTGTGACATCTGGTATGCTTTATTTTGTATGTATCAAATCCGAAAATAATAAACAAGTTGATGTAAACAAATGCTTGAAGTAATGCTCAAATGGCAGCTGGATACTTGAAGACGACAGTAGGAAATTTAGCTTTATTAACGGTGCATGCTTGTGCACAGTACAAACTTTATACTTCCTAAATGTTGTCTGAATAAATGATACACAAGCATCAAAATATGTTTGAAAAACATAAAAAATGGTAGAAATATGAGATTATGTCTGAGAAAGCAGCTCAGAGTGGGGTTCTAACCCCAGCTTTCTGATTAGCCCACTCTTGACCTCAGATTGCATCACATAAGCCCTCTGAGCTTCAGTTAAATCCTTTATCAAGCAAGGGACTTAACTCTGTGACCTGGGAGGCTCTGGCTTCCTGTCACTGCCATGAGGCTCTAGTACAGCCAGAGATACAGGGGTCTAAGAACCTGTGTTTAGGATTTTGAGCTGGTTTGATTCAGGTAATCATGTTCTATCTCTGTGTCCTAATCTGTGTTTAAGGTTTTGAATTGGTCTGATTCAGGTAATGGTGTTCTATCTCTGTTTATCAGGATCTTTACCCCTGATAAAAATCCAGAGATCACTTGAATGCAGGTGGTTTTCTCTTCATATTGTTCAATGAAGAAAGCACCAATTAAGGATTCATAATAAACCATTGCCCAGTGAGAAATTGGCCTGGGGTTCCAGGGTGAAGAGGACAGAAGATTTTCATTGGGAGCACCTTAATGAGGACAACAGATCCTGGCTTAATAGAGAACATAAAGTAATAAAGAGAGACAAATCCATCTATCCATTCATTCCACAGCATTGATTGAGTGTCCGCTGTATACAATGGGATAAGGAAAAGATGTCCGTTGGTTCATGCGCAATGATGGTAACAGGTTTTCATTGCTGAACATTACATATTTCCTTTTTAATTTTAATGTTTAATTTTCGTGGGTACATAGTGGGCATATTTATTTATGGGGTACATGAGATTCACTCTAATAAGGTGTAGTGAGTTCCAGGGATTTCAGAGTTGATCAAGGAAAACCATATGGCCACAAGGTGGCAGTAGCGCACAATGAATTTGTTCAGGCTTCGCTTTGACAGATTTGCCAGCAGGGCAAGTCCCTCATGGCACGAGACCATCCAGAGGCCATGGTTCAGGAGCCCTACCTAGAAGATGAAGAGGTCAAGGGAAATTCTAGGGAAGATGGGGCTTATGTTTCCAGGTGATGTTTCTCAGCAGCACAGTGGGAAGTTTGGGTTAGAGAGCTTTGAAGAGCAGAAGATGCTTGGGGTCTTTTACAGCAAAAGAGTTTATTTTATCAATGGCTAGCAGATAGGGGGCACACTTTTGGTAGATATCCAAAGCAGGCAGGCTCTAAGTGGATAAAAGTCTGCTTATTTGGGCTATGATTAGAACAATTAGATGTGTAAAAATTTGAGTTGAGTGCCAGTGGGCTTTTGAGCTAATGGTCCCAGCCTACTGTGAAGAAGTATACAATCCAGAGGCCAAAAATAAAAGGGCCATCTTTAGTTCATTTATGTAACACGTGGTCAACTGATCCTAACCCCATGGGCATCATAGACTAGTGAGTGAGACAGACACACCTACTCATCCATCCATTCACACAACAAGCAATGACTGGGTTCCTCCTTCATCTCTGAATGTCATCACACAGGGCATGGGGGATTCAGAAATAAAGATGGCATCTTGAAGGAACTCATGCTCCATTGAACATGTCCAGATTTTGGTCTGAGTACAGACAGCAAGAGTTAATATAGAAGTGGGGACTCTGAATGATGCAAGTCTCATCAGCAGAGGAGCTGGGGGAGTGGGAAAATATCATGAGCTTTCCTAGAGGGAGTGGCAATCAAGCTGACTTTCGAAGGAGAAGCCAGAGACAGCCCAGCGGATATGCTGGAAAATGTTTTGCGAACTGAGGGGCCAGCATGTAACAAGGCTCCTATGCCTTGGGGACACAAGCTGAGTTTGGTGGAGCTTTGGATTGAAGAACAGAAAGAGCAAGACATTAGGCAGTGCATGCAGGCAGGGGCTAGATAAGGCAGAACCTGTGGGACGCAGTAAGAAGTGGAGCCAGTGAAAGTGTTAAAGCATGGCAGTGTACACAATTCTCCCTGACTGTGGAGGAAAGGAGGGTGGCTGCTAGGACACCAGATGGGAAGGAAGTACTGGCATCCAGGTGCCTGATGCTGAGGGCCAGAGGTAAAGAGGCATGGACAGAAGAGCCAGCCTGGGAGCTGGTGAGGAGGTGGGATTAGAGTCCTGCTAAGGAAGCACAAGTCAAGGGACTTTAGTCCCCAACCATGTGCATCCCTCCTGACCTGGTTATCCAGAACAGCTCTGCACACACTCACCACATGCTGAACTGAGGGGTGATTTGCAATTGCTGGGGTGATATAGGAAGAGCATCCAGGCAGAGGGAAGGGCTTAGGGTGAGGGCCAGCCTGGCTGCTTCAGGACCATGTGGAGGCCAACACAGTGAGGTCACTCTAATAAGAGATGGGGTCTGAGTGTGGGATAATGGAGGGCCAGGCCAAGTGGGGCCTTGTGGGTCACTGTGCAGACTTGGGAGCTTATGAGGGGTTGCACAGAGGGTGGTCTGTTCTCACTTGCTATTTCAGGAGAGCACACTGGCTGAGCAGACTTGGAAGCTTATGAGGGTTTGCACACAGGAGGGCCTGTTCTTACTTGCTATTTCAGGGGAGCACACTGGCTGAGAGGGGGCAAGGGAAAAGGGAGGTAATTTAGGTAATTGCAAGCAAGAAGAGAAGGTATGCTGGACAGGTAGAGGCACTGGAGTGAGAAGTCTCAGTTGCTTGTAATATTGAAGATAAAGGACTGATTATGGGTGGCAAAAAAAAGATGTCAAGGAAGACACCAAAATATTTTTCTTGAGCAGGTAGAAGGATGGAGATGTCACTAACTGACATAGGTCAGACAGCTGGGGGGTGGGTTTAGAAGAGAAGATTTCACATGCCTCTTCCCACACTCTGGGACCCAGCCCCATAGATTTCAGATCCACCTCAGGGTCCTCACATCTGCAATTTGCTGTGACTGAAACAGTTCCTAAGCTTCCCTTAACATGTGCCTGTTTTATGCAGTCATCCTTCAAATTCCTTGTTAGTCATTGCTTCTGAAGTCTTTTCTTTTTTCTTTTCTTTTTTTTTGATGGAATCTTGTTCTGTCACCTAGGCTGGAGTGCAGTGGTGTGATCTCAGCTTACTGCAACCTCTGCCTCCCGGATTTAAGCAATTCTCTGCCTCAGCCTCCCAAGTAGCTGGGATTACAGGCATGTGCCACCATGCTCAGCTAATTTTTGTATTTTTAGTAGAGATGGGGGTTTCACCATTTTGGCGAGGCTGGTCTTGAACTCCTGACCTCGTGATCCACCCGCCTCAGCCTCCCAAAGTGCTGGGATTACAGGCATGAGCCACCGCGCCTGGCTACTTGTGAAATCTTTTCTGACTCACCTTGCTTTTAGCTAGGTTAGGTTACTGTGACTTACTGAGTTCACATGTATTATGAAAGCCTGCAGCCAGCCTGCCTTGTTCAAATCTCAGCTCTGCCACCTTAAACGCATGCTACTCATGGGAAATGATTTTATTTCTTATTGCCTCAGTTACCTCATCTGTGAAATGGGCCTAATTATAGCACCAACTCACAGAGCAGTTATATCATATACCATATATATCATATAATGCATCCTATATGACCAAATTTAATATGAGACATTTTCCCCAAATTACCCCTAATAATGGAATAGTCCAAGTTCTCAAATTGGACAGAAGGGAAGTTAACATGCTTTAGGAAATTGTACTGATAAGTCGGGAAGCTGCCTTAGTGATGACAAATATGCTAAAGTCTGCTCCTTTTGCCCTCTCCTGCATGGGGCTTTCTTTCCTTACCTGCTTTAAGAGTGATTTTTTTAGTGCAGTGGATAATTAAGGACAAGAAATTTATCCTTAGTTTTTCCTTTTTTCTAACGAAAATATATGCACCCTGCCTGATAGGTTTCCTGTTTTCCAGGCCTCTTGTCCCTGAGTTAGAAAGTAGATTGCGTAGGTGTTTATTTATTGCATCTTTTATTTTCCCCCACAAGGAGCCCCTGTTTTATATGATGAGGTAAAAAGG
Source organism: Homo sapiens (assembly GCF_000001405.40). NCBI lineage: Eukaryota > Metazoa > Chordata > Mammalia > Primates > Hominidae > Homo > Homo sapiens. The sequence goes on from NC_000012.12 coordinate 126,072,817, forward strand.
AGACTGGATACATTTTTCTGAATTAAACTACAATTGCCTTCTAGATAATGGAGATTTCTTCCAGAATTGAAAATTGTTTTGTCTACTCTTCCTCATGAGTTGAGTCAATTTTATGTATATTTTTTATTCATTTTATTTTTCTTAGTGTTTTAGTGAAGGAAACGACAGCCCTATGGCCAAATCTGGCCCACCTTCTATTTTTGCAAAGTCAGTTTTACTGGAACACAGCCATGCCCATTCATTTTCAGATTGCCTGTTTCCACTAGCTGCCTAACAAATTACCACAAACTGATTTTTCAGGAGGCCAGAAGTCCAAAATCAAGGCGTGGCCAGGATTGGGTCCTTCTGGGGGCTCCGAGGGAGAGTCCGTTCCACACCTCTTTCCCAGCTTCAGTGGCTGTGGGAAACCCTCTGTGTCCCTTGTGGTAGAAACATCACTTCAATCTCCGCCTCTGTGGTCACAGGGACTTTTCCTTTGTGTATGTGTCTTCTGTCCTCTCCTCTTACAGGAACATCTGTCACTGGATTTAGAGTCCACCCTAAATGCAGCATGTTTGCATCTCTAGATCCTTTACTAATTATATCTGCAATGCCCGTACTTCCAAATCAGGTCACATTCATAGGTACTGGAGCTTAGGCCTTGAAGACATCTTTTTTAGGTGGACACAAAGGAACCCACTACAGGTTGCTAAGTCTCGAGCCACTAGGTTTATTTCTTGGCCTACTAAGTGGAGGAGAGGGCACTGCAGATTGGAAGCATCTGGGGATACTGCAAGCTCCGAGAGCAGGGACTTGGCTGCTTTGCTCAATGTTGTGCCCCTTGCCTGGCATATAAGACAAGAACTAGAGGCATTTGCTACATCCAAAAAGAATAACTGGCTGAACAATTTGCTGCTATGTATGGGCTCTGTGCTGGACACTGGAAATACTGTTGGGATTTGTATAAATGGGCTTTGTTTCCTTATGGAATATATAATGTGGTCAAGAACGTGGACCAAAATATAAAAATAATTTAAGAAATAAACATGGAATGCCCTTCTGTATTGAAACAGCAAACTCTAAGCAAGTAAAATATGCTATTTGAGTCACATTCAAAAATACACAAATCCATATACGATACATTGCACAAACTCCTCGGAAGATTGGCCCTAAGTAGCACTTTGGTAACCATCTAATTCTGTCCAGTGTTATTAAAGAATCCAATATGACCTTGACAAGCTGTTGTACGACAGGGCTCTGATTTCATAGCCTTATTGATCACATGCTCTAATTTAAGGAATGCCTTCCTGCCAAGGAGCATGAACCCTAAGAAATGTTTTTGAAAATATCTAAAATTTTTGGATAAGAAAATGAAGCTCCATAGCCTGAGCCACTCTCATTTCACCCTTGCGTGGCTGTGGTAGATGTGGACTCTTCCCTCTGCATTCACCCTGGTCATCTTTCCATCATCCCCACACAGTGGCCAGGTGAGCTTTGCAAAATGCAAATATCATCTTGTCTTCACCCCCTGCTTAGACCCTTTTGAATTGTTTCCCTTTGCTTTTAGGACTCTGGGCAGTGCTGTGACCCTGGATTTTGCATTTAAGATAAAGCCAGTCTCTCTAGCATGGCCTAATAGCCACGGGCTGCATCCTGTATCTGATTCCTCCTTGATCTTTTCCAGGATGGACCTAAGTTTTGTGATGTCTGAAGCACTTCACATAGTGTGGACTCTGCTTAAGAAAATGAAGACGAGATTGCAAATACACAAAGAAGTAGAGGGCTTTGGAGGAGTTCTGTGTGAAATGGGGTCTTAAAGCTTAATCTCCACATCAGCTCCGTGGTGAATCCACCTGGCTGTTGTGCTCACAACTGTTTCTTACCCCCAAGACCTTGGGACATGCCATGCTCCTTTCAGGAAAGTTCTGCCGGCTTCTATTAATCTAGTTGACTTCCCTTCCCTCTCAGATGTCAGCTTAGGTCTTACTTCCTCAGGGAAGACAAAGAAAACCAGAGGGAAGGTCATATGATTTGGCTGTGTCCTCACCCAAAATCTCATCTTGAATTGTAATCCCCATAATGCCCACATGTCAAGGGAGACCAGGTGGAGGTAATTGAATCATGGGGGTCTTTTCCCCCATACTGTTCTCATGATAATGAGCGAGTTCTTGCGAGATCGGATGGTTGTATAAGTGTTTGGTGGTTCCTCCTGTGTTCATTCTCCTTCCTGCTGCCTTGTGAAGAAGGTGCCTGCTTCCGCCGCTTCACTTTCTGTAAGTTTCCTGAGGCCTCCCCAGTTATGCTGAACTGTGAGTCAATTAAACCTCTTTCATATATATGTGTATATATATAATTGTATTATACTTTTATTTTATATAATTTTATTATACTTTAAGTTCTGGGATACATGTGCAGAACGTGCAGGTTTGTTACATAGGTATACACATGCCATGGTGGTTTGCTGCACCTATCAAACCATCATTTACATTGGGTATTTCTCCTAATGCTCTCCCTCCCCTAGACCCCCACCCCTTGACAGCCCCTGGAGTGTGATGATCCCCTCCCTGTGTCCATGTGTTCTCATTGTTCAACTCCCACTTATGAGTGAGAACATGCAGTGTTTGGTTCTCTGTTCCTGTGTTAGTTTGCTGAGAATGATAGTTTCCAGCTTCATCCAAATTACCCAGTCTCGGGCAGTTCTTTATAGCAGTGTGAAAATGGACTAATACAGAAAGTAAACATCCTGCGGGCCCAGAGCACCTGCCAGCCGGGTAAGCAGATGAGCAGGGACCCTACTAGCTCACACCTGGATGGAGATCAGGAACAGGAAGCAGTGGGAGTCCCTGCCTTTTGTTGTCCAGTTTGCATTCTGCCTGGATCAGTTCCACCTCTTGGGTCTCTCTCAGCGTCATTGGGTGCTGCTCCCTGACATGTCAGGCTACAATCTCACACCTCCTCTGTGGCTCTTTCATTCGTGTCTAATTCTCCTCCAGCCCATAAGGCTCAGTGAAGGCGGGTGCCTGGCTTGTTTGTGTTCAGCCTCCTCTTCACAGTGCCTGGAACATAGTTGGCACTCAGTACGTATTCAGTGAAACATGAATGAACCAGGGGTCTGTGATTCATTACAGGACAGGGTGGAAAACCCCAAAAACCCACAAGAGAATTCTGATTTGTTTGGAGAAGCATCTTCTGGCCTTATGAAACAGGGGAGGGCAGGAGGCATGGACTCTGGAGACTCCTGCCCTCCCCTCTCATGTCATAGAGAGTAGTTCCTGGAGCATGGAGACAGCCTGTACCTAGAGAAAATTTCCATTTCTGGACACTCATTATTGTCTGTGGTGCTTTTGTCAAAAACATGCTTCAGAAGGCTTATTTTATTCCTTGTTGTCTAATTCTAATAAAACTACCCTGGGAATCCTTACAGAAATGACTGCAGACAGAGTTAAACTGAGAAATGGCCCAGAAAATAAGTACCTGAAGATAAAGAAATTCCCAGCTTTAGCTCTCAAGAAATGGATATGTCAGTTTCTTATACTCTTAGGTTTAATTTCTGCAAAGTGTACATCACACTTTCCCCAGCTTCAAGCACAGCTCAGAGCCTGTGGCGTTCTCTTTCATCTTGGTTTTATTTTTGTCTCAGCTATTAACATTTGACTTTTCTTGTCTGAGTTTGGTCATTGTAATGCATTTATGTGTACAGGACACAGTTTTGAAGTTTCTTGCATCAAGGTGTTAATTGTTTTCTAAGTTCCAATTAAAATGTGTTAATGGGAAATGAAGAATCTAAGGTAAGAGTCTGATACAGTTACTAAGTATTTTCTCTCTCTTCTTGGTCAAATGGCACTATCATTTTGGGGCTGATCCAGCTACATCTGAGCCAGCTGGAAGTGCAAAACTCATCCACTGACGAATGTCACTCTAAAAGTGAACCAAGGTTGTAATCATTTTGAAAAGCCAATTCAGTGCACAGCTGCCCTGCCTGGGAGCTGTAAGCCAGAAAAGACACTTGTGGCATTTGGATCTAGTTCATAATTGCTTGAACATATCCTACCTGGAGTACACCAAAGGCAAAAGGATTTATACAAGTTCTGAGGGTGGGTTACAGTATAAGTGTAAAAGTTTTATGATGTAGGCTCTGAAGCTCTGACTTAAGTGCTCACTTTAAACTCTTACTAGTAGTGAAACCTTGGGTAAGACCTTGGAACTTCAGATTCCTCTTTCTAGCATGTCGGTGATATATTTCCCTAGGATTCTGAGAATTACATCACATAAATGGGTTTTGTGGCAAAGTTCACTTCAAATCATGCTTAAGAAACACCAGTTATTGTTTCTATTTGTTGTTCTTATTATGACCATTCTTTGCAAAATGATGAAACCATCATGCACCCCATCAGATTGATGTAGATTTCTGTACTAAAAAACAGTATTTCCCTCCAAAGTGGTTTGTATCATTTTGTAGTGTTCATGGCAATAGTACTGACATTATTCCATTCATTTTTATTATCAACAGAAAGACTGACATTTGCTTCTGTTGGGGTATTTTAGGAAGCTCCTAGGAATAGTCCACTTTCTTAGAGGTTTCTGAAGCCCACTGATCTCATAGGGGTTTTTAATTGATTTTTTTCTTCTGTACTCTTGGATACCAAGAGCCTTGGGTTTGCAAGCTTTGTAATTCATAGATGAGTTTCTAAATGAGCTGGTTTCCAGAAAAGGACAAGAATATTTTTAATACTACTCAATCAGCTTTTCCCTTAGTTAAAAGTGGGCCCCCTTACATGTGATGGTGGCAGGGGATAAACATCTTTTAGCAAAATATGCCACTGATAATCTAGACCCTGTAGAGAACTCGTTTGTGTATCTAAAACTGAAAGCAAGTTGCAATGTTAGCTATAGCTACTAGGGCCAATTGCATGGCCAGGGGCAAGTGATGCAAAATAAATTGAACAGATACTGAAATAGGTCTCTAAAATGGCACTTTCTGTTGGCCTAATCAAAGCTCAGTAGAAAATATATCTTAAAATAGGCCAAGACAAAATCTCTCTAAATAAGGAGGTGAGAAGAATTTGCATACAAAATAAAGGTGGCACGGCTTACAAATACTAAGGAAAATGGTTTCCTTCTGACTCTGTCATTCCAGCTTACAAATGGGCACCTTTACTACCTTTTCAATCTATTTATCATTATCCCCATCACTACCACCATCACCAGTGTCATCACTGCTATGTTTTATTAGGCACTTGATATTTGCCAGGCATAATGCTGGACATAAGATATGTTGTATCTCATTTAATTCTTCAATAAGCCTAGAAAGTAGACCCTTTGACACTTAGAGAAGAAAACAGCAAACTGTGGTCCCAAAAGTAGTCAGAGGTGGAGTTAGGACCTGAACCCAGCTCTGCTACTTCTAATCTCTATATCTGTAATCATCACATTATCTGGACATTATCTTATACAAAATCTGCAAAGTTTAAATTTTAAGCACCTAGAAGACAGGCTGAGAATTTCATGTATTCTTTCAACATCCTTGTTCTTTTCTTATTTATTTATTTATTTATTTATTTATTTATTTATTTATTTACTTACTTACTTATTGGTGGTGCGTGTTATGGGACTGCATTGTGTTGGTCTCCACAGTACCAGTTCTCATCAGATGCTAGTCATCTTCCATTTTTGCTCTCTCCATGCTATGGTCTGCCCTTTCCAGCCCTACTTGGCTCAGGAGGCTGATCTTGAGGACTGTATTCCCTGGCCTTCCTTGCTGGTCGACTTCTTGTTGAAGTTGGGCACTGAGAACCACCCGCAGCAGATCTGATGCCAGGAGGAGAGAGATGGAACATTGCTCCTGCTCCCGCCTTGGTTTCACACTGTGTGTCAGCTTTGACTGCATTCATCTCAGACTGCAGCTCCTGCCAGGTGTCCCCTTCCCCACTGCTCCAGCTCTTGTTGGCTCCAATTACACTCTTTCCTCCTTGCCTTGTACCCTCGGGCTGGACGTTGGTAATAACTTCTCACTGCTGCTGGTCTCTGGGTGCCTCCTTATCTCTTCTTTGTTCCTAAAGCCCTGTGCACACCTCTGAATGTATTACTTTTCATGGGAATCTATTGTAGCATCTCAGGTGGCCTCTAAACTTGAGACCCCTTTCTGAACAGGCCAAAAGACTCAGAAGAGTCTTTACCCTAGCTTTGAATTAAATAGTATGGTCTGGCCTAAGACAAGTCAGAACATTACAGTGCAGAAGATGGGTTCAGTTCTGAGATGGGCACAGATCTAGAGAGCCATCCAAATGAGAGACTTCAGCTAGAAATGCTGGTATAGAGGCAGATTCTTGTTGAACTGGAATCTAATAGATATAAGGTTCAGAGCTGCAGGTCATCAGAAGAGAAAAGCGATTTGAGCATGGACCTTACCCAGAGAAAGTGGAACCAAGAGAAGGAAAGAGGAAGATGTTGTGATGACCTCATGTGAACCACTGGATCAAGCCATACGTGAAGCCAGACATTCCTAAACATTTTAATTACGTGAGCTACTACAACTCCTTGTTTTTGTTTTTTTTCTTTCCTAACTCTGTTTTATCATGTGAAACCCAAAGAGTTCTAATTATAGTGTGTGTATGTGTAGGGGGAATAGGCTCTTTAAAAAACAAAAGCAAAAACAAAAAACAAAAACTAATACAGCTAGTCATCTTTAAAAATACACATAGACACGTTCCACATATGTTTTCAGGGGTTTCATCTTGCATCTTTCTAGTGAGGAATCTTGCCCTTCACTGTTTTTCCTGCCTAACCCAGAGTCTTAAGACAGCAGTACCTTTATGATTGCATATAGGATTATACTCCAGGGTTCCTTCTGAGCTGATGGCTCACTTCTTTGGAAAAGAATCATTGTCTCTGAATATGCCCCTACCTACCCTGCCTGATAAAATGTTGCTTGTGCATAGCTAGGACTGAGACATATTGTGAGTACGTTTTAATGAAATACATATTTTTCAAAATATGTTAAAGCTTATTTGGGCTCTTATTTCTTAACTGAAACATTAACGTTTGTAAAGTAACAAAGAATTTAGGAGAGCAACTCTTATATGTCCAAAAGGCATTTGTGATCTGACAGAGTGGGTAAACAGCATGGCAAGTGTCCTGGAGCTGAGATGCAAATTAGCGGTCCCTTGGGCAACGTTTTCCAAGTGTCAGGAATGTTGAGGCAATGGGAATGCCTGGACTAAACATGGCATTAAATACTTTGTGTAATATAGTGAGTAATACAGCTGCTTTGTAAATGTAAAGGTACCGTCTCTGATGGATCTTTATTTGAATGTTGCTTCTGTTTCTTTTCTTTTTTTTCTTTTTCTTTTTCTTTTCTTTTTTTTTTTTTTTGAGATGGAGTCTCATTCTGTCACCCAGACTGGCGTGCAGTGGTGCAATCTCGGCTCACCGCAACCTCCGCCTCCTGGGTTCAAATTATTCTCTTGCCTCAGCCTCCCGAGTAGCTGGGACTACAGGAATGCGTCACCATGCCCAGCTAATTTTTGTATTTTTAGTAGAGACAGGGTTTCACTATGTTGGCCAGGATGGTCTCGATCTCCTGACCTCGTGATCTGCCTGCCTCAGCCTCCCAAAGCTTTGGGATTGCAGGCGTGAGCCACCGTGCCTGACAGCTTCTGTTTCTTATTGCAAACATGATTGATATCTTTTATTTATATTAAGTGATGCCACCTCCCTATTTATGATAGATTTGTAAACGTCACTTTGTAAATAAGTATATTTAAGTTTTCTTCTGTGATTGTGTTCGAATCCAAGGTTTAAGTAAACAATAATACATGGATATCAGACAGGCATCAACCGGTAGGAGATAGACATTTAAAAAAATTATTGCAAAGAACTGGCTTTCATAACTCTGAGGGCAGCTAAGCAAATCTGAAATCCTCAAGGCAGGGCCTCAGGAAGTGTAGGCTGAAACTCTCAGGCATGGGAGAAGCTCCTGTTCACAAGTGGAATTTATTTGCTTAGGGAAGTCTTAGCCCTGATCTTAATATCTTTCAGCTGATTGGATCTGTCCCTCCTAGATTATCTATAATAATCACACTTACTTAAAGTCAACTGATGTTTGGATTATAGTCACACCTACGAAGAACCTTTATAGCAACTCCTAGATTAACATTTGTTTGCATGGCCAGGGAAGATAGCTTTACCAAGTGTACGCACCCAAAATGTCATCACACCTTGTGATACAAAAATATGCTCAAATATCTTAACAGTGTTTTTGAATGACAGATTTAAAAACAATGACTTAGCCTAGTTAGGGGAGGTGAAGAAAAAAGATATGTCCAAGGTTACCTAGAAAGTTAGTGGTTATTTAACATAGTCAGAACTAGAATGAAATCCTCATGATTCCTGGTCATTTCTTTTAATACATGGTGTATTGTTAATTCCAGCATTAAGGAGAGAGGCTGGACAAACACCAGCCAAGGGGTGGAAAATCCTACCAATAGGTTATTGAAGATACAACATCTACCTAAATGTGCTTTTTGAAAATGAATAGAATCTCAGTTATTTTGTTTTGCATTAAAAATTCTCTCAATACATGCAGAAAAGGCCTTCGATAAAATTCAACACCCCTTCATGCTAAAAACTTTCAATAAACTAGGTATTGATGGAATGCCTCTTAAAATAATAAGAGCTATTTATGACAAACCCACAGCCAGTATCCTCTGAATGGGCAAAAGCTGGAAGCATTCCCTTTAAAAATTGGCACAAGACAAGGATGCCCTCTCTCAGCACTCCTATTCAACATAGTATTGGAAGTTCTGGCCAGGGCAATCAGGCAAGAGAAAGAAATACAGGGCATTCAAGTAGGAAGAGAGGAATTCAAATTGTCTCTGTTTGCACATGACATGATTGTATATTTAGAAAACCCCATTGTCTCAGCCCAAAATCTCCTTAGGCTGATAAGTAACTTCAGTAAAGTCTCAGGATACAAAATCAATATGCAAAAATCACAAGCATTCCTATACACCAATAATAGACAAAGAGCCAAATCGTGAGTGAACTCCCATTCACAATTGCTACTAAGAGAATAAAATACCTAGGAATACAACTTACAAGGGATATGAAGGACCTCTTCAAGGAGAACTACAAACCACTGCTCAAGGAAATAAGAGAGGACACAAACAAATGGAAAAATATTCCATGCTCATGGATAGGAAGAATCAATATCATGAAAATGACCATACTGCCCAAAGTAATTTATAGGTTCAATGCTATCCCCATCAAGCTACCATTGACTTTCTTCACAGAACTAGAAAAAACTACTTGAAATCTCATATGGAACCAAAAAAGAGCCCATATAGCCAAGACAATCCTAAGCAAAAAGAACAAAGCTAGAGGCATCATGCTACCTGACTTCAAACTATACTGCAAGCCTACAGTAACAAAAACAGCATGGTACTGGTACCAAAACAGATATATAGACCAATGGAAGAGAAGAGAGGCCTCAGAAATAATGCCACACATGTACAACCATCTGATCTTCAACACACCTGACAAAAACAAGCAATGGGGAAAAGATTTCCTATTTAATAAATGGTGTTAGGAAAACTGGCTAGTCATATGCAGAAAACTGAAACTGGACCCCTTCCTTAAGCCTTATACAAAAATTAACTCAAGATGGATTAAAGACTTAAACATAAGACCTAAAGCCATAAAAACCCTAAAAGAAAACCTAGGCAATACCATTCAGGACACAGGTGTGGGCAAAGACTTCATGACTAAAACACCAAAAGCAATGGCAGCAAAAGCCAAAATTAACAAATGGGATCTAATTAAACTAAAGAGCTTCTGCACAACAAAAGAAACTATCATCAGAGTGAACGGGCAACCTTCAGAATGGGAGAAAATTTTTGCAATCTATCCATCTGACAAAGGGCTAATATCAAGAATCTACAAGGAACTTAAATTTACAAGAAAAAAAAAACAACCCCATCAAAAAGTGGGTGAAGGATATGAACAGATACTTCTCAAAAGAAGACATTTATGAGGCCAACAAATATATGGGAAAAAAACTCATCATCACTGTTCATTAGAGAAATGCAAATCAAAACCACAATGAGATGCCATCTCTTACCAGTTAAAAAGTCAGGAAACAACAGATGCTAGAGAGGATGTGGAGAAACAGAAATGCTTTTACTCTGTTGGTGGGAGTGTAAATTAGTTCAACCATTGGGGAAGACAGTGTGGTGATTCTTCAAGGATCTAGAACCAGAAATATCACTTGACCCAGCAATCTCATTATTGGGTATATACCCAAAGGATTATAAATAATTCTACTATAAAGACACATGCACACATATGTTTATTGCAGCACTATTCACAATAGCAAAGACTTAGAACCAACCTAAAGTCTCATCAATGATAGACTGGATAAAGAAAATGTGGCACATATACACCATGGAATACTATGCTGCCATAAAAAAGGATGAGTTCTTGTCCTTTGTAGGGACATGGATGAAGCTAGAAACCATCATTCTCAGCAAACTAACACAGGAACAGAAAACCAAACACCACATGTTCTCACTTGTAAGTGGGAGTTGAACAATGGGAACACATGGACGCAGGAAGGGGAACATGACCCATGAGGCCTTTCAGCGGGTGGGGGGCTAGGGGAGGGATAGCATTAGGAGAAATACATAATGTAGATGATGGGTTGATGGGTGCAGGAAACTACCATGGCACGTGTGTACCTATGTAACAAACCTGCACATTCTGCACATGTATACCAGAACTTAAAGTATAATAATAAAAAAAATTATTGCCTATCAGAAATACTTGTCTCATTTCCCAAGAACACTAAAGAGACCTAGAGCATCCCTAAAACCAGTTCTAAATCATATTTCCAGGAAGATGAGGCGGACATAAGAACTCAGGGCAGCTGCAGGAAAGTTGGAAGGCAGCTAAGAACCCTGGTCTACCCATGGAAGAGAATTCATGGAACACAATCTATAGCTCCCAATATTAACCAGCTGTGTCCAACTGCAGAACAAGAAAAATTACTAACACTATTAATAAAACCTCTCCCAAGTCTTATGTAAAAAATACTTTTTACCTGAGATTGTGCAAAGGTAACAAAACCATGGTCAACAGCCTGAATCAATCTACAGCTTTATTTTCTTGGTCCATGCTATTTTTTTTTTTTTAACTTTAGTTACCTCAGTGGCTGTAAAGTAGATGGATGTACTTTGGTCAAGAATAGGCCAAGACAGACATCCAAACCAGTGTGACTCAGTGAGTTTGGAGCGCAGGTGCACAGCTCCACTTATCCAGCAAGTGCTCCAGGGAATGCAGCTGTAAGCGTGGGAGTGGCAGCAGCTGCAGGTCGTCTGTGAAGAGGGGCTGCAGCCAGAGCCGGCAGCCGAGATAAAGGTGGACAGTGTGAGACGGTTGCTAAATAAAACCACATTTCACCTGCCCGTGGCCCCCTGAGTGTTCTTCCAGCTATCTGCTACTCATCCACCCGCTCCCCTCAGACCTTGGCATGGGCTGGAAGACTGAGGAATCTGACACTTGGTGTGACGGTGGCAAAGACGACAAAATTGGAAACTCTCATCTAATCTGCATATTTAGAGTTTCTTGGAACTGGAAGATCTATTCCCACATCAGAGCCACCAGCTGGGGCTAAGTGGTCAGTGCCTTTAGATGTTTGGCAATCTACACCTGGAGCTCTTATTTAAATTTTTGGGCTGGTCTCTCTGTGTATGTGAATTGGAGACCCCAGTAGAAGGAGAAGGCATGCAATAATGACTTGTTACTCCTCCTTCAATCCTTCAGATTCATGAAGCCCTTGCAGGGCTCAGCTCTGGCTAATGATTCATGCTATCATTGGACTCCCCACCTGACCACAGCATCAGCAGGGCAATGAGCCAGCTTTCCTTGGATGTGCTCTTCCTCTTTCCTTGTCTGAAACACCCTGGCAGACCATTGCTTCTTTCAGAAAACTTCTGACTTGAATTTTACCACTTTCCTTAACAACTGCCTCCCTGTTGTTCTACTTGGGTGAGCCTAATACAATTTCTAAGAATATCTGTAAAGTTAATTCATTTCTGTCACCTTGTATTTTGAACCAAGCCAAAAAACTGTACTAATCTTTAATTTATAACAAACCAGTGGTGCATGAATTTCACTAAATCATATGGGACTAAAGACAGACTTTGTTTTTATCCCAAGATGTATTTGGTGAAACCCACTTCATTTCATATTTGTGCAGTGAGTTGAATAAAACTAGCTACTCTGTGTGCTACCGGAGGCATTAAATATATACCCAGCTTTTTCAACCTTCAACTTTTTCCTAATTCTTATCTGAGAAAAATTTTCTTCTGTCAAAAAGAAATATTTAGATCAGGTAATTTCTACCTGAAAAATGGATGGATTACAACTTCTTTTATCTTGTTAAGCAATTGCACACAGTTTACATACAGTAATAGTTCTGTCCACAAAACCAAGTGACAGCAGAATAATGGGAATTATAATTATTACTACGAAATGTTAGGTATCTTAGTGAGAAAAATTCACTTCACTTAAGGTGATTTGTTTCGTGAGCAAATTGCCCTGTTTATAAAGAAAGAATTTTGGACCACAGTAGGCTGAAGTTTCAGTATTTCAATCAATGTATTTTACTATTGCAACTCGGGAAGAAGATGACAGTGGAGGTGAATTTCTAGCCAATCAAATTTTTGGTGATGAGAAATAGATTTTGCTCCCACTCTTGTGTCCACTTTCCCTAGGGAATAACCTCCTGTGGTTTGTCCTCTGTAACTGGAAGCACAGAAATGAGGCATAAAGTTGAACAACACAGGAAGCAGGATGTCTCTGAAGTCCACGCAATACACTCAGGAGCCCACAGTGTTTGCTAAACTCCATTTCTGACCAAAATACAAGAAGTCAGTGACAGCCCTCACGTAACTCTATGATGAGCCCTCAGTCCACGTGCCCCGTGTTCAAGGTTGCCAGATAAAATATAGAACAAAGGATGCAATTTGGGATATACTTATCCTAAAAAAAATAGACTGGCCAGGTAAGATACAGGATAGGCTGCAATTTAGGACACAATTATGCTAAAAATCTTCATTGCTTATCTGAAATTCAAATTGAACTGTGCATTCTGTATTTTCATCTACTAAATCTGACAGCCCTACCACTGTTAGCAGCCCATCACCCCTGCACCTCATTCTATTCTGGGAGGGTTTGTTTTAATGAAAAAGGAAACGGCAAATCCACATTCCGCAAATGGTGAATGTCAAAAGGGCTTGGGTTTCTCTTTGTGTGAGAAATAATAAAAACTGGCTCCAGACACATCCTAAAACTCCTGGATCTGACATGTATGCATCAAGGACTGGCAGCCCTAAACCTTCGTGTTTGGAGAAATTTATAATTTAATTTTTATCACACAATTGTTTATAGTTAAGAATAAAGCCAAATATTGCATTTGGCGTGTATGTGTGTATATGTGTGTTGAATATGTGTATATATGTGTATGAGTGGGTATGTATTTTTCTATGTGTGCATATTTGTGTGTGTGTGCATGTGGGAATGTATACATGTGTAAATGTGCATGTGTATATATGTGTCTCTGTGTGCATGTGCTTATGGACATGTGTGTATATGTAAGTGCATGGTGTGTGTATATATACGTGAATATATACATGTGTATATGATTTTGTGTAGTGTGTGTTGGTATGTGTGTACGTTTTTTCTGTATTTGTATGTGCATATTTGTGTGTGCAATGTGTGTGTGTGTGTGTGTGTGTGTGTGTGTATGTGTGTGTAGCATAGTGGTTATGAATGAGGGTTTAGAGCCAGCTTGCCCTGGGGTAAAATCCCTTTTGCCCTCACCATCTATATGACCTATAGCAGCCACTTCACATTTTTCTGCTTGGATTATCTCGTGTGTTGAAGAGAGCTAATAATAGAAGCATATTGTGGGGTAATGAAAATATTTAATAAGTTAATAGAGCTCATGTATATAAAGCATTTAGAATAGTACCAGTTACATAATAAATCCTCTGTACTTGTTGGTTATTACTATTGCTGCTGCTGTTATAATTGGCAATATCGAGTTCAAGTGAATTTTTCCCCTGGAAATCGGTTAACCACTGTGTGCCTCAGATTCTTCAACTAAACCTTGGGGATAAGGTGTTAAGCCATTCTTGCATTGCTATAAAGAAATACCTGAGAATGGGTAATTTATGAAGAAAAGAGGTTTAATTGGCTCACGGCTCTGCAGGCTGTACGGGAAGCATGGCACTGCCATCTGCTCAGGTTCTGGAGAGGCCTTCAGGCTTTTACTCATGGCAAAGTGGGAGCAGACGCTTCACATCATAAAATCAAGTGAAAGATCTTTTGTGATCTTGTGTGAACAAGATCTTGTGTGAATTGAACTCACTCATTATCAAGGGGATGGCCCTAACCCATTCATGAGGGGTCCAACCCCACGACCCAAACACCTCCCACCAGGCCACCTCCAACACTGAGGATTACATTTCAACATGAGATCTGGTGGGGACACAGTACTATCAGTTAATGATAGTACTTACCTCAGTTAGTGATAGTGCTTACCTCCGAGAGCTGCTAGGGAGAGGAAATGAATTAATTCCCATAAAGTATTTGGAGAGACAATGGAAGATACTGGGTAAGAATGAGGACTTTGCAGCCAGAGGCCTAACTAAGTGTGACTCCTACCTTCACCAGCCATTAGAGATGTGATCTTGGGTTGTGACTCTCTCAGCTTCTCTAAGCGTCAAAACTCCTTATCTTTGAATTGGGGAAGTGAGAGCACCCGTATTTCATGGAGTCATGGTGGGAGTGAAATGTAAGTCATGCAAACGGTGAGGGACAGTGCACAGAAGTGGTTAGTTTTTGATGTGGCTATTTGGATATTACTGAAGCGGTTGACAGCACTCTTTCCCACCATCCCTTTCTTGGGTCATGGCCCTTCCTATTCCTTCTACTAATCCACACAGTGTGAAAAGCAAACTGTGCAATGTCTTACCTAAGATCTCCTGACTCCTCCTCTAGCATGTTTTACTCTGGGCCCTTGACAAGCATTACCCTGCTCATCTGTGGCCATGTGAGAGCAGGAAACTGCTCTTCTGTTTAAAAGAAGCTTTGTCCGTTCAGTGTGCTGTGTGTGACATGATTCATATTTAACACTGAAATAAGAGGTTTATTGTTTGTGAAAGATCCCAATGGGGTATTGCTCTGAAAATATGTTTCTAATCATGGTTGATACGACTCCACCCTGGGCTAGGCAGCATAGCATCTTCTTCAATGAAGAGTGCAGGTTTTAGGGACAGACTGCCTGGGTTGATATCCAGCTTCCATCATTTGCAAGCTATGCTCTTCATGTGTATTTCTTCATCCCTGAATCCTCTGTTTTCACAATGAATATCTTAAATAATTGCATACCCTTCAAACAATAATTGAGCTTTAAATGGATGAATAAATATCATACATCAGTGCCTAGGGTAGGATAAATGGTCACTGAAATAAAGCAACACTCCTTATAAAATGGCTGAGTGTTAAGTGGACTTATTGTGTTCAAATACTTTGTTTAATAAGTGGCTAAAATTGGACATGGAGTAAAAATTACTTAAAATTGCAATTAAAGTTGCAATGAGGAGGTTCTATTTCAGCCAAGATGTAATAACAGGAAATGGAATTACCCTCCCACCATAAACAACCCAAACCAAACAAAGCATATGAAACAGCTGTTTGCAAGACACTAGACATCAGGCAAAAGAGGATGTTGGCTCCTGAAAGATGAGAAAAAAGCAAAGCAGGCCCTACAATTGTCCAGCTTACTACAGGGATAGAGTTTCCAGTACATCACACAAAGAGGGTAACCAGACTCCTTTAGCTGAGGAGACAGAACCGAGGGTCTGAGAAGAGAAAGCAGGAGTTTGCAAGACAGAGTATGAGGGAGGATACAGCTGCACACGGAGAGAATTTTGAAGAACCGCAGTGGGAATCCCTTGAGTATCCAGTCCAGCACTGATCAGTGCATGCATGTGAAGAAACCATTTAAGGCTGGGGAAAGAAGCACCTAAAAAACCCTAGAGATAACAGCACCCAGCAATCACATGATACTGGGAATAGTACCTGTTCCCACCAGCCACACGGGAAAACCTCATCATTAATTAGTTATTGGGTAGGGTACTCAGAAGGATCTTGCTTCATTAATAGGTACTAATTCATCATAGACTAAGTGCTATAGCAGTCTTACCATACAAACCTTAAAAGTAAGACCTGATAGGATTAAATTATGTCCAAACAACTTAACTGCATCCCACAACAATGCTCAAGAAAATTTATAAAAATGCGAAAATATTCAGCAGCCAAGAAGTAGAAGTCATAATATCTGACATCCAATCAGAAATTATTAGAGTTTTGGAAGCAGAAAAATACAACCCATAATAAAGATAAAAAAATCAATCAATTGAGACAGATCCAGAATAGACACACAAAATAGAATTGGCAGAAAAGTATAGAAAAAGCAGTTATTATAAGTGTAATCCAATTTTCAAAAATTAGGGAAAGGCATAGAAGATATGAAAAAGAACCAAATCAAATTTCTGGAAATGAATATTACAGCGTGTGAGATAAAAAAGACACTGGATGGAAACAATGGCACATTAGACATTGCAGAACAAAAAAAATAGTAAACTTGAAGAAACAGCCATTGAATGATCCAAAATGAAACATAGAAGAAAAAGAACTTTACAAATATAAACAGCACATCTGTGGTCTGTGGAAAAACTTTAAGAAGTCTTATATACATATATTAGAAGTCCCTAAAAGAAAGAGAAAGAAGAGGGAAGAGAAACATTTTAGGAAATAGTGGCCAAGATAATCTCACAGATTTTAGAAATCCAATAAGCCTGATAGCAAAGAAAAAGGAGGAAGAAGAAGAAGAAAAAGAAAAGAATGAAACTGAAGAAAATGATACCAAGGCACATCATACATTATTATTATACATTATTGATTGGTCAAATCAAAAATAAGATATTAAAAGACCTAGGAAAAAAGGCATGTTAGGTGAATATGTTAAGTTCTAAGGAACAAAGTTGAGTATGATTTCTCATGGGAATTAACACAAGTCAAGAGACAGTAAGGCAGTATCTTTCAAGTATTGAAATATCAGGACTGTCAACCTAGAATTACATACCTAGCAAAAATGTCTTTCAGAAATAGTAAACGTGAAATAAAGACTTTTTCAGACATACAAAAGCTGAAACAATTCACCACCAGCAGTCTTGCACTACAGGAAACATTTTAGGATGTCCCTCTGGCAGAAAGTGAACAACAACAAATAGAGATATGGATTTACACTGAATGAAACACACATCATATGGTAAATTACACGGGTTTAGAGGGGAAAGTCCACTCGGAAATGAGACATTTGGAAGAAATTTAGAAGCAGCAGTTTTATAAAAGCAGAAATGGGAGCTTGCTCTTCTCTAAGTTGGTAGCAGGAGGGGAATCACCTTATGAGAATCTTCTGACCTGGTCTCCTAGCAATGTGGTCTTCAGCATCCTTGGAAACAGCCAGGAAGAAGTGACTAGACTCCCAAGACAGCCAGGTTTGGGGGCAGATTTTGATGAGAACAGCAAAATGAGGACAACAAGGACTCCTCTCCCACTGCAGGGGCTTGGTGGCTCAGGTGTTGAGCTCGTGGGACATCACTTCTGTGCCGCAGCAATCGCGGAGGCTCAGCCTCCCTCCTTCAGAGTTGTTCCTCCCCCTTCCATCCCCCATGAAGTTTCTCAGCTTTTGAGCACTTGCACTGTGCCAGGCAATGAGGTGAGCACTTGCATTGTGCCAGGCACTTAGGTAAGCACTTTATAATTACATTTTTACTTCTGATATTTTCTTTTTAATGGTGTTTTTAGACCCAGAACTGAAGGGAAACACCTTGCCTGAGGTAACCCAGTTGGTGGGGGGCAGACCGAGAGGAGTCCTTGTGGTCTATCCCGACCCCACGCTCCTCTTTGCTGCCAGACTGTGGGGCTGGGCAGGGGGTTCCCAGAGTCATCACCGCTTTTCAGTGGTCTGAGACAGAGTGGGATAGAGGAGGTTGGGACTGGGGTCACCTGCCTGTCTGTCCCCAGATGCCTACCCTGGCTTCCTTTGGTCTTGCATCCTCCTGAGAATCCTGAGAGGCCCAGGGCTGCACCACATGTTCAGGGCTTTTTTCTTTCCTCTGGGCCAACACGCTGCAAGGAGAATGCCTATTCCCTTCCGTATTCCTCCCCCAACCCCCTGTTTCCTACTCTTGTGAGGCTTACTCTGAGGAGAAAGACATCTTGCATGTGTCCAGCACTACTTAACATGATGCATTGGTGAGCACACAAGTGGGATGTGACAGAAGAGGGTGCTTTGTGAACAAGACCTCTTTCAGATCCTCCTGCCTCCTGTGACCACCCCCATCCCCATCCCATGCGACACTAACCCAAACCTATGTTCTCTGCAATAGAACATACCTATGTTCTCATTCTCATCTCTGGGCAGCCTGGGGTCCTTGTCCCTGGCTGAAGACTAAAGAGGACTGAAGGAATGGAGGCCAGGGCCAGAGCTGCTTCTTCCTTGGAAGCAGCATTTTTCCTGGGCCCAAGCAAGAGTCCCTGTGGCCTTGCAGGGCTCTTAAGGGAAGCATCTTCTGGGTTCCCACAAGGGCGTGACTAATTCCTCATCCTTTCTCCCCACCAACAAAAAATGGAGCAGAGAATAATTTTCAGTTCCCTGCAGTGGCCTCTAGGAGTGACTGCTGTATCCTCTCTGGGGACATCTGAGCTGGGATGGAAAGTCCTGTGACTGAACAGGAGCCCTGACCCTGGGGGTCTCACACCCCTCAGTCAAGGGGAAACACATCTCTTGGCTTGGTGGCAACCATAGCCATGGCTTGCTTCCATTCATTCATACCTTAGGTTAAACCCCATGGCTCTCTACCAGGTCCTGAGCTTCAACTTCTCTTCATATGTCCATCCTCTCTGTCTTTAGAGTCTTCTCTCTCCACCTCAACTCTTCTTTACCCTCCTTTCTCCATTTTTGTGTCTGCTCCTCTTTCCTCATCTTCCTGGTTCTCTTTCACTCTAATCTCCTTGCCATGTCACATAAGAGGACTTTGATTATCTTCCTCCATGCCTGTCCCGTCACTGAAAACACTATACCTGATCTTTTTTTCATATGATTGGTGGCTACATGTATGTGTTCTTTTGAAAAGAAGACATGTCCTTTGCTCACTCTTTATGGAGTTGTTGCTTTTTTTCTTGTACATTTGTTTAAGTTCCTTACAGATGCGAATATTAGACCTTTGTCAGATGCATAGTTTGCAAAAATTGTCTTCCATTCTGTAGGTTGTCTGTTTACTTTGTTGATAGTTTATTTTGTAGTGCAGGAGCTCTTTGAGATGCCATCACACACCTGTCAGAATGGCTATTACTAAAAAGTCAAAAAATAACAAATACTGGTGAGGTTGTGGAGAAAGAGGAACTCTTATACACTGTTGGTGGGAGTGTAAATTAGTTCCATCATTAAGGAAGACAGTGTGGCAATTCCTCAAAGACCTAAAGACAGAAATACCATTCGAGCCAGGAGTCCCATTACTGGGTATATACCCAAAGGAATATAAATCATTCTATTACGAAGACACATGCACGCATATGTTCATTGCATCACTATTCACAATAGCAGAGACATGGAATCAACCTAAATGCCCATCAGTGATAGAATGGATAAATAAAATGTGGGACATATACACCATGGAATACTATGCAGCCATAAAAAAGAGAACGAGATTGTGTCCTTTGCAGGAACATGGGTGGAGCTGGAGGCCATTATCCTGAGCAAACTAACACAGAAACAGAAAAACAAATACCGTATGCTCTCACTTATAAGTGGGAGCTAAATGATGAGAACACATGGACACATATAGGGGAACAACAGACACTGGGGCCTGTCGGAGGGTGGAGGGTGGGTAGAGGGAGAGGATCAAGAAAAATAACTAATGGGTAGTAGGCTTACTACCTGGGTGATGAAGTAATTTGTACAACAAAACCCCATGACACAAGTCCACTTATGTAACAAACCTACACATGCACCCCTTAATTTAAAATAAAAATTAAAAAAAAGAAAACACTATACCTGAAATCTGTTTCCCTTCATTCCCTTCTAGGAATGTCTAGACAGCAGAGCTAACATGCCTCTTAATTGAGATGAAGGTGCACTTTGGGAATCTTGACTCCCAGGACAGGTTTCTTTCTCCTCCTCCATCTGAATTCAAGACTCTTTACTATAATGTCATGACCATGTGTTGCGCTTTTCCTGGGTAAATATGATACCTGGCCCCAGGATACTTTGATGATAAAGATCTTGCAGTTTGGCAGGAAGAGACCCAGAGCAGAGGCCATGCATGGAGACAGACCTGGAAAACAAGACCTAGGCCCGAGGGAACCAACTCCTGGAGATCAAGATGCAACAGCTCAGACCTCTGGATAACACCAAGGGCAGATAACAACAGGAACAGAGCAGAGGCTGTGCTGGTGTCTGAGCTAAAGTAATACACCTACCTGTATCAGCGGCTTTGGCAATTTAGACTATGGTGGGCTCCACTTGGAGACTCTTAAATGAACAGCAGAACAGGACTCAGCTCAGAGAACTGAGACCTTGTGAGAGATACAGGGCAGAGAATCTAAGATCTGTAAAGCCTGTGTGCAGAGAGCCCTGCTCAACTATGAGATATCTGGTTTTCCTAAGAAGCCTCCCAGAGAAAATAGGTACTGACATTGGGCTGGGACTCTCATCCTCCCATTTGGATTATTCTTGGTGTCCCATGAATATTCAAAATAACTTTTCTGATATTGTGTATGGGAACAGGCAATTGAGCTTCCATTCAATTGAGCTTCTCAGCCACATCAACTTTCACACCTCCAATGCTATTATTAAAGCATTACTAAATGCTATAATAATTAGCATTTATCAACTGCCTAATAAATGCCACATTTAAAAAATGTATCTTAATTGTTTTAGGCTAATTCTTACAAGATCTCTATGAATTAAAGAATAATACCATCCCCATTTAGCAGATGAGAAAATGCAGCAGGGAGCTGTGGGGGGCAGCAGGGAAACCTCTGCTTTATGTAGTCATTTGAAGACCTTGGTCTTTTTGCATTATAGCCCCATAACACACAGCTGCTATGGTCACCCTGGAATCTGGAATCTTGCAGAAGATCCTACTGCCAGGCTCACATCATTTTCATTGGTCAGAACCCAATCACATGATCTCAACCTAACTGCAAGGGATGCTGGGCAATGTAGTCCAGTCATGTGGCTAGCAGGAAAATGCAGGGGGCTTGGTGAAAATTTGCTCTAGGTCCCAGACTTGGCAAATGATACAAGATTTAACTCACACAGTCCGGCTTCCAAGCCCACACTCTTAACCACTGTACTCTGTAAGTTCTGATTATTGAAAATTTCATGTTAAACAAAGTAATTTTGCTAGGATATTTCCCTAGTGACTCCTCTAGGATAGACAACATAAGGTTGGCTATCCTGTGGTGTTCACGCACGGCACATTTCCCTAAAATCCGCATCTTCCACTGTTGCTGACTCCCTCTATTCTCAGCTTATATTTTCTTCTTATTCTGTATACTCATGGTTTTGTGGATACTCCTCTTCTAACATTGTCGTTTATCTCTCACCTAGTTTGAAGACTCTCAGGTGATTTTATTGTTCCTTTCAGAGCACAGTATGGGTGCCTCATCTCAAAGATACCATAGGATGATAGCTTACCAGGAGGCAGATGAAATGGAGAAAACATAGCTTATTTCTCTCTGAAAATGACAGCCTCCCACTGAGAAGGCTGCCCTCTATCTTGGCATGCCTTGTCTCATCTTGTATTAGTCCAGCTCTGCTCCTCAGTGATGACCCTTTCAGAAACATCCCCTCTCTAGGAGGTGTGGGTCCCTCATTATGGAACTATTAGGACTTTGTGGGGCACACGTGAAACTCTGCCCCCAAAAGTTAAAGAAACCAGTAGCTCACAGAAATTCTTGAGGCTGTGGGATGGCAGATAAGAAAAGAAACAATGGTCGGGTGCGGTGGCTCACGCCTGTAATCCCAGCACTTTGGGAGGCCAAAGCGGGTGGATCACAAGGTCAGGAGATCGAGACCATCCTGGCCAACATGGTGAAACCCCATCTCTACTAAAAATACAAAAAATTAGCTGGGCGTGGTGGCAGGCGCCTGTAGTCCCAGCTACTCAGGAGGCTGAGGCAGGAGAATGGCATGAACCTGGGAGGTGAAGCTTGCAGTGAGCTGAGATCACGCCACTGCACTCCAGCCTGGGCAACAGAGTGAGACTCTGTCTCAAAATAAATAAATAAATAAACAAATAAACAAACAAACAAGAAAGAAAGAAAAGAAAAAACTTGCTGAAGCACTGAAACTTTGCTTATGAGGTAAAATGAAATCAGGTGGAACCAATATGGATGACTGGAGTTTGTACAGGACGAGCCTACTGGCATCACAGCCTGAATTTTCACTGCATGTTTCATACTAACTTCCCCTGCAATTGCATATGAGTTAGCACAAAAAGATAATTGTACATGCC
This sequence comes from Homo sapiens, assembly GCF_000001405.40. Taxonomy (NCBI): domain Eukaryota; kingdom Metazoa; phylum Chordata; class Mammalia; order Primates; family Hominidae; genus Homo; species Homo sapiens. Next base: position 126,095,448 of record NC_000012.12, read on the forward strand.
GAAAGACTTTCCAGACCTCCCCTTTCCTTCCAATTACCTACTAATCTCAGAATCCACCCTGTGAACCTTTTCTAATAGAAACTAGCACAGGTTTGAGCTTCACTCCTGTCTCCTTGTGAGTCAACTTGCAGTATAAAGCTTTCCTTTTCTCAGAAACCTGTTGTCAAAGTACTGGCTTCCAGCACATTGGACAGTGAGCCCTTTTTGCAGGATAACCCACATGGGCACCGTTCTCTCTCCCCTCTATTTCTTGCTGCCTCTATTAGCCAGTCTTCTGACTGCTGTAACAACCCCCAAATGCCAGTGGTTTTCATCAATAAAGATTTATTTCTTCTTTGCATTACAATCCCAAGTGTGGCGGGTGGTGGCAAAACCTCTGCTTTATGTAGTCATTTGAAGACCCTGGTCTTTCTGCATTATGACACATAACACACAGCTGCTATGGCCACCGTGGAATCTGGAATCTGGCAGAAAGTTCTACTGCCAGGCTCACATCATTTTTATTGGCCAGAGCCCAGTCACATGACCCCAACTTAACTGCAAGGGATGCTGGGCAATATAGTCCAGTAGTGTGGCTAGCAGGAAAATTAAAGGGGTTTGGTGAATCCATTGCTCCTGCCATCACCCAGATTAAAGACCTGCCCTCTCATCCGGTAATTATTATACTCCCTTTTCTCAATTAAGCATCTTCATCCATGGATTGTTCATTTTATGGGTAGATATGACTCCTTAGAGTAAGGACCATGGCCTGTGAGCCAACTCCAAGCAGCTGCCTGTTTTTCTTATGTCCAGCAGTCAGGGATTGAGTGGGCAAGCACTGTGGGCTGCAGACACCAAGCTCCACCATGATTCCCCCTCCACTCTCAGAGGCTCCATCCAGCTGGCAGGCTCACAGCACTGCAGCCCAGCATCTGAAGTGGTGAGTATCATGGAAATAGCAGATGGGGTGGAGAAAGCAGGAGTTTCCTTTCTTGTACTTATGTTATATTCTCAGTTTTGCCTCTTCCTCCACAAAGTCTAAAATATGCACTATCTGGTCTTTTATGGGAAAGTGTTTCTGCACCTCTGTCCTGCGGAGACAATTCCCACCTTTGGAAATTGGAAACTCTTACCTTTATTTTGTTGACCAGTTTCCCACCTTGAAGTTTGTCCTGGGGTAAAGTGTGGGAATGTCAGAGGCTTCTGCAGAGATCCTTAGTCCACTTTTTTTTTTTTTTTGAGACGGAGTCTCGCTCTGTCACCCGGGCTGGAGTGCACTGGCACGATCTCGGCTCACTGCAAACTCTGCCTCCCGGGTTCACGCCAGTCTCCTGCCTCAGCCTCCCGAGTAGCTGGGACTACAGGCGCCCGCCACAATGCCCGGCTAATTCTTTTTTTTTGTTTTTTGTTTTGTATTTTTAGTAGAGACGGGGTTTCACCCTGTTAGCCAGGATGGTCTCAATCTCCTGACCTCGTGATCCACCTGCCTCGGCCTCCCAAAGTGCTGGGATTACAGGTGTGAGCCACTGCGCCCGACCCCTAGTCCGCTTTTACTGACAAATCAAATGAATACTTTCAGTCCTGTTTGGGCACGGGTGGTAACTGCCTGACTGAAACTAGACTTCCATTAATCCAGGCTCTCTGGGACAAAAAAAAATCATATAATTGATGCAATTAATTTTAATTTCATCACACGCACATACAGACATCTCATTACCAGAATAAATAATATTCATTCAAAGCATTCAGGAGTAGAAAAGGAGCAACACCCACAGCAAAATATACATGGTTTAATTTAAATTTACATAAAGACTAATTAGTTTCTCACATTTCTTAATGGTTGGAACAAAAAGAGGGAAGAAGGGGCAAAAATTAATTTCTTCAGTTAATGTGCGAATAGTTGGTGTTTCATTTCAGAATGACTTGTACAAATTTGGGGGATGGCGAGAAATGGTAACATTTAAAAAATTGAGAAGGGAACCTTATCTTCATCCACACATTTGGAAATGCAAACTCCAGTTACTATTCTCATAATTATCACCAATATTTAGTGTTTATCAGATCCCAGTGATGGGACAGGCAAAAGAAAGAAGTTGCTCTTAGAATAGTAACTACCATGAAGTTTGGTATTTTGTTGAGCCAAGTGAGTCTGAAGATATATATACCTAGTTTCCCACTAGAAACTATATGTATATATATATATATATTTTCCAACCTGCAACAGGAAGGCTGAGTTGAAGGGCCTTTTGCAAATCAGATCAGGATAGAATCAACCCCAGTGTATGGTTGTTAGTTCGTTTTTCTCCCTCTCTCCTTTCTGTCCTTGTTTTCTTTTCTTTTTTCTTTTAAAACAATTGAAAACACAGGTAGCCATGGGTTTGGTTGATCCTACTCCTTAGTTTATGGTCCTATCACGATTGTTGCTGCCAGGCCCTCTCATTTTTTCCCCTCTCTCATCTACCATTACCCCTTCCTTGTGGAGGTGCCCATGTGCTTGACGTATGCTCTTGTGTGGTATCTTTGAATCTCTGCATGGTGTATAATTACAGGTTGTGTATGCATGTGTTTTAAATTCACAAATATTTCACTGCAGTCTAGATCTATATTCCCCTTAGTATTATATTTTGAAGATCCTCTGTGCTTTTCTTGGCAGCTCTGGTTTATTGCTCCTGTGGTTTCCATGAATGAGCTTCTGTTTCCTGCTCCTCTCTCTTTCCACCCACCCTCCCAGAGTGGTCCATGTCCCAGTAGCAGCTCATTCCACTTTGTTAGTATGAGTTGTTGCCTTGAAGGGTGGCTTCAGTGCATAGAGAAGACTATCTGTGGCTCCTTGCCTTTTAAATTACTAATCAAAATATTCAAGTAAATAAAATGCCAAACTTAAGATTTTCCAAAAGTCATTATGTTCAACTTACAAGTCTTACTATTTTATTTGCAAATCTATTTGAACATTTATAAGATAATTTTGAAAGCTTTAACTAAATTTCTTTAAATATTTTAAACTGTATTTGTAAATTGAATATATCCACTATCTTGTTAAGCAATTCATATGCTATTTAACAAGCAAAACTATCTTAAGTATTTAAACAAGCCCAGAAATATAATAAATAAATGTTATTTTTACATTCTATTATTGTTTTTATATTTAGATTAATTTCTTAAACTTTTCAACTTAAAGACAAAAGTCAAAAATTGATTTCTAAATTGCCTTTTTACTGGAAAAGAAAGATGAATCTGTAACCTAATAACATAAATTGTCTTAACAATTACAAATTTTTTAAGTACAAAAAAATTCCCCAATTACTCCTTACCTTAGCAAATAAATAAAATATACAGATTTGATATAATTCATCATCGGTTTTGTTGATTCTAAATTTTCCTGAGCTTAAAGAGATATTAAGGAAATCACTTTAATATTTCCAGAAAATTGGAATTACTATCCTAGGCAAACTGGAATTTATTCTTCAAAATTGTTGAAGTTATCTCCTCAGTGGGATTCAATTAGCTAAAGATGAGAGATTTTCAGCTGGGAGCAGCTCTGGAGCAGCAGATACACTGGGTAATTTTTCTCACTCCATGGGCTGCCTTGTTTGGCCTTTTCAAGTGTCTTATTTGCCCACGTTTCAAAGCGCAATGACCTTACAGCCCAACACCTTGGATTCCAGTCCCACGTTGCCCAGTTCTGATTGGAGTCAGACTTCCTGCTCAGTTGCTTTAGCCCTTGGTGAGACTGACGTATCAGCTACTGATTTTGTTCTGCACATTTTCCATATTCTTCCTTCCTGGCAGGGCCACTTCCAGACATTATGAGATACACACACATTGACATTCTGCACACTTCATGTGTTTCTGTCTGGCTCTTTCATTTTAGGGACTAATACCGTCAAGGACACACACCTTCCAGTATTCCTGCCTCAACGCTCAATCAATTGAATTGGCTCTGCTGAGGTCACCCTACTCCACTTTTACTGACAGATCAAATAAATATTTTCAGTCCTGTTTGGGCACTGTTGATAATTGCCTGATAGAAACTGGACTTCTATTAATCCAGGCTCTCTGGGACAAAAAAATCATACAATCGATGCAATTAATTTTTATTTCATTGCACGCACATACAGCCATATCATTACCAGAATAAAAACCAGTCATTCAGTGCACTCAGGAGTAGAAAAGGAGAAACACTGACAACAAAATTTACGTGGTTTTGTTTAAATTACATAAAGACTGAGAAAAAACTTTTAGGCCTTTGAACATTCAGTACCAAATTCAGTTCCACATTCTTTAAATTTCCTTAGAGAAATTAAATGACATTTTAAAATGGCTGTTCTTGTCTTATTACTTAATAAATCCTAAATAATAGAACACATAAAATGTCAGTTATTATAAAACATTACTATAGTTCAATTCCAACATATTCTAAAGCATCATACAATTGATACCATTAATTTTGTCACACATACATATGTCCATGTGATTAACAGAATAAGTAAAATTCTCTCGCCCTCTCTCACACACACACACACACACACACTCAGAGAGAGACACACACAAATGCCACACACTTATTCCAGTAAAAAGATCTTATCTCCCTTTTGAATCCTTTTTTTCTTTGAATATAATTAACTCACCTCCTTTCATTAACTCAACTTATTTCAATAATCCATTGCTGTGAGTTTTGTTTTTAAAGCTTTGAACAACTGGCCTTATAAAAGCCTTTTATTAAATTTCTCTGCCCCTTTAGCATTCCTTTTGATATTTAAAATGTATTCTTGCTTTCCAGCAACATCAGCAAGTTGCTGCCACCTTCTGAATTTATTTTTGCCCCAAGACTTGGAACCAGCCAGTTTCCAATGAGTCCTGGATTCTTCCAGCTGAGTTAGTTTTAGAGACCAGGATCTCGGGATCCTGGTTGTCCAATGGGTTGTTATTATTCTTTGGCAACGTTTAGATATTGATTTTGGTTAAAGGTTGACCTTGATAATTCAGATTTAAGGTAGTAGATTTATACCCAACTCTTCTTTATTTCTTGTGGTTTTCTCAGCCACCAGGCATCTCTCTGACTTCAGTTGCTATCCTCTTACTCCTGCATGGTTCCCTGGCCTCTGCCTGCCCTCTGCATGAGCCTGTTTCCTGAGGGCTGGTTTGTTTTTTGGTTGATTAGTTGGTTGGCTGTTTTTTTTCTCAGCCAACTGGTCTTTTCAATCCACACACTCTCCTTTGATATCTCACCCATTTTTATAATTTTTTGTTTGTTTGTTCCAGGTACTGTCCCTAGGCTGATGACTGTCACATTTTTAGTGGGGCCAAAACTTTCCTCCAAGATTCAGATGTGTGTCACCAACTAGAGAGCAGGCTTGGAATTTAAAAATAAAGTTTTCAGTAAGTTGAGATGTTTTGCTTCGCATAGACAAATTATCACTTTGACAGAAATATTTTGCTTACTCAAACCTTTGTATTGCTAGAAAAAGAGATTTTTAAAAAATCCCAGTAAAGTCAAGAAGAAAGAAAAAAAGGAAGGAAGGAGGGAAGGAAGGAAGGAAGGAAGGAAGGAAGGAAGGAAGGAAAGAAGGAAGGAAGCGTTTAGTAGGATGACCCGCTAAAACACCATTTCAATGCCCTTTCCAATGAGAAAAGTTGATGCTGAAATTGTAATATTTGGTTACAGAGGAAGCCACAGATCCAAATTCAAACTTAATGATAAAGTGTTTTTTGGGCAAACTACTTAAACTCTCTAATCTTCAGTTTTCTTTCCTATAAAGTGATGATGCTAACATATGTGAAGTTATAAAACAAATATGAATAAACCTAACAAAACACCTGGCCCTTAGAAAGCATGCAACCCATCTTTGTTAAGGTAATCAGGGAATGAATTCATTGTTGACATACACCCAGGAAGTGGTGGTTATTGGACTAGAAGACCCTCTTTATAACTGGATGTTGCTCTGATGAGTTTAAAGCCTTAAATGGCCATTGAGAAAGATTGGTGATGAGATGTAATTACATGTGAATGGCATTTTTGATAGTCCAAAATGTAAAGGCTGCATTACTTATGATTTGCTCAAAACAGTATATTTAATCAGTGTACTTTAGCCCCTAAAATATTATAAATGCAAAAATATTTCTTTTATGTGTGCTGACAAGGCTAAATATTAGAAAAATGTTTTTTAAAATCAGATTTTACTCACACAATTAGTTTTTATTTTTATTTTTCATGATCACATAAATAATAGTATGGGTACTACTAGGTGATTAAAATTAAAACTAGAATATCTCTGTAATTAGACCCATTGTTCTGCCTTCCACTGCTTTCCAGAGCTTTAAAGGGTACAGTTCTAGGAAAAATAGTAGGAAGAGCTAATTTTTCCAGTGAGTATTGAATATACGAAAACACATTGTCTTTAAAGTTTGTACTGCTAAGGTTTGAATTTAGCAAAATAGGGATTTAGATAAATGAATGAGGATATGCAAGGAAATGTCCTTAAGTGCATTTCAGAAAACATTTAAGAAGTTTGTTTCAAGAATGTTCTACTGGCGAGTCCTCAGCTTCTTGCTGTGACTGCAGTCTAAGGCTGTGCTAGACACTGTCAACATGTCGAGATCCATGGAACATGTGATATTCATGAAATAATAGAAATGAAGGTCAGATTTAAACTTCAATCAATAGCCAGTATTGATCCTCATGGATATTTCTGAGAAGAGAAAATTTCTACTTTCTCTATGAGGGTAGTAAAAGGTCACCTTTTTCTGAATGAGAAAAAATAAATTCCCAGTGGGCTTTGTATTTTCAGTGGAGGGGCTTCTATATGCCCCTTTCTGCTTGCTTTGACTTTGGCCATGTGGAAGAGAGATGAGGCAGCACTTCCAGGGGATCCTTCAATCAACCTATGGTAATGTCACAGCTAAACATGAAGCATTGAACCAGGGAGGGGTCCCCCAAAAGCTCAGAGAGTAACAGATGATATAAACACCTGTGCCTCTGGGGGAAAGGTAAGGCAGGAGAATGTGAGCAGAGATTCTGGGTAGTACACCCCTGAGAGGCTTTCAATATTAAAACAAATAAATAACAGAAAGGTTAAAATATGTATTTTCTACCTTTAAAACCATAATAGAAAATGAAATTGAGAATTAGTAAAAAAAAGTACCAAACCTGACAAGATTTTATTTTCATTGCTTTTCCCTTTTTGGAAAGCTTTCTCTGAACATAATATTGAACTTAAGGCTTAGCACTGTTAAGTTCATTTTTTTAAAATGATAATTCTATCACCTAAATTATTGAAAAGTAGAAAGACCTGGGAACAAAACTACATATAATGAGCACAAAATCTGGAGTCTGAGGGTCTCCCGTGTTGATTTAAGATTTGTTTCATAAAGAGTTGTTTAATGAGGCTAATCCCTCACCAGGGTCTTGGGCAGATTAAATAAGTTACCTGTGATGGAGTAAACATGGATACATCTCAGCTAATATTGCTATTATTGACACTGAGAAAAATGCTAACGCTGGGGGCAGATGGCTGTTGATTCTGGCTCTGCCACTAAGGCTTTGTCACCAGTTATAGTACAGTGTCGTGTCGTTTCCTCTTCTCCCAGGAATGAGCCATCCATTGCTGGGTTAAACTCCAAGAGTAAGTATAGATAAAACCAAGCTAATCTGTTGTTGTATAACTACAAAATTAAATGAATTAAAGAGAAGCTCAAGCAACATAGGTAAACTTATCTTTTTTTATTTCTTTTTGAGATGGAGTCTCATTCTGTTGCCTAGGCTGGAGTACAGTGGTGTGATCTCAGCTCACTGCAACCTCTGCCTCTGGGTTCAAGCAATTCTGTGCTTCAGCCTGCCGAGTAGCTGGGATTACAGGCACCCTTCACCATGCCCGGCTAATTTTTTTTTGTATTTTTAGTAGACACGAGGTTTCACCATCTTGCCCAGGCTGTGTAAACTTATCTTACTCTTCCCCAGTATCTGTCTATGCTCCTGGGATCTCAAAACCTAGACTAAGTTTAGTCTAAATAAACATGCCTTCTCTCTTGACTGGTGTACACAGAGCCTCTTGTACAGTTGTTCCATGCAGAGTTCATAAGTGAATAACTTAAATATCTTTAATAAAAGTACTAGCTGATTTTTATTGAGCACTTAGCATATGTCAGACACTGTTCTGCTATTGAGCAAAGATTGTCTCATTGCATTAGCACAAGAATTTTGGAGAGTGTAACAAAGTAGACTCTATTCAGTCTATATATGGTAGCTACTGAGCATACTAATACATAATAAATTAACAAGGGGTTATGAAGCATTACCATATGCACTTTGTCGTTTACAGATTCTTAATACTTGAATTAAAAGGAGAATGGTCATTAAACAGAAACTGCTGCTAAAAGTGACAAGCAACTTAGCAATACACATTAGGAGCAAAGATTATAATTTATGCAGCATATTTTCATATACAGGCAAATCTGAGATAGAAGGAAAAACAAATGGCTTGGAATAAAACAAAATCCTTAAAATGTGTAAGTCTCTGACCTCAGATAGAACTTCAGTATGAACCAGCTGCAGAACAGCATCTTGGGGCCAGTGGGTTGGGGAGGTTTACTGTTGATTTGCTATTATTCTGTGAGTTGGGTTGTATTCACACTTGTGCCTCATAAGGCAGGAACTGACTCACTAAAATAAAATAAAATAAAAAATAAGCCAATTCGTGTCCTTGTAAAATGAGAGTAAGCATACCCAATAAGCAACACTGCCCTCATGGTATTTTATGGCAACTAAGTATATATTAAGTAGGTTAAATCTTCAGGCAACCCACAGGGAGCAGTGCTCTTGTTGGGGAGGAAAGTGAAATGACATACTTAGTGAAGGTGTGACCCTACAACCTGCTACTGTCAGTGAGACCCCAGTCAGTGTGGACCACAAACCACCTAGAGACATCTTGCCTGCTGGGAGGCCTATCAACTGGTGGTCACGGCTGCCTCTTTACCTACTTTTCCATGAATCCAGAGGCCATAAATGATTCTGGCACACTCCCTAGCTCCTTGTGTTATTTCTGGAAAGCCACCTTTGCACCTGCCTCTCATGACTGACGTCCTCCACCCAGGCAGCCTCAGTCTTCTGCTTGGGCCTTGGGTCTGCTAGGATCTGAGTGGCAACCTCTTGACATGCCCCAAATTTCATTATTAGTAATCTTTTAGATTAAGCGTTGCCTCCTCTAGTCCTCTTTTTCTACTTCTCAGAAGCAGTAAGAAGATTGCTTCTTATGTAGTAGGATCTGTTGACCACTCATTATTTCTAGAAAACTTAACCTTTTCACAAGGGTTCCAATACCTCTTTGAACCTCCTCTTCAGGCTGAGAACAGCTGAGAGCCAAACTTCCTTCAAGGAATTTCCACAGACGAAACATCCTCCGTTTTATGTGGGAAATTGGGACAATAAACACCCATGGGAGAGCATGCTGCAGGCTGGCCTGACATTGAGGATAACAGCTCCATTAAAATCCATCTCTTATGTCTTACATTATGGCTTTCTGAGGGGTTAAATGACTTGAGGTCCTCTAAAGACTTTCTTTATTCAGTGGTGTTTCTTCTCCCTCCTGGCAATGAAATTCTAACAGTGACATCCTATCCACCATCCATAGGAATTACAGATTTGCCTCTTACCTGAGCACAGACACCACTGCTGAAAGAGTTTAAGTGGGTGAAATGGGAAAATACCAATACAAAGCCATAAAGCAATGGCTGAAATACTAGTGGTTGATATACTCTCCTCAAAGGGCAGAGTATGGTTATGACACTAGGAGACCTTAAATGCGTAATTATGTCTCTAATCTTAGGCTTCCTAGTGTCAACTATCAGCCACCCCAGAAATACCATCAGACAAACATGTTGATGAAGTAGAGCTGAGTTTTTTATAATTGTGGCAGCAAGAAAACCTCACCTTGATTGAGTATTGGTAATCTCTCAAAAAGGGAATGGTAAGGGAAGATATGTGTCAGGTCCTGGGTCTTGTGGTACAACAAATGACTGGTGATCTGCGACCTTGGAGGAAAACACTGTCTGTGTTGAATTTATTGAGCCATTTTGACCATGCCTAATTTTCATGCTCGTGCGGTCTTTAGAAGCACACAGCAGCATAAGGTGTGACCTCTCTGATTTTCCACTTTGTCCAGGAAGCTCCTTCTGTCAATTTTTTTCACAAGGAATAAAAGCATTTTTAGGCTGGGCACAGTGGCTCATGCCTGTAATTCCAGCACTTTGGGAGGCCAAGGTGTGTGGGTCACCTGAGGTCAGGACTTAAAGACCAGCCTGAACAACATGGTGAAACCCAGTCTCTACTAAAATACAAAAATTAGCCAGGCATGGTGGCTCATGCCTGTAATCCCAGCTACTCAGGAGGCTGAGGCAAGAGAATTGCTTGAACCTGGGAGGTGGAGGTTGCAGTGAGCTGAGATCGCACTACTGCACTCCAGCCTGGGCAATGAGCGAAACTCTGTCTCACACAGACAAAAACAAAAAACAAAAAACAAAACCGTGTCTTTAATCTCATACCACCAATGTAACGTTAGGGTCTCCTTGTGTTATTTATCCTTCTTGTGCCCTAGAAGAGCTGTTTTTGTTTTCACAGCAGAAGACTAGAAAGGGAAATGCTTAAAGATCTTGTTAGTAGTGGGACTTCAGGCATCTTAAGAGAAGACTGCTCAGCTCACATACATACAAGACCTAAGCCTCAAGCCAAGGCTGCAGGATGGAGGACACCAATCACGGGGCCATCTGCAAAAGGTGGCTTTGGTGGATTAATTGATTGGAAGTGGCTCTTTCCATTCCCCTGTTCCTTATTTCTCTTTCTCCCACAGACGTGTGAAAGAAATATATTTCCCCATAAGATTTCCTCAAGCAGAGAACTGGCTGTCTCCAATTTCTCAGGGGCATGTTCTTAGCACTTACACAGAAGCATGACTCTTTTCTATTGGAAAATTCACAGGGCCATATACAAGTAAAACAATTTTGAATTCAAAAAAGCCCCTTAGAATGAATCTTAGACGCATAAACAAACCTGTTTTGTTTGTTTTACTTGTATATGGGCCTTTTTTTGTATATGTTTGTTGTTTACAACAAACAGATCTTCAGAATAATATAAACTTTGGATTCTGATGGCCGTCTACCCAAAAAAGTGGGGGCTGTAGGATGCAGCATTGTATGCAGTGTCAGAGGCTAAGTTGATAGATTCAGAATCAGAAGTTTTCTTTTCTGCTCCTTATGGCTACCAGCTGTTCATAGAAGAGCCCCAGCTGAGAATCAGGTCATCTTTAGGGCTCTCGACACGAGTGGAAAGGAAGGTGGTGAAGGCAGGGACTGACATTTTTGCTTGTCCACCCATGTAGGAATTTTCTTGCTGATAGAATCCTGATGTGACTGCAGTGCAACATACCCACCCACAGTACATAGATTTTGATTGGCCACAGCCCACTCCCAGTACATAGATTGTGATTGGCCACAGCCCAGCCACAGTACATAGATTGTGATTGGCCACAGCCCACGCACAGAACATAGATTGTGATTGGCCACAGATGAAAATCATGGCCATCAAGATCCCCTTTATCAGTCACTGGTTTTCTTGGCTTCTCTTCAGCAAAACGGGGAGTGTCTGCTGGGGAAATCTCTAAGATGAAAGCCACTTTGTCACCTTCTTCCTTCCTGCTTGGGACACACATGTAATGCTTGGCACTGCTCCCCCTATCTTGTCACCATGAGATGACAGCCAAGAGGAGAAAAAGCCAAAACAGAGAGGATGACAGTGAAGAAAGAGGAAAAGTGGTTAAACCTCACATGACATCATGGAAACCTGAACAAAGGCACAGAACCACAGATTTCCCAATTCTTGCGAAGGAAGCAATTCATGTTCCTTCTGGGTGAAGCTGCTGCTGGTTGGGTATTTATCCTTCTAGAGCTGAAGCATCCTGAGTAATGCAGGTACTATTTTACCTTCATCTTATTTTAACCATGCAAGTAATATTTAATAATTGGCCAAAACATAAAAAGGATAAAAAGAAAACCCCAATCAACTATAATCTCATAATGTTTAAGTATTGCATCGTTTCTATTCTGATGGTTCACAATTCATGTTTTATTAATCCTCTTCTCCATGACAAAGCAGGAAATATGCTTAGTCTCTGGCCTATCTCCTCAATTCCTCTCCTCTCTGAATTCTCCAACTCCAAAATTAGAAAGCACATCACCTTAAAACAAACCCAACGGCCTAACTTTTAAAATCCTCGTCTGATGGATGTTACCCAGCATGGTGCTACGTGGGGGTCTTCCCACAGACCCTGACCCAACGACGGATTAATGAAGTACACTGACACACAGATATTTTGTTTTGCCAGTCCGGCTGAGTGTCTGAGCCGCTTACAGACTCCAAGCAGAGTGCTGTAAACAGTTGCGACCGCGGCCTCGACTTGCAAGGGAGACCCGCATTTATTCAATAAAGATTAATTGACAAAGGCTTGAGTCAACACCACTAGAGGGTAATTGACATTGTGGACTTCCAGAGTAGAAAGCAATTAAGCACCCACAGTAGATCAAAGGTTAGTCTTAGGACCACACGAGTAAACAAGCTACATAGATAACTTCCCCATATTCCTTTGTTACTACTCTAATTTATTTAACTAAAGGTAAAGTGACCAGGCCAACTGCAGCCAGATCTATTACCAAAGTTATGCAAACTCTCAGGCCTTCCAAGAGGGTTTGTGGCTATTATAACCAATACTTTTCCCACCAGCCTGACTGAACTCCTACAGTGCTAATGTTCCGGTAGCATCCAGCACCCAGAGGCCATGCAGTAGCTGTTTGCAGATTGATTAAGTAGCACATTGGATTGTCAGTTGTTTCTAAGAGTAAGGCTGGAGTTTGCTTACACTTACAGAAAGTCACTTCTTTATCTCGAGTTGCTAGCACAATCTCTTTAGAGGGTCGGCATGCTGAAAGGACCACAGTTTAATAGCCAGATAATCCAGTCACACTGACAGGCAAACCTTCAGAAAGACAAAAATCTCCTGGCGCTAGGAGTTAGCTCTGAATAGCAATTAATGCCCATGCAGGAGGCTTTTCAGAGACCTGTGAACTATACAAAGGAATGAGGCTCTGTGCTGATAAGAGGGTGCTTTCTTGTCAATACCACTGATAATCAGGTGGCCTTGCCAGAAAGTTGAGATATACACTGATGTAATTGGGAATATTTGATTTTTAAAAAACATATAAACAAACACAGAAGAATTAAAAATGAATTTTAAAGAATTGCCTTTGAGATGCTTCAAGATGCTTTTGATGACAATCAAACTCAAAATATGTTACTACCAAAAGACATCCAATCCTTTTAATATAAATTCACCAATCTATATGATCAAGCCACATCCTATGACCTCATTTATTCTAATTACTTCCTTAGAAGCATCATCTCAAAATACAGCCACGGGGGGAGGGTGGAGGTTAAGGCTTCGACATATGAATTGTGGGGAAATGCAACAGGTTGCAGATAACATTGAATCATCAGAAATCTTGTTGTGACTAAGCATTGATGAAAACCAAATCCTTAATTGATAGTTTTATACCTCTGATGATTGGAGGGATAATTATAGACAAATTTCTCCCTCCATTCATTTCAAAACTTGTTTCTTCTGCACTATCCACATCAGGCTCACTTCTAGAACAAGCTCATATTAGGAAATAAACCCTGACCCAGCACCTTTGAGTGGGTTGACACGGTGGGGAAGAATTACTCCTGGAAGTTCTTCCTACAGCAAGACAGCTACCATAACTATACTGAGAATTGAGTTCGGCCATGCAAACACATCCCACTAAACCCAGACAAACGCACACACAACTCAAAGAACCCTTAGCCACATGGCAAGCATGCCTGCAGCCCCTGGACCATCATGCAACTTGGGATGCATGACAGAGGAGAGATTATTAGGTTGGTGCAAAAGTCACTGGCCAGGCGCAGTGGCTCACGCCTGTAATCCCAGCACTTTGGGAGGCCGAGGCGGGCAGATCACGAGGTCAGGAGATCGAGACCATCCTGGTTAACACAGAGAAACCCCGTCTCTACTAAAAATACAAAAAATTAGCCAGGTGTGATGGCGGGCACCTGTAGTCCCAGCTACTCAGAAGAATGGCATGATCCTGGGAGGCAGAGCTTGCAGTGAGCTGAGATCACGCCACTGCACTTGAGCCTGGGTGACAGAGCGAGACTCCATCTCAAAACAAAACAAAACAAAGCAAACAAACAAAAAAAAGTCATTAAGATTTTTGCCATTGAACGTAATTACAAAAACCACAATGACTTTTGCATCAACCTCATTGAACAAAGGTCTTGATGGACTGTGATAATTAAAGCATCTTTTGCATGTCACAGTGTGAACACATGACCAACACTTCTTCCTGAGGACTGAGAGATAGATCTAAGCCAGTGAAGGCTTCTGCAGCTCATTAGTTTTATGGAAAATCTGCTTCTTTCCAGGACTGGGGACCTCTGGAAGCTGCACACAGAGCCCTTCCTTCTCCCTCTCTTCCTCCAGAGGTCCTGCCGAGATCAGGTTGGAGGTCCTCTTTGTTCTTATGCCCATTCCTCCCCCAGGCACTTGGAGGAGGGCACTGTTTTTGAGTGTGCAAGTCTTTCTCTGTTACTGTTGGTAAGCAAAAGATCTTACCAAAGCTTTACAACCATATGCCATTTATCTCCTCAAAAACCCTACTTAGGTTTTGAGAAAAGCATGTTAGCATAGTGAGGCATCGTAGTGTTGTAAAACCCTACAGTGGAGTGACACAGAGCCTGGACTTCGGAGCCAGACTTCTTTGTTCAAACTCTGCCTCTACCCCTTACTACCTGTACACACCTGGGCAACTTCGTTAACCTCTCTGTGCCTCATTTTCCCATTCTGTAGCATAGGGACGATGTAGAACTGCTGTAAGAGTTAAATGAGTTAAGAACAAAGAACTTGGAATAACACCCAGCACATGCTAACTGTGTACGTGGTAGCTATCATTGTCTCCTAAGAACCAGCCCTTTATAAATTAAGTGCCAAAAATTGATAAGGTATTTCTGTTTTCCACTCTTCCTCGTACCTTCCATGATGCAATGAACAGGGATCTGACTCTTTCGGGCAGGGAGGGGGTGGAAAAAGGGAAACTACGAGGAGAACCTGAATTAAAAGATGATAACATCTCAGAATGTTATTTTAGGCACAGATACATGAAAACATTTCAACAGAATTTTTATTATCTGCCCACACATTAAAGTCTCAGGTGCCTTAAATTCACTTTTATGTGAAAAGTTACTTCCGTGGCTTGTTTTTCCATCTATGAAAAGAAGTAAACAAATTTGCCTGTTGACTACTCTGGTGTCTGGGCTTATGGGCAACTCTGAGGATTCTTTGATAGGATTCTCTCTCCCTCCCTTGATCCCTCCCTTGTTCTTTCCTTCCTTCTCTTCCTCCTTCTCTTCCTCCCATCTTCCTCTCTCCACCCTTCCTCCCCTCCCCTCTGTCTCCCTATTTCTTTCTTTTGCTGCTGTTATTTGATATTCATCAAGAACCAGCAATGCTGTTATGAATGTACAAAATAGATTCTTCCAAATGGCCTTCTTCCCCTAAGAGATGATAGATTGCTTTTCGCTCCACAGTGCAAATCAGAAATTGAAATAAATGAAGCACGTCTTGAGCAGTGTCATGGCAAAGGAGTCTGGCTTGTAGAATGTCTGTCTCTGGAAATTTGGAGAGCTGGGAGCAGGAGATGTGATCGTGGTTCACAACTGCAGGTGAGGCTGGGGCAGCTCTCCCAGGCCTGAAGCATATGCAGGGTTTTCTCTCCTAATAGCAGCATCCTGACTTCCCTATATGCTTTTTGAATTGGTTTTGCACATTCTTCCCCCAAATTCACATTTTGACTGGTCAGGTATAAACAAGTCAATTCACAGATTCAGGGAAGTTTTAGAGAATGGAAGGGAAGGACACATTTTCACTGGAAATTATCAAGCCATTATATTTCCCAGATGTTTACTGAAAACAATGGCATAATTATAGATGCAAGATCAGTTTTCGTTGGATGTACTGTGTGTCCAAAAGAGACCATAAATTCAACAGTAGTGGAAGGGAACATCCCAGGACACAGTACAGCCAAATCAACTGCACAGTCATTTTCTCTACGATCAATGTGACTAGGTTGCAATCCCAGAAATGTTTTCAACTCCTGCAATATTTATGGGGATATGGGAGCAGCTATGTCCTTGTTTCTTTGAAATCAGTAAGTAAAGATCTGAGACGTTTATACTACCTGAAGAAATCGAGGTCTGTCACTAAAGTCAATTCTTAGGGGTTTCCATTCTCTCATTTAGGGTAAAGTTCTATGCTGTAGTAAATGCACCTCAAGATATGTAATGGTTAGAGCCCCATAGAAGTTCATTTTTCACTCATTGAAAGTCCAGTCTGGTCATTTTTGTTGATGGGTGAGTAGATCCACCAAGAACTAATTCAAGAACCTAGGCTTTTTCCATCCTGTGACTTCTCCATCTTTAACAAGCATCTTCTGATTTGCAGCAACAAAGCATGCAGGACTACCCATGAGACGTTTTATAGGTCAGGCTGGGAGGTGGTGATATGGCTTCTACTCACCTTTCTCAGTTAAGTCCTAGTCCCTCTGCAAGGGAGGCTGTAAATAGAGTATAACTGTGAGCTTGAGAAGAAAAGGAAAGAGGTTCAGTAAATAGCTATTCACCAGATAACTGAATAGCTAGCTAGCTTGTCTTTGCTGTTACAGCCTTTAAAAAAAAATCATGCACAATGTCTTCCGGTTTAATTAGGGGATGATTTTAAACTTTCAAAGAGACAAGGGAGAGGCATAAATATCTGCAGCCTTGTTTCTATCTGGGTTATGTTATTGAAAACCACAAAGAGAAAGCTCTGTTCATCATCAGGTTTAGTCATAAGTCATTCTCTATAGCAAGAAAGTTATAAATGCTGCATAGAAGAACACACCCATTTTGTTCTCTTAAGATGAGAAAGAAAAGAATATGTAAAATATTTGAAAAAATTAAACTGATACACCAAGTATCTTTCAAGGCTGGGTTTTCTGTTACTGCCTTTTCTTTATTCTACAATTATGGAAAGCATATTCTTTAAGACAAAGACAATCTCTCCATTGACAAATATGTTAGGAAAGTTCAAATCTTCAACAGGCCCAACACTGGTGGTGATTCAGAGGGGCTATGCAGCATTTGTATCATTACTGTAATAGCATATTATCATAAGCATGAAACAGAAAACTTACCTACTGTGTGCTGGGCACTGTGTCAAGTACTTCACCTGCAATAATCCTAAAGATCCTACAAACAACCCTATGAGCTAGGTGTTTTTATTATACCTAAGCCACAGATGAAATAATATAAGATGCAGTGAAGTTAAGAAAATTGGCTGAGTTCACATGACTTGCTAAAGAAGCAGAAATAGGACTTAAAATTGCCACCTGCCTACTCGCATCCCTGGCAGACCAGATGCCCACTGACATGGCTTTTGGTTTCTATAGCACATATCACTTCTAAGATATGTTAACATTCTATTGTCTTCTCTAATAAATTGTAAATTCCACACTGACAGAGACCTGGTTTGTTCACTTTTGTATCTCAAACACAAACAGTGCCTAGCACATACCAATTCTGTAAATATGTAGGAATGCAGAAATGAATGCAACCTAATCCTAGGAGATTTTCCTTTCATATCTTTTCTCTTTCTTTACATTTTGCCTTGACTTTCTGAGTTTTCCCATATCCTTCCATTATGTTGCTTTTCTAAGAAAGTTATAATCACTTCCTGTTTATTGTAACCGGAGACTCAGAGTGATACTGAAAAATGCATTAGTTAAATATTGTTTAAATTATTGGGAGTTGCAAACAAAGTCACTCTCTGTCCTCCTTATTTACAGATACTGTGTTTGAAAATGTACTTGCTAAAATGTACTTGTAATTCCAAAATCAATGTTCCTGGTGGTTTTATGCTCATTTTTGAACATACACGGAACAGAAAAAAAAATTAAGTTTTCACCTTAGATGGAACAAGGTGACACTCTGCTTTCTTGTTTCAGCCCTCATACCATAAACAAGTGTCCTTTTTGTAGTCTATTTAGTGCCAGACTCTTTGCATTTTTGTGTTTCTTTCATGGATGATTTTGCTGTTTAACATGGACTGCAAGCATAGTGCTGAAGTCTTGTCTACCACAAGAAGGCAATGTGAGGTACCTGATGGAGAAAATGCAAAGATGCTTCATTCAGGCATGAGTGACAGACAGCAGGGCTGGCCATGAGTTCAATGTTAATGAGTTGGTGCTATGTATTAAATAAGGTGTCTTTAAACAGAAACACATGTAAGATGAGGTTATGTATTCATTGATGGATAAGAAGGTTGTGACAAGAGGCTTGAAGAAATTTATCTCATTTCTCCTAGAAAATGTTCAGTACTTGATAATTCCGTGTCCAAGGTGACTCTATAGAACATAATTAATGTGGGATGGGGAAAAATTGGTCAATGAATACAAATTATTTGTTAGATAAAAGGAAAAAGTTCAGGAGAACTATTGTATAACATAGTGACTATAGTTCACAACAATGTATGGTATTCTTGAAAATTGCTAAGAAAGTAGATTTCAAGTGTTTTTACCACAAAAAATAAGTATGGAGCAATACATACATTAATTAGCTTGATTTATTTCTACAAAGTATGGTATGCATATTTCAAAATACAAGGCTGTATATCATCAATATATACAGTTTTTATTTGTCAACTAAAAAATTTAAAAAAGAAAAAAGAAAATAACTGCTGCAGATAACAAGAATTTATTTCTACTTGGGAAAACCGTGATTATAGATTATCCTTAATGTTTCTCCATCTTTGCAGATTTTTTTATGTAAAGAAATAGAAAGTCATCAGGGTTAAAATTTGTCTCCACTTTCTATGATAGAATCATCTTTTCAAAACATTGACTATTGTTTCAGAGATGGCTTAATTAACAGTGTTACAAGGAAGTTATTAAAGGTAATGTGTATTTCCAGGTTTGTGCATAGGGTAACTTGCCTTGTTCTTGGCTGCCTGCGATATTTATTGTTCTTGGTCTGTTGGCATTTTTATGATGCTGTGATTCAAATTTTATAGCTGTTTTACTGGGCTAATTTTCCATGCTGCATTTCATCAGCCCATCTCAGACACCCATCAAGTTAACTCCCCTCCCTTCTGCATGACTTGATGCTGTGAACTGCACCTCCCCGTCATCCAGAAATCTTGTGGGCACACTGTGCTTTGCAGCAGTCTGGAAACAGAGGTCAGGGAAGAGAAACATGCGACACAAAACGTTTCCCAAAACCTTTTCTCACGGAATGCCTAGGAGGTGAGGAGAGCTCCCTTTTCCATCAAACATTTCTAACTGTTGTAAGAGCTGTAAAGAGTAGCTATAAAATTAATGAGATAAGTGTTAAATTATGCACCAGATCTCCACTGTGATAAATTAACATGGCCAAATTAATAGTTTCCTCTCTCCTGATAAGATCTCATCTTGATGTGGCCTAGGTTGAGGGGAGCTTTGCATTTAGGTAGGGATGCAATAAAGAGATTGTGGCATTTAGTTCCCCAATGTGTCTCTTGATTTGAAGACTGGTGATACCACATCTTTCTCAATGACCCCAACCATAATGAGCTAATTTATTTTTTCAATAACACTCTATTGTTGTTGACTATTACTGTGCAGATACAACAGGCTGTGCTGTGCTTCTTCCTTTGAATACCTCAAATTCCATTTTCTTGGTTTTCAAATCCTGAAAGCGGAGAGTTGTGAGCTGGGAACATTATCCCTCTATGACTGGATGTGCGGAATTTGAATCAGAATGACCCAATGAGCTTGGAACTGGGCCCCTCCTAAGACATGGGGCTTTCAGTGCTAAAGCTGAAAAAGTCCCAGGCAAACTGGGAGGAGCTGGACACCCTGTGAACCATCCCCTCGCAGTGTGTCTGACTACGGTACCCAGTCTTTCCCACTGCAAGTGAGGGAGTGGAGTTTTGAGAACACCAGAGAACACATTTCAATCTTATTTTAAACTTAGGTACACTGCGGGAAAAATTGTGATCGAAATTTTTTTTAAAAGAATGAACAACCTCCCCCTACATCTCACTCTGCAACATCCACTTCCATCTTCACCTCCTTACTTCAGATTCCCTTTTTACTTAATTTGTTCAACAATCATTTATTGAGTACTGCCTACTGTGTACAAGCCAAGTACTAACCGGTGTCATGCCTGCATGCCAGGATAGATCATGCACATGCTCACTCTCTCTCTCTCTTTTTTCTTTCCTCTCTCTCTTTCCATATCTGTCTCCATTTCTCTCATTCTTTCTGTGTGTATTAGGTACACATTCTCAGTCTGCCTAATCAACTTAACATTTATTTCTAGCCCTGTTTAGTCAGATGGCACAAAGCATCAGCTCACCAATTCTAACTTATTTCAAAAAATATGCATTACACTCAATTAATTTGTAATTCCATCCTCCTCTTTTTCATGGAGTTGAGTCTGAGCACCAGGAGGCTCACACAGGACTGTCGTGGGCACATAAGTAGTTCTCAGCTCTTCTCTGTCTGACGCTGGTGTCCACAGAGATGGTTTTCCTGTCTGACTTCTTTTCCTCCTTAACCTTCTCTGATAAGTTTGCATTCCCAGCTGGTCCCCCAATATGAGATTTGCCACATATCCATAATGGTGCACCCTGAACCCAGTCACGAGGCCCATCCTTGTCCTCCAGTGCTGCTGGCTCAAAAGACTGTTTGGCTTCTCCATTCACTGGGGAAACACTGAACTGGGTGGTCCTTTCAGGCCTCTGTGCCTTGAATTCACATGGGGCCATCTTTAGTCTACTCTCTTAAACCAAGGTGGCACGAGGAACTCTATGGCAACTGGATAAGAAAAGAGATCCAGGTCTCTTCTATTCCAGATCTCCCAAACCATCTGGAAGACCTATGACTCCATTATCACCACTTAGGACCAAGACCAGTGGGTGGCAACGATGTACTTTCCCTTGCTTTCCCTCCAGACACATTCTACCCTCAAGTACATGGGGGTGTTTATTAGAGGAAAACTAGAAGAGTCCATTCTGATAGATTATACACACACACACACACACACACACACACACACATATTTATATACATAATTTTTTATTTTTTGAGACAGGGTCTCATAGTGTTGCCCAGGCTGGAGCCCAGTGGCATGATCTTGGTTCACTGCAGCCTGGACCTCCCGGGCTCAAGCAATCTTCCTACCTCTGTTTCCTGGTGTGTGCCACTAGACCAAGCTAATATTTGTATTTTTTGTAAAGAAGGGATTTCGCCATGTTGTCCAGCCTGGTCTTGAACTCTTGGGCTCAAACGATCAGCTGGTCTTGGCCTCCCAAAGTGCTGAGATTTCAGGCATGAGCCCCTGTGCCCAGCCAGATCATATATGTTCTCTGCCTATTGTTTAGGTCAAATTTTAAGGTTAAAGTTAAATCAATCCACTAAAACACCAAGTAGGTTCAAAGGATACAAATCTCCTTAAGAGCAGTCGCTCTCTTGGGTTTCAGTATTCTATTGTGAAAGCCCAAAGCTCAGAATGGATTTACTTACTTTTCTTTTTGGCTTGGTTTTGGTCCTACCTTGGGTAATATGACGGGAATGTCCTAGCTTCTAGGGTTGGAGATAAGTGTGGGTAGGAGGAAGAGTGAGAAAATTCACAGCTTGTTTAATATTTGGTCATATTATCCTGATACATGGCATGTTTGTGTCTGTAAATAGACCTTGACCTTTTGGATGTCAGAATGTTTCCTTTACTAACTTTCATCCCATCCCCAGGACCACATACAAAGTTGTTCTGTTCTTGGTCTGGCCTGGGGCTTGGTTGACTTCAGCATGGCCCCTCCGGGACAGAAGATGGTGTACTGAAAAATGATTAATAAACCTAGAGAGAGAAAAAAACCAAAGCTTCTCCCAGGAAATCAACCAGATATAAATAAGCCTCTTCCTTCCCTAGTAAATGTTAATATTTAAATATTTACTTCAAACAAATACATTTAAATAAAACTTCTGCCAAAGTTAAATCAATCCACTAAAACACACTTAAGAAACTAAAAGTGTAAAATCTGAAGGTCATGCATTCAGTCTGAGACTGACTTGTGCTGGGGAAATTAAAGAGGTAAACCAACAAAACTGTCTTCCATACCAGCGTGAGAGGACACACAGTTCAGCAATGAGTAAGCATTACACATGGACATGGATGCGAACGTGGCTCAACAGTGTCAATGAAGCCTGGAAAGAATTTCATATGTATTTATGAAATGGAAGAAAGAAAAATTAAAGCCTCTCTTATCTTCTTGAATGATAAATGGATGCCTCTGTGATTGTCTCCTTGTGTTTGTATCTTGTGAGAGATCACTGAGCTAATTCTGAAGCAGAGTGGGCCAGAAAGCTCATGACCTTGTTTTGCAAAATCAAAATGCCAGACTTTTAAAACTGTATTTATTTTTATTTTTTAGAGACAGTGTGTCCTATGTTGCGTAGGCAGGAGTGTAGTAGGGCGATCATAGCTTACTGCAGTCTTGACCTGGGCTCAAGTGATCCTCCCACCTCAGCCTCCTGAGTAGCTAGGACCACAGGTGCATGACACTATGCCTGGCTAATTTTTTATTTTATTTTATTTTTTGCAGAGGCAGGGTCTCCCTATGTTGCTCAGGATGGTCTCAAACTCCAAGGTCCAAAGGATCCTTTGGCCTCAGCCTCTCAAATATCCTTTTTTTTTTTTTTTTTTTGAAATGGGATATCAATCTGTGGCCCAGCCTGGAGTGCAGTGATGTGATCTCAGCTCACTGTAGCCTCCATCTCCTGGATTCAAGTGATTCTCCTGCCTCAGTCCCCCGAGTAGCTGGGATTACAGGTGCCTGCTACCATGCCCAGCTAATTTTTGCATTTTTTAGTAGAGACAGAGTTTCACCATGTTGGCCAGGCTGGTCTTGAACTCCTGACCTCAAGTGATCTACCCGCCTCAGCCTCCCAAAGTGCTGGGATTACAGGCATGAGCCACTGTGGCTGGCCCCTTCTTTTTATTAAACAAAGCAAGCTCGATCATCTTACTCGTAGCCTTTGAAAGCTTGACTATTTTCCCTTACGGTTGAAATCAGATGAAAATCATCCCTATGTGAGGGAAGTGGTTCTTTTCCTACGCACAGGCAGCCCATCATGGTTTACAAGATCTTTTTTACATTAATTAACACAAACAATCCTCACAACAGCCTGCGTGGTGAGCAGAGCAAGAATGATTGTTTCCACTTTTCAGGGCAGAGAGACTAGTCCCAGAAAAGTTAAAGAGGTCACCTGGGGATGCTCAGTTGTCACGTGATGGAGGAAGAGAGGCAGTACGAGGCTTACAGTGCTATCACCTTGTGCACCTGTGTCCTCTTCATTCTGTCTGAGGAAAGCTGTTTCCAGAAGATTCCTCAGGGCTCCTTCAGCAGCTGAGAGCCTGGGAAACCAGCAGAGTCAGCCATTCTTCTCCTTACTCTATGCAGAGGACTCCAGGGAAGAGTCAGGGAGCACCTGGGGCTCTGACCTCTGCATTGTAAGTCCCCAGGTTGGCCCCATAGACTGGGTTAGCATGTGTTCTCCTTTCCCAGGACTTTCAGCCTCATGCTGCATGTCTTGTGGATGTTGTGCTAGGTTTTCATGTGATTAACAAGATTTATTTCAAAACTAAGTATTTTGGGGCTGGACATGGTGGCTCACACCTGTAATCCCAGCACTTTGGAAGGCCGAGGCGGGTAGATCACTTGAGGTCAGGAGTTGGAGACCAACCTGGCCAACAGAAGGAAACCCTGTGTCTACTAAAATATAAAAACTAGCCAGGTGTGGTGGCACATGCCTGTAATCCCAGCTACTTGGGAAGCTGAGGCATGAGAATCACTTGAACCTGGGAGGCGGAGGTTGCAGTGAGTGGAGATCACGCCACTGCACTCCAGCCTGGGGGACAGAGCGAGACTCCATCTCAAAAAAAAAAAAAAAAAAAAAAAGGACAGCATTTTTGAACTAAGCCTGTATAAATGCTTCAGTGTGCATTTCTTTTCCAGATGCAAGTTATTTCTTTACATTTTTACAGTTTAAAAATGGTTACAACATCTGCTGTTTGCTTATTAAAATGGGACCATAATATATAAATTTGTAATTTAAAAATGTCTCTAATGGTTTTATTCCCCTCCCGCCCCGTCATCCCAAAGTATTTACAATTTGGAATTTATCTTTTTAGAGTTGTTTGTGAACACTTGCAGGTGTCTGTATGTGGTCAAATACACTTATCTATAACTTACTTTTTTCACGTAATGTTTCTTGTGCATCTTTGCGTATGGGTTCACCTAAACCTACTACATTATTTTAAAGACTGCAATGCATCCCATTTAATTTAACTCACCCCTGATGATGTACATTTTTGGTGAGCCCATTTTTCTTACTCTCAATGGTGTTCCATTTTACATGCTTTTTTTTTTTTACATTTTTGTCCAAATATTGCTGTAGAATACATTTATAGAAGAATAATTTTGAGTTCAAGTAATATAACAATTATATATATTAATTTCATAAATATTCATATTCATCAATTATACATATATGTTTATATATGTATGTATATATATAAGAATTATATATATAAAACAATTATATATATATATATATAGTCCATGCCATTCAGAGTGTTACACATGAGAGAGCATGTAATTAGGTGGGTTCTCCATGACCCCCAGCTGCTGGACTGGCACCTGAGTCAAACTTTCAGATCTACACAGTGCAGGGCCTTCTTTTCAAATTGGAACAACCTCCTTATGAGTTAGTGAGTGAATGATTACTACAGAGGAGAAGCAGAGGCTATATCAGACTATATATATTCATAATTTTTGACCTCCAAATAATGGTAGTTAGAATCCCATCAATGACACCTTCCTCCATCTGGTTGAAAATGATCATTCAGGTCTATTTTTGTGTATGCCAATTGCACTTTAAGTGATGAAGACCCTTTCCAGTGCGGTTCACAATCTGCACGTCACCTGCTCCTGGCATCGTCACCAGCCCTTCATGCTGCAGCCCCTCCTTCCCACATCTCTGTTCATACAGTACCCATCTATCTTTATATAATCAAACTTCCTGTGTATTTTACTTCTCTCTTCCCACCCTTGCCCACGTCGGTACCCATGTCCTACTCATCTCCCAGGCATCTTCTCAGGAACCTTTTCTTCATCATCTACAGTAAGCAATGTGCCTCCATAATGCACCCCCATAATGCCCATGTTTTGTAGAGCCCAGTGCATCTGAATTGATTTGCTTAACCTAGTGCATCTGCATTGATTTGCTGTACACTCCCATGGGGGCAGAAGCCACTTCTGATGGACTAGGATTAGACCAGTCTATGCCCATCCCTCACATAATCAATATGAAGAGGGGAGGAATAGATGGGGGAAAAGGGCCTTGGTCTTATGAATGGTCTTAAAGACAGGAATGGGGCAGAAATAAATGTGGTCCCCACTGCCCACAGATTGAGCAAGAGGAAGGATCTTTCAGATAAAGACAGCTAATTTTTCTTTGAACTTCTCTTTGAGAATGGTTCCTCAAAGAAAAATTAGCTGCCTGTATCTGAAAAAGGAGTGATTTCTGATTGCCAAAAACAGCAGGTGAGCTCAACATGGTCTAATTTTGTTTTTCCTTTGCATATAATTTTTGCTATTTTATGAATTTGTGGATCTAGAAATTGGCACTGTCTGCAACTGGCACTAAACTGGGCACTTAATACAGTGTGATTATTTAGAAGCCCGTTGTGCTCTGCTTCCTTTGGGTGTCTCCATGGTGGAAGCTGTAAAAGGAATCCCAGGATATGGAGAGGAGGACAAGGAAGGACTCTAAACTGTGAGCTCTGTGGCTTGTGAACTTATTCTAGGTGATGCATCAAAGAAACCCTCAGTCGCGGCCAGTCATGGTGGCTCATGCCTGTAATCCCAGCAGTTTGGGAGGCTGAGGCAGGTGGATCACAAGGTCAGGAGTTCGAGACCCGCCTGGCCAATATGGTGAAACCCTGTCTGTACTAAAAATACAACAACAACAAAAAAATTAGCCGGGCGTGGTGGTGGGCACCTGTAGTTCCAGGTACTCAGGAGGCTGAGGCAGGAGAATCGCTTGAACTGGGAAGGCGGAGGTTGCAGTGAGCCGAGATGGCGCCACTGCATTCCAGCCTGGGCAACAGAGCGAGACTCCGTTTCAAAAAAAAAAAAAAAAAATAGAACCCTCAGTCGCAACCATTGTCCCATTCCCTGGTCACAATGAGTGAGAGTCAGAAGGCACATTAGATGGTCACCCCCTCATCCAATGCTGAGATTTCCCCCACTTTGGTGGCTTCAAGTAGACTTGGAAGAAATAAGAAATACAAAAATGAGGTTTAAGTTCTATTCTGTGCTTAAAGATTTCCACAACACAAATTGATATGTTCACAAAAACACACCTACAAGGCAATGTGACTTATTTGTGTCATCCACACGATAATGTCACACCAGAATAATGATAGGATGTGTATGTGAGGACATACCCTGCAGAGGCCACTGAAGGTAATGTGTGTTGGGAACAGGTGTGTAATGATGTCTGATGAACTAGTTTTCATCCTTCCAGTGTCTCTCATTGACTTCATTCACGTTCAGAAGCAACCTTAAAAGTTTGAGTTTTCTGAAATTTTTGAATATAAGTGCCCACTTAAAGAGCAGACAGAGAAAGATCCTCCGAAGATAAAGAGTTTATCATTGAGTGCACAGGGGATTTGTAAGCCCAGGACTTGCAGGGTATGGGGACCAAGGGCATGTCCAAAGAGGTTGAGGTGAGAAAAAGCTTTTAAAGGAAAAGGGAAAACATACACATAATTTGTTCTGAAACAGAGAGGAACATTGGTTACAGGGGCTATTCCAGGAGTTGAGGCCAGTTCATTAGTGGAGACAGTGTGGCAGGCAGGTGTTCTTGTACATCTGACTAGATGTCCTTGTGACTCAGGTAGCAAGCTGCAGTTTGAAAAGTTCTTGATAAAGTTCTTGTTACAGGCATATGTGGGTAAGAGCCCTTCAGAGTCTTTGTAAAAGTTCTTACCATAGGCATGTGTGCATGAGGTCATTTCCTTTCCTTTTCCTTCCTTCCTTCCCTCCTTCCTTCTTTCAGTTTGACACAAGTTGCTCCATTTTGATTCTGACAGCTTTCACATTAGTTACCAGCCAACAAGCCTTTCTGATCTCCTAGGGTAAAGATTGATCTAGCCTCTGCTTCTCCTCCGCAGTAATTATCTGTTCACTCCCTCATAAGGAGGTTGTTCCAATTTGGAAAGAAAGCTCTCCACTGTACAGATCTGAAAGTTTGATTTGGGTGCTAGTCCAGCAGCTGGGGTCATGAAGCACCCACCTAATCACATGCCCTCTCATGTGTAACACTCTGAAAGACATGGACCAT
Organism: Homo sapiens; assembly: GCF_000001405.40. Taxonomy (NCBI): domain Eukaryota; kingdom Metazoa; phylum Chordata; class Mammalia; order Primates; family Hominidae; genus Homo; species Homo sapiens. The sequence goes on from NC_000012.12 coordinate 126,122,985, forward strand.
CTGGCCATCGTCCACTATGGTGGACATTTATTGCTTGTTGAGAGCCTCAACAGCTGTACTCTCCTCTAGTAACAGACCCTTTTCTGGGGGAAATATGCCTCCCTTACTCTTAGTGGTGCGGGGTTTTCTCACCTCATTCTAGGGAAAGATCATATGAACCTCTCCTGGCCAATCAGAAACTCAAATTCCTTGAGCTCAGCAATTGGTTTATAAATGGATGCTTCATAATAATTCATTTGGGATTAAAGGGAAGGAAAGTCCATGTGGAAATGTGAAAAGTGAGATACCCTCTTCTCCAAGAATCTAGAACAGGTAGAGCTATAAGGTTGCAACCATTGCAGTCATGGTGGCTTCTCAGTGGATGAAACCAACATGAAGAAAAGGAACCAAGAAATGGAAAAAGAGGAGAACCCAAGTCTCCTGGATCAAGCCACACCTGAAAGGAACCCTACCCCTAAACATTTCAGTTATTTCAGACAGTACATGACCTTCACGCTTAAGCTAGCTTGAATTGGATTTTTATGACTTATATCCAAGAGAACTTTGATGAATCTTTTTGCCTTGCTTCCCTCCCTCTCAACACTTGTGCTGTAACTTTTGTGTACAACCAATATTACAGCAAAGAATGCTGCCAACAACAGCAACTCAGGTATCAGTTCTAATTGTGTGTGGGCCCATTTGCTCACTTGGGTCAGCCACGTGTCAGTGATAAGCAACTCCAGGCCATTAGTTGTTCTAATATTAATGAAATATCTGATGCCACCCACTCCATACATCATGGGCCACACCAGCTTGTAAAGCACCCAGTGGCAGAGGGTGTTTCTCTTTGTTCTGCAGAATTGACCACCATCTTCCTGAAAGTCCCCAATGGGAAAGAAAATTTCTCTAAGGTATAAAGAAATCATAATAATAGCCATGATCTGGAGTTCAAACAAACTTCATAAGAAGATAATTGTTGGGAAGTGAAGGCAGGAGATTCGCTTGAGCCCAGGAGTTTGAGACCAGTCTGGCCAACATAGTGAGACCCCATCTCTACAAAGATGGTTTTTAAAAGATGATTAAATTATGAGAATAACCTTGAGAAACTGGTTATGAATAGGTATAGTTTGACCTGTATCTGGAAGAAAGTTTGTTTCTGCCCCAAGAATATGTTGTAATCTTTCCCCTGATGAAAGGAAGTATAGCAGTGTGGTGAAGAGCTGAGATCGGAAATCAGAAGAGACCTGGGTTGGCCTGCCACTTACTAGCAGTGAGTTCTTGAAAAAGTCACTCAGCCCCAAGCTACTTAACCTCTTAGAGACTCAGTATCCTTGTTCTCAAGAGTTTCTGGATGAGGAGTTATTAATTTAAGACTCACCACCTTCAAAGTTCTGTCTCATTAGTGGCCGCATTTAAACAGACCCGGATCTGCACAACCTTATTAATATTCTTACTCACATACTTCGGTCTTAAATAATACATGGTCTTGAACATTTCCCAGGTAATTTTATTTTGTATCACATATTTTATCCAAACTTCTTTAAATTATTTAATTAGAATTTAAAAAGGCAGCAATCATGCCATTTACTTTTTCTGATTTTCTTGCTCAGTGGTATCTTAAATTACTTTAGTCATTTTCATCCACAACAGAAATAAATAGAGGTTGTACATAAAATTTAGGTCATATCAAGATTTTCTGATCCAATAAAAGTGCTGCTTGTTTAAGAAATCCTTCCAGGCAATTATAAATGTGTCAAACTAATGTAAAAGTATGACATTCGAGATTGAGTCCATGGTAATCATTTGAAAGCCGTTGCAAGTGTATTATATTTATGAGAAAAATATGCTTAAGTATACATGCTCCTATGTACTCTCTAGAGCTGATGTAACCAAAATTCAATTTGAGAAAAATCTCTAGAAAATAAAGCCATTGTTTGCCAAAGAAGATTTTGAAGGAGCTCAGAAAATTAATAATAAGAATTTTGATAATATTAATTTCATTGAGTTATGGAAAAAGATGGGTGGGGGAGGCTTCCAGCTCTCAAATCCTGAGATTATGGGATATGTCAGCCCAGTCTATGAAACACTTGAGTTTTACATTCAGTATTTATGCAAGTCGGAAGAATTTGCAATATTTACAGTGGGGTTAATGAAGAAATGTTCCATGTCAGTGAATTTTGGCATGCAGGGCAGCCTGTCTTACATGGACTGTAGTGCCTTGGCCTTCAAAGGTCAGAAGTCAAGGGAATTTTGGGTTCATAATATATAGAAACAGTCATCTACTTGATCTGTTTATTGAATTTCTTATAAATATGACTGAAATAAGACAAAACCTTCTCTTCACCACTCCCTGAGAAATGGATGGTTTTCATTGTTTTTATGCCCAGCCAAACCTCACAGATTCTAATTAATCAGGAGAGGGGTGCAGGCATGGAGGAATTGTTCAAGTCCCCCAGATAATACTTATATATACCCGGGTCTGAGAACCACTTCCTATGAGAAATCCCTGTGAGCTGGGATGATATGATGGAGAAAATAGCTATGCCTTGTTTTCTCAGCAGAAAGGTGATCCTAAGAGAACAGAAGATGGGCTTTGATTCTCCTCTCAAGAACCAGGCTCACACTGTAGCTTTTCCTTCTACAAGTCTACATTTTCCTTGCTGCAGAGACTAGATAAAAAGGTTTGGTTTTCAAGAGTCTGAGTTCTTGGTGGTGGGTACAGGATGTTCCTAGGAAGAGAGGGTTCTAGGTGTTCATTTGAGGGGAGTGGCCCATTGAGAGGGTTTTCTAGGGAAGTGACTCAATTTGGAGAATAGAGGAGTTGCCATCCTTCAAACTGTCCTCCCAACGGTCCCAGTTTACCCAGGACTAAGCTGTTTTCTGGAAAGCTGAACTTTCCATGCCAAAATAAAGACAGTCCTGTGCCAACTGGTATGGTTGGCCACCCTATCTTCCATCACAAAAACAGCATCCTTAGGGAATAGAACATCACGTGCAAAAGGCCAGCATATTGGGCCCAAAGAAATTGAATGTGTTTTGATTATAAGAACAGCTTTCTATTGTGGCTCTAGGGACTTCTCCCCAGCTGGCCTCTCGATCTGGGAGTTCCTTTCTCTGAGACATGCTAAGTTGGGAGAGAGAGAGGCCTGCTGGACCAGGCGGCACAGGGCTGGGGTGCAGAGGGTGGGTGCACAGATGATGCTGGGCAGGAACCACAGTGGGGATGAGGGAGAGGGTTGGCTGTCTCTCAAGCTGAAGAAGTAGCTGCAAGACTCAGATCTGCTAAGCTGCAGACCCAATCCTGAGCATCTGAGCTGTGTTCAACTGAGACATACAGAGAATCACTTTCCCCAGGGAGAATGCTTAAACACATCACCAGGTCACCCCCTTTCCCCATCAGGTGTCAGGCAGGATGACCAAAAGTACCCATGATGGACAGATTGCAGGACTCAGGCAAGGAGCAGGAAGTGATACCTTTGCAATCATAAACTGATGCTCTGCAGTGCCATGGACATCTATATCTCATCCAAAGAGACCCTCAGCAGATCAGAAGGGCCAAGAGGTCCTGAGATGGCTATGTATGATTGTAAGATGAGGCAAACTTCCTTGGAAGGCACAGAAAGGGACAGCGAAACCTGGCAGGTGAGACCATGCAGTGATTTGGCCCTTGGTTCTATGGACCAGTGTCAAGTCAGGCTGATGCGGCCTAAGCTCCTATCCAAGTCGCGGCAGGTGGGGTCAAGAGCCCGATCCCAACCAGCTCCCTGCCCTGTGAGTCCCATCTCACAATCACCCAGCCCAGGCTCAAATCCTGCAAACAAACTACCCTAATTTCCCTTTTAAGAACTCCACTAAGATCTTTCAAGGGATTCTTCCCTGAGGTAAATCTGATGCACTTAGCTTTGCTTGATCAATACATTTTTTTGTCCTTTGCATGACTTGACAGCAATAATGAGAACTTTTTTTTTTGCTTCAGTCATTTAAATGCTTAAGATAATATGAATGCTAGGCTCAGAGAACAATTTTAAAAGAGCATAGATACAGTTACCCTAAAAGAAGGAGGAGGAGGAGCAGAGCAGTTGGGGTCCTGGCTTCTTTGATACTAGAATTCAATGGCAATTGAAGTAGAAATCAGTGAATACAGGTGAAATCAGTAAAGTCAAGTGATGAGAAATAATTGTTATTTATTTCCTCTTTATTTGGCTGCAACTTGGGGTAAAAAAGAATTTCACTGGGTTCAACTGCATCACACAGATGTTTCTTGGACCTAACTTGTTTCATATTTTTTTAGAGAAGCTACACGCTGAACATCATGGTACGTGTCTGTAATCCCTGCTACTTGGGAGGCTGAGGTGGAGGATGGCCAGGAGTTGAGCCCAGGAGGTTGAGACCAGCCTGGGTAACATAGTAAGACACCATTAAAAAAAAAGAGAGAAGAAGAAGAAACTTCAAAAATTAACCTCTGTAAGCAGAACTACCATTTGATTCAGCAATCCCACTACTGGGAATCTACCCAGAGGAAAAGAAGTCATTATATAAAAAAGATACTTGCACACGCATGTTTATAGCAGCACAATTCCCAATTGCAAAAATTTGGAACCAGCCCAAATGCCCATCAATCAACAAGTGGATAAAGAAATTGTGGCATGTAAATACAATGGAATATTACTCAGCCATAAAAAAGAATGAATTAATGGCATTTGCAGCAGCCTAAATGGAACTGGAAACTATTATTCTAAGTCAAGTAACTCAGGAATGGAAAACCAAACATTGTATGTTCTCACTTATAAGCGGGAGCCAAGCTGTGAGGATGTAAAGGGATAAGAATTATACAATGGACTTTGAGGACTTGGAAAGGATGGGAAGGTGTAAGAGACAAAAGACTACAAATTGGGTTCAGTGTGTACTGCTGGGTGATGGGTGCACCAAAATCTCACTAATCACCACTAAAGAACTCACTCATGTAACCAAATACCACCTGTTCCCCCAAAACCTATGGCAATAAAATTTTTTTAAAAATCCATTTTTAATTTTTAATTTATTTGTATTGATACATAGTAATTATACATATTATGGGGTACATGTGATATTTTGGTAATGCGAACAATGTGTAATGATCAAATCAGGGTATTTCGGGTCTCCATCGCCTTAAACATTTATCATTTCCTTGTGTTGGGAACATTTTGAATCTCTTCCAGCTATTTTGATATATACAGTAAATTACTGTTACCTATAGTTGCCCTACTCTGCTACAGAACACTAGGACTCATTAACCAACCTCTCCTCATTCCCCCACCCCTTCCCAGCCTCTAGTATCCATCACTCTACTCTCTACCTCCATGAGATCCACTTACTTTAACTCTCACATATGAATGAGAACACGCACAATTTGTCGCTCTGTGCCTGATTTATTTCAGCTAACATAATGACCTCCAGTTTCATCCATGTTGCTGCAAATGATAGGATTTAATTCTTCTTTATTTTTTTGTGACAGAATCTCACTTTGTGAGCTTTTGACTGCTGGTTCTCACCTGCTTTCAAATTTAGAAAAGGCCAAGAAATTTCAAGAGGGGTCTGAGATATCTGTCTAGGGCCCAAATTCAGCCTGACCAGTCAATTGCATGTAGTTATTTTTCACAGCTGAGTCCTGCTGACCCCTGGTGACAGTGTCACCAAACCAAACCTCCGAGATCATGTTGGATGGCTGTTGCTTGAAACTGTTGGTTTTCAGTACTAACACTGCAAATCATTTGCTTTGCTCCCCTAATTTTTCTCCTTCCCAGCTATCCCCACCCCTTATTAACTGGGGTATTTCCTACAAGACGATAAATGAGAAGAAAATCCATCTGAAATGAATGAACATTAAAAAGACACAGTGCTTAGTGACTTGCCTGCAAATGTGGTGTCTGTGTGTGTAAGGCATTCTTTGCAGCAGTTATTTTAATTTTGTCTGTATCAATACGGGAAGTCATTCCTTACAGACAAATACAGGAGATCCCAGTGGGGAATTTAGAGCACTTGAGATCATCATAGTCATACACGAGTTCCCAGAATTTGCTATCTTCTTTGAACTTGCCTACTGCTGCTCATGTTAAGAGCAACACATAGGTTGCATTCTGTCATGCTGTTGTTTTAATTGCTTGCTTGCTAAGCTACTGTAGTCAGTGGTTCTCAACATCAGAATCACCTGGAAAGCTTCTGAAAACAAAGACTGCTGGGTCTGGGACCTAAGAATTTTTACTCAGTAAGCTCCCATCGATGTTACTGATCCAGGAACCACTCTGCTATAGGTTGTAAAGGATGTTTCTAGAAATTGCGAATAATTCCAACTGGGTGAAAAGGGGAAACTCAAGGTTTTTTTTTCTATGACATCACTGCTGCCCTGATCTAAAATAATGCTCTGCAGCCCTAGGGGAGAGTCTGCTTGTTGCATGAAATATAAGCGAAGGAAGAAAAAAGTCAATGAAACTAGTGTTTCTCAAAGACCTTCAAATTTACAAAAAGCAGTGGAAATCTCAAGGACCTCTTGTGTACCACAGGAAAAAAAAAAGAGTGGGAGGTCCCTTCCCATGTGATCTTTGGACCTGGTCACAGGGAGTGAATCAGACCTGGAGATGCCCACGGCTCTAGTGGTGAAGTTTAGGTGCTCATTCCAAGATAGAGTTTTGCTTTCAGGTCTAATTCTGGAAAAGATCTGTGACTGTCAGTAGGGAAAAGATAATTAATTATGGAAATTATACCAACGTCTTGGTACAAGATTTGAAAAAAGAAATAGGAAGAATGCAGTAGCACATTAACTCAGCCCTTGGAGTCAAACTCTCTCACGATCTGGGCTATATGAATCATTTGGTCTTCAAAACTTGGTCAAGGCCTTTAAAACTGTTAAGGTTTAGTTCTGTTTCTGTGAAACAGGAATAATAATACTGTCCATATTGTAGATGTTATTGTGGGGATTAAATGGAACACTTTATTATACTCAGCATATAATAAGAACTCAATGCCTGTTAGGTGAAATCAGTATCATCATCATAATCAAGCTACTAGGAGAAAATATAGGCAAATTTGTGTATAACCTTGGGAGTTAGGAAGTCTTTCTAACATTAGTGACGGAGAACATTTTTTATTAAAAAGTAGAAATCTATTTATTCCAGAGTAATAAGGAAAATTAATTTTTTGAAGAGAGTGTAATAAAACTATTTATTTTGAAGCCATGCTTTGAATTTCAAGGTCATCTGTTATGCAAGACACAATATTTTAGGATGTGTCAGGAAGCAGGGAAAGGGTTCTTTTTTCTTAACTTTTATTTTAGGTTCAGGGGCAGATTTGTTATATAGGTAAATTGCATGTCACAGGGGTTTGATATACAGATTACTTTGTCAGCCAACTAATAAGCATAGTCTCTGATAGGTAGTTTTTCAATCCTCACCCTCCTCCCACCCTCCACCCTCAAGTAGACCCCAGAGTCTATTGTTCCCATCTTGGTGTAGCTCCCACATATAAGTGATAACGTGATATTTGATTTTCTGTTTCTGTGTTAGTTTACTTTGCCAGTTCCATTTATGTTGCTGCAAAAGACATGATCTAATTTTTGACGGATGTATAGTATTCCATTGTGTATGTACCACCATTTTTATCCAGTCTACCAATGATGGACGTGTAGGTTGATTCCATGTCTTTGCTATTGTGAATAGTGCTGCAATGAACATACACATGCATGTGTCTTTATCATAGAATGATTTACATTCCTTTGGCTATGTACGCAATATTGGGATTGTGGGGTCAAATGTAATTCTCGGTTTTGTAGTTTTAAGTTTTTGAGATATTGCTAACTAGCTTTCCACTATGCCTGACCTAATTTACATTCCCACCAGCAGCCTAGAAATGTTCCCTTTTCTCTACAACCACCCCAGCATCTGTTATTTTCTGACTCTTTAATAATTGCCATTCTGACTGATGTGAGATGGTACCTCATTTTGGTTTTGATTTGTATTTCTCTAATGATTAGTGATGTTGAGAATTATTTCATATGCTTGTTGGCTACATGTGTGTCTTCTTTTAAAAAGTGTCTGTTAGTGTCCTTTGCCCACTTTTTATTGGGGTTGTTTATGCTTACAAGTTTGTTTAAGTTTTTTACAGATTCTGGATATTAGACCTTTGTTGGATGGATAGCTTGCAAATATTTTCTCTGATTCTGTAGGTTGTCTGTTTACTCTGTTGATAGTTTCTTTTGCTGTGCAGAAGCTCTTTATGTTAATTAGGCCCCGTTGTCAATTTTTATCTTTGTTGCAATTGTTTTGGCATCTTGTTCATGAAATCTTTGCCAGGTTCTATGTTCAGAATGGTATTTCCTAGGTTGTCTTGCAGGTTTTTGATAGTTTTTGGTGTTAGATTTGAGTCTTTAATAAATCTTGAGTTGATTTTTGTATATGGTGTAAGGAAGAGGCCCAATTTCAAGCTTCTGCATATGGTTAGCCAGTTATTCTGGCACCATTTATTGATAGGGAGTGCTTTCCCCATTTCTTGTTTTTGTTGGCTTCTTCAAAGATCAGATGATTGTAGCTGTGTGACATTATTTCTGGGCTCTCTATTCTCTTCCATTGTTTTATATGCCTGGTTTTGTACCAGTACCATGCTGTTTTAGTTACTATAGACTTGTAGTATAGTTTGAAGTTGGGTATTGTGATGCCTCCAGCTTTGGTCTTTTTGCTTAGGATTGCCTTGGCTATTTGAGTTCTCTTTTGGTTCAATATGAATTTTAAAATAGTATTTTCTACTTTTGTGAAGAATGTCAGTGATAGTTTAATAGGAATAGGATAGGAATGGTATTGAATCTGTAAATTGCTTTGGGCAGTATGGCCACTTTAACAATATTGATTCTTCCTATCCATGAGCCTGGATGTTTTTCCACTTGTTTGTGTCATCTCTGATTTCTTTGAGCAGTGTTTTGTAGTTCTTGTTGTAAAGGTCATTCACCTTCTTGGTTAGCTGTATTACTAGGTATTTTCTTCTTTTTGTGGCTATTGTGAATGGGGTTGCATTCTTGATTTTGTTTTCAGCTTGGATGTTGTTGATGTATAGAAATGCTACTGATTTTTTGTATACTGATTTTGTATCCTGAAACTTTGCTGAAGTTGTTTATCAGATGAAGGAGCTTTCGCACAGAGACTATGGGTTTTTCTAGGTGTAGAATCATATTATCTGAAAACAGAGATAGTTTAAGTTCCTCTCTTTTTACTTGGATACCTTTTATTTATTTCACTTGACTGGTTGGTCTAGCTAGGACTTTCAGTACTATGTTAAATAGGAATGGTAAGAGAGGGCATCCTTGTCTTGTTCCAGTTATCAAGGGGAATGCTTCCAGCTTTTGCCCATTCAGTATGATGTTGGCTGTGACTTTGTCATAGATGGCTTTTAATATTTTGAGGTATGTCCATTCAGTGTCTAGTTTGTTGAGGGTTTTTAACGTAAAGGATGTTGGATTTCATCAAAAGACTTTTCTGCATCTACTGAGATGTTCATGTGGTTTCTGTTTTCAGTTCTGTTTATGTGGTGAATCACATTTATTGATTTGCTTATATTGAACCAACCTTGCATCCCAGGTGATATGATTTGGCTCTGTGTCCCCATCCAAATCTCACCTCAAATTGTAATATTCCCTAAGTGTCAAGGGTGGGACCCGGTGGAGGTAATTGAATCATGGGGGCAGTTTCTCCCATGCTGTTCTCATGATAGTGAGTGAATTATCATGAGATCTGATGGTTTTATAAGTGTCTGGCATTTCTCTTGCTGGCACTCATTCTCTCTCCTGCCACCCTGTGAAGAGATACCTTCCGTCATGATTGCAAGTTTCCTGAGGCCTCCCCAGCCATGCAGAACTGTGAGTCAATTAAGCCTCTTTTTTTTATTAATAAATTACCCATTCCCAGATATTTCTTCATAGCAGTGTGAGAACAGATGAATACACCAGGGGTAAAGCCTACTTGATTGTAGTGGATTAGCTTTTTGATGTGCTGCTGGATCAGGATTGCAGAATTTTCTTGAATATTTTTGCATTTATGTTCGCCTGGGATATTGGCTTGAAGTTTTCTTTTTCTTTTTTTGTTTTTTTGGTGTATCTTTGTTGGATTTTAATGTCAAGGGTAATGCTGGCTTCATAGAATAAGTTAGGGAGGAGTTCCTCCTCCTCAATTTTTTGGAATAGTTTCAGTCTGAATGGTACCAGCTCTTCCTTATACATCTGAAGAATTCAGTTGTGAATCCATCTGGTCTTGGGCTGTTTCTGGTTGGTAGGCTGTTTATTACTGATTCAATTTTGAAACTCATTATTGGTCTGTTAAGGTTTTCAATTTCTTCTTTGTGCCATCTTCAGAGATTGTTTGTGTCTAGGGATTCATCCATTTCTTCTAGACCTAGAAGAAATTCTTTCCTCTGAGATTCTTTCCTAGGCTTGGTTGAAGAAATTCATCCATTTCTTCTAGCTTGTGTGCACAGATGTGTTCACAATAGTGTCTGAGAGATTTTTGTATTTCTGTGGGGTTGGTAGTAAGGTCCCTCTTGTTATTTCTGATTGTGTTCCTTTGGCTCTTCTCTCTGTTTTTCTTTCATTTCATTCAGTTCAACTCTGATTTTGGTTATTTCTTGCCTTCCGCTAGCCTTGGCATTGGTTTGCTTTTGTTTCTCTAATTGTGATGTTAGGTTGTTAGTCTGAGATATTTTTAACTTTTTGATATGGAAGTTTAGTGTTAGAAATTTCCCTCTTAACACTACTTTGGCTGTGTCCCAGAGATTCTGTTATGTTGTATCTTTGTTCTCATTAGTTTCAAAGAATTTCTTGATTTCTGCCTTAATTTTGTTATTTGCCCAGAATTCATTCAGGAATAGGTTGATTTCCATGTGATTGTATGGTTTTGAGTTATTTTCTTACCATTGATTCCTATTTTTATTGGACCATGGCTGACATGATTTCAGTTCTTTTGCATTTGCTGAGGATTGCTTTATGCCCAATTGTGGTCAATTTTAGAGTATGTGCCATGTGCAGATGAGAAGAATATATATTATGTTGTTTGCAGGTGGAGAGTTCTGTAGATGTCTACGAGGTTCATTTGGTCAAGTCTTGAGTTCAGGTCCGAAAAATCTGTTAGTTTACTGCCTTAGTGATCTAATACTGTCATTTGGGTCTTAAAGTCTCCCACTACTCTTGTGTGGTTATCTAAGTCTCTTTGTAGATCTCTAAGAACTTGCTTTCTGAATCTGGGTGCTTCTGTATTGGGTATGTATATACTTAGGATAGTTAGGTCCTCTTGTTGAATTGCGCCCTTTACCATTATATTATGCCCTTCTTTGTCTTTTTTGATCTTTGTTGGTTTAAAGTCTGTTTTGTCTGAAATTAGAATAGCAACTCCTACCTTTTTATGTTTTGTGATTACTTGGTAGATTATTCTCCATCTCTTTACTTTGGGCCTATGGGTGTCATTGCATGTGAAGTGAGTCTCTTGAAGACAGCATACCATTGGGTTTTACTTCTTTATCCAAATTGCCACTCTGTGCCTTTTAATTGGGGCATTTAGCCTGTTTATATTCAAAGTTAGTATTGGTATGTGCAGATTTGATCTTGTCATCATGTTTTAAGCTGGTTATTATGTAGACTTGTTTGTGTGGCTGCTTTATAGTGTCACTGGTCTATGTACTTCAGTATACTTTGTAGGTAATGTATGTTGTACCTATGTACTTTGTTGATAATGGTCTTTCCTTTCCACATTTAGTGCTCCCTTCAGGACCCCTTGTAAGGCAGGTCTGGAGGTAATGAATTCCCTCAGCATTTGCTTGTCTGAAAAGGATCTTATTTCTTCTTCACTTATGAAGCTTAGTTTGGCTGCATATGAAATTATTGGTTGAAAATTCTTTTCTTTAAGAATGCTGAATATAGGCCCCCAATCTCTTCTAGCTTTTAGGGTTTCTGCTGACAGGTCTGCTATTAGTCTGATAGGCTTCCCTTTGTGACTTGCCCTTTCTTTGTAGCTGCCTTTAATATTTTTTCTTTCATGTCAACCTTGGGGAATCTGATGACTATGACCATCTTGCAGATGGTCTTGGGGAATCTAATGACTATAACCATCTTGCAGATGGTCTTGGGGAATCTGATGAGTATGACCATCTTGCAGATGGTTTTCTTGTGTAGTATTTTGTAGGGGTTGTCTACATTTCCTGAATTGAGGTTGGTGAAATTTTTATGAATGATATCCTGAAATATGTTTTCAAGTTGCTTTTCTCCATCTCTTTCAGGGACACCAATGAGTAGTAGATTTGGTCTCTTTACATAATCCCATATTTCTCACATTTTTAAAATTATTCTTTATTGTTTTTTCTTTATTTCTTTTAAGTGACTTTGGAGAGCGAGTCTTCAAGCTCTGAGATTCTTTCCTAGGCTTGGTTGATTCTACTATTAATACTTATGATTGCATTATGAAATTTTTCTAGTGTGCTTTTCAGCTTTAGCAGATCAGTTTGATTCTTTCTTATAATGTCCAGTTAATCTAGTAGCTCCTGTATTGTTTTATTGTAATCCTTAGATTTCTTAGGTTGGGTATCAAGTAGCCCCTGTATGTGGATGATACTCATTCCTATCTACATTCTTAACTCTATTTCTGACATTTCAGCTATTTCGGCCTGGTTAAGAATCATTGCAAGGGAACTAGAACAGTCATTTGGAGATAAGAAGATACTCTGGCTTTTTGAGTTGACAGAGTTCTTGCCTGGTTCTTTCTCATTTGTGTGGGCGAATATTCCTTCAGTCTTTGAAGTTGCTGTGCTTTGGATGGATTGTTTTGCTTTTTTCTTCTTTGATGTCCTTGGGGGTTAAATTATGGTATAAGATGGGTTTGATTGACTGGCTTTGATTCAATTCCTGGGTCTTGGAGGAGAACTCTCTGATTATGTCTCCATGCCCACATTTCTTTGGTTAGGTGATCTAGTCTATGGGCCCCTCTCAGACAGGAGCCATGGTTGACCCTAATCTGCTGTCTGTGTGCTTCCTAGGAAAGCATGGGGTTGTGCCTGTCCTCAGAGTTCAGGCAGAAGCAGGACCACTGGTTTAGAAGCTCTAGCAGGTGTGGCCTATCTGACTATGAGAGGCAGAGGTTGGAGGAGTTGCCTTCCCTGCAGTCTGGGGTTCCCAGAGCAACAGGAGGCTATGACCCTCAGCAAATTCAGGCAAAAGTAGGACTACTAGACTAGAAGCTCTAGCATGTGTGGCTCACCTGGATACTGGTGGCAACAGTGGGTAAGGATGCCCAGTCTGCTGCCCAGGTGTTTCTTGGAACAACAGGAGGCTGCACCCACTAGTTGAGTTCCCACAGAATCAGGACCACTGGGCCAGAAGGCAGGTGCTGTCTACCTGGGTACCAGTAGTGGGAGTGGGTGAAGTCATACACTCTGCTGTTTAGGTGTTTCCTGGGACAACAGGAAGCTGCACCCTCCAGCTGAGTTCACACAGAAGTGGGGCCACTGGCCTGGAAGCTCTAGCAGGCATTGCCCTCCTGGCTACCAGTGGCAGGAGCAAGTGGGGTCATGTGTTCTGCCACCTGAGTGTTTCCTGGAACAACAGTAAGCTGTGTCCTCCAGCTGAGTTCACACAGAAGCGTGAACACTGGGCTGGAATTTCTAGCAAATGTTGCCCACCTGGCTATCAGTGGTGGAGGTTGGTGCAACAGCTGGCTAAGTTTGGGCTGAAGCAGGACCTCTGGGCTGGAAGCTGGTGCCAAGCTCTGTCTGGCAAGCGTGGGTGGAGCAATCTCATTGCTCCCAGGCAAGGCAACTTTGACCTCTATAGGGGCTACGATGCCAGTGCTGATTTGCTCCTCCAGGGCCCAAGACTTGTAGCAGTCTCCTTGGACTCAAGAGTTGCCTCTGCAAAACACCTGACTGGCTCTCCGACTCAGTATAGAAGTGCAGTGAGGGATGCAGCAGAAGCAGGGGGACTATCCCATTCCTAGTCTTGCACAGGTGCTTGTGGAAAGCATGAATCCCCCTGGGGGCTCTCACCTACTCACCCTTTCCTGTGTTGGAGAGGTTCTCTTGGCTCCATGATGAGCCCAGACAGGCTTGTGTCCAGCTTCACTCTTCTCTGCTGTGTTCCTATGCTGCCTCGGTGAATCCTAACATGGTTTCTGAGATGATCAACCTGCAGGATTAGTGTTCACTAGCCCTTTTGTTTCCTCCCTGTGAGAGTGGTGCACGTGAGCTGCTTCTAGTCTGCCATCTTGACCCTATCCCCAGAAAAAAAATAATTTTTGAGTAGACTTTTACTTGGTTGTAAAATAGGCCATTATTTACTTATTTAACAAATATTTATTGATCAAATAATCATGCTAATGAGTGAATAAATATAAAAAGAGATATGTTTTCTGTTTAAAAAAAGGAAGAAATGAGGTACTCTGAGCAGTTATAACATGGGAAAAATGGACCACATGGAGGGTAAGCATTTCTAGGGATAAAATACAAAGTAGAGACATTCTGTAAGTAGCATTGAAGAGAAATTCCAATATATAATGGCTAACTACAGGAGGGTGAATCTGTGATTGAGATGGATATGTCATGACCTAAGAATTAGAAGAAACGTCAGGAAAGTGAAACTTAAAATGTGTCTGTTGGGCAGATAATGCTTCAAGAAATTGGAAAAAGATGGTTGCAAACATTTTTAAATGCTGTTAAAATATAATGCAAATATTGATTTGATGAAAGTATATATTTTGGAATTGACAACATGGCAATTTTAGCAAGAGCTAAGGGCAGAAGCCTGAAGGAGTGAGGAAGGAGTGTAGTAACCAGATAACAGTGGTGGGAGGAAAGAGTACAAGGTCAGGAAACGGAGGCAGATTGTATAGAAAATTCTGCTAAGATGTTTAAGTGTGAGTGGGAGGAACAGAGTACAGTAGATGGAGAGGAGAAAATTCTACTAAGATGTTTAACTGTGAGTGGGAGGAACAGAGTACAGTAGATGGAGAGGAGACATGGAGCCCAAGACAATTTTATCTGTTGTTTGTTCAGAATGGAAGAGATATTTCAGATGAGAAGGGTTTGATTGAGAAGGAGAAGCTGACTGCAGGACAAAGTCAAAATGAATTTATCGTGTCAACAGCAAGGGAGGCTATGGGGGGGTGGAAATCCTTAATCTGAGGATCTGGCTATAGATGGAAGGAGAGGCCATTTTTATTTCAACAGGTAGAAAAAAGGAAAAGCCCTGACTTTTGAAGACCAGGTTTCTCTGTGCAAAAGGAGGATCACAGTCATCTACCAAGAGTAAGTGAGAAGGCAAGGCTGTCAGAAGAAAACAAAATGATTTGAAGTAGCAGTTAGAGAAAGTTGAAGAGCAGGAAACTATAAATGGATTGCTGCAAAGGATTTAAGATCCAGTCGTTTCACATGGTGTCACCTCTCTGTTGTAGGGCTTTGCCCAGAAGGGCTTACTGCTTAGGTGTAGATGGAGAAAGTGGATAGCGATATCCATGCTTGGTTGGCGATGTGCCATATGGATGAGGAGTACCAACAGAGACACCTTCGGAAAGCTAAAGCAGTTCCATGAATGGAAGATAAGGACTAGCAGGTATAAGGCTCACACTTAATCTCTGTTACCAAGGGTATCCTTGGTATCTGACAGTGAGTCAGGCCAAATAAAGATACTCAGGTCAAGGTGTCAAATATTCTGTTTAAGAATGTGAAGAGATAAAGAATGAGAAGAAGATAAATTCTACTTCCCTTTTAGGAAGTAGCATTTATTTATAATGCTATAGTAAAATAATCTTTTCAGAGACTATTTTAATGTGTGACAGGGTATTTAAGACAAAAGGGAGATCCTGTTGAGGGGTATATTTTAATTATTCCAGGTTTACTTTTGTTACACAGAGAGACAGCCAACCAACTAGGATCATCTTTGTTCGGGGGAAAAATTATTGTAGTTGTCTCCTTTATTATATAAATGCCCATTGTCTTAAAAGAGTCATATTCAAGAACTGGGTGGTTATACTAATTAATTAAGGAGATGGGCTTCCATTATCTGCCATGCACTATGGATGAGGATAGAAAAAGTTGAACAAGAGTCCTACAATGATGGTACCTGCATTCTACTGGATTAGCAAAAGATATAACCCATCCTCTTATGATATACCAAACTGATACTGAAAAAAAGGTAAGTTAATTTGATAAATGAGCCCATGTCCTCCTGGAAGGGAAAATGGATAACCCACTTCCTGTATCCCAAGATTTGAAGTTAGAGAGAACAGGGCCACACAGATAAAGATCCAGTGAGAGAAAAGGACAATTAATTCCACAAAATAAAGAGATCTTATGGAAGGAGTAGATTTAGGCTGGCAGACTTGTTTAACCCATGGACACAAAGACTGGTTTCACGTCGCTGGTTTCTGTGTAGTGTGTCGCTGGCTGACGTAGGGAGCCAGAGATTACCCCAGCACAAAACAATGGCTAAAGAGGCACATGAAGTACAAAGCACTCTACCTTCACAAACAACTGGTCCTGGACAGTTTTCTCAGCAGTGGAGAATTACAGCAGCAGAACTGCACAGAACCACTCTTCAACAATGACACCATCTGGCAGTATGGAGTAATGACAGCAGTGGACTGGCAGAGGCCATTTCTTTTCTTTGGCATTTCAAGGAATATCAATTCCATTTAGACTATATTAACTCCCATGAGTTTTGAACAATTTGGTGTAGGCGGAAGTCCAAAGAGGGCAATTCTGGAATTGACCATATATGGTTCATGACCATATATGAAATATTGTAAAGAAATAATAATTGAGAGTACATGTACTGCATGGTTACTTCATTCATGAAAACAGTACTCTGATTTTGTTCAAGTACTGTGTTGCCAGATAAATATCCATGGAAGATACTTTCCTCCCAAAGCTGCAAAGATGAATCATGATTTGCCTGCCCCTTTGGGTGATGAATCCTATTCTTTTCTGCTGTACTTGGTTGCATTGAGTCTATGGCCAATGAGCTATATGGGAGAATTTGGGGGAGGTTAGCCCCCTGAGAAGAGATGACACTGTGGATGAGGTCCCTTTTCTGCCCACTCTATCTTCTCTGCTTGAGATGCTGGCGTCTGAGAACATGATGCTTGGGGCTGTGGAGCCATTTGCAGTCAGCAGAAAAAAAGCCAAGAAAATCATAAACATGTGGATGCCATAAGCTCTCAGAGCTGCTGAACAAACCCAGCACTGCCTGTGTCCCAAGATGTTGTGTTATGGGTGATTAAATGTCTTCAGTATTTTAGATATTAGTAGTTGAACATACTGTTATTTTTAGCAGAAATCTTCCCAAATGGACATATTTTTGTGCTTTTGCTATAACAAATTGTCCATAGATCAGTTTTCTCTAGTGACATAACCTTCAAAGCACCACATATGCAAAGATAATCTTATCATAATTGCGGTTAAATAAATCCCCATGTAGTATGTCTTGAAAAATGTGCCTGAGCCAGCATCATGGTGTCTTCCACACTGAACATGGTATAGCAGCAGCAGAGGTGCCCAGATATCGAAGTGGTCCTACCATCGCCTGGAGCTTCCTGAGTATAAATAATTCTCATGCATCAAGAAAGTAGAGACTTAGAAAGGAGAACCACTGGACTTTATGATAAGCAGAAGGAAAAACAATCACGCTAATCACACTAACCAGATAATCAGACAAGGGTAGTTGACTTGGGAATTCTACCATGATGAGATGACCAGACACACACACACACACACACACACACACACACACACACACACCCTTCTGCACTATATTAATGTCCTGTATCTGAGATACAACTCAATCCAAAAATTAAGTGTGAGAAAATTTTATCAGCATTTACTGGTATTTTCTCAAGCATTCTGGGCAATAAAACTCAAAAGACAACCTGAGTCATATAGTCATATATAAACATAGAAGTTTCCATTCTTCCAGAGCTGAGTTCATGGATGGAAACTCATACCTACTACAAAAAAAAGAAAAATGCTAGGAGCAGCTATTCAAAGAATAACATTTTCTTCGTCACACTATGCATACATCAAATTAACACACGGCTTATGGAACATGGAAGGTTAAGAAAATAACCTTTAACGTGACAGCTAAATGAAATACTGCTTAAGACTGGTAATGGCAAGACAGTTATATACATTTTGTTCAGTCAATGTATCCAGAAATAGCTCAGAGCTTGAAACTAATACTGGATAAATGTCATTGGCTGGGGAGTTAGTTTGTACCAGGGAAGGCCTGGACTCAACATTTTGCATCCTCTGTTTTGCCTCATCCTCACAGACCTACAGACAAAAAATTCTATTTATGCAAATGTTGTTTAATGGGCCTCTGGTAGACGGGTCAACTTGGGAGAATGTGCTTAAGTCTTGGGTATATTTGCTGGATGGAGTATAAGTTTTAATAACCTTAATGCTATATTATAACTAAAAATGTGGCTGACAGAAAGTAGGAGGAGGCCAGATGGGAACAAAAGGAAGAGTGATAAGATACGGAAAGCTCAAGCATCTTCACTTACTAGAGTGGCACATCAGTGTGTTGCTGAAAGGCAAAAGAACAAGTAATGGAGACATTAGCACCTTCTGTGGAATTAGGAAGGTGATACCAAGGACAACTAAAAGCAATCCTCTCACTCCCTGAAGGAGAGGGGCCATGTGAATAATTATAGAATAAAACCTCACCTGTCCTGTGGGAATCCCACAGGCATTACCTAACGTCGATAAATGCTATCATTATGATATTCTGGAAGATAATACTGGAAAATTAAAGACTAAAATTATTAAAAGAGCCTTCTTTGGTAGAGAAGAATAGGAGGAATATTGAAATTTTTCACCAAGAATTTGTCTGTAATATGTACTTGTGTCATGTATGTTTCATGGTAACACATCAAGGATACATTTTATATAGGCATAAAAGCATCTACTTGCAAGGATACTACCCAAATTGAACATGATATGTGTTTTTGGAAGACTACAGTTTGCTTTATTCAGAAATAAAATATGTTCCAAAATTCCAAAGGAATATTCCAAAATATGCCAAACCTCTCTCAACCTCTCTTTTCCCCCACCCTTCCAATGAGTTAGTTTGGATTTTGAAATATATTGACATGTAGCCAGAAGCCTGGTGATTTTACCTGGGAAATAAATTCTTTATCACTTCACTTTTCTTTCTGATACCGCACTATGCTTGAGAGGATGACCAGCTGCCCATCCAAAACAGACAAGGCAAAGGTCTCTGGGCCCCAGGGTGATGAGTTTGCCTTTCCCCCAGGGTTGCTGTGGCTCTCAGAAGGCAGCAGAGACTGGTGGGTGGACAGTCATATGCTGTGAGGTTGGTCACTGGCCCCACTGGTCCCAGGACTCAATCACATAATCAGGTGAGGATGAGAATGGCTTATTCCCACGGGCTCTGGGCCTAAGGAGAAAGAGGCTTTGCCGATTGTGAGTGTGTATGCAGGGGAGGCATCCCCGAGACAGCAGCCCCCATGCCTGGTGGGATGGGTTTGGAGCCCGAGTCAGAATCAACCAGGTGGGGAAGGAGGCCCAGTGAATGAAGAGTCGGCTTTGCAGAAGCCTCAGGCAGGAGAGGGACAATATCATCCTGGCTTTCTTTTCTTCCATAATCACGTTTCACCTCACTGTATTGATAGAAAAACAAAGCTATAAAATTTCAAACTCCATAAATTTTCAATATCGATGTTTAAAGAAGTGTTTTAGCACCAGTATGACAAAGGTTTCAATGTCAAAAATCCACTTAAATATAATTGGAAGATACAAGAAAATCCATAGGGCCAAATGTAAAAGAGGGCTCATAACAACAAAAGGATGGGGCATGTCAAAGACACAGGGGACAACCCGAAAAAGCTCTCAAGGACTAAAGTGGAAACAACTGGAGTAACCAAACATAAAGTAAAAAGATCCATGAGTCCCTACTGATATAAATAAATGACGGAACAGATAAATGGGAAGAACAGATAAATCTCCTTTAAGCAAGAATTACAAAAAATTTATGTAGCCACTCTCTCTCCTTTCTCTGGGAGGTGGAGTTTAATTCTCACCATCCCTCCCCCGGATGAGAGTTGGATTTAATGATTTGCTTTCAAAAAATAGAGCTGGAAAAGTGTAAAAAGAATAATGTTAGAATGAAGAAATACGGTGAACACTACCCTGAGCAGGTGATCAAGATTAACATCAACAATGACAAGTCATATTGACAATATGTGGCCTTCATAGGATGTGGTGAGAATGGCACTTTATGTCTGTGGTCTTCTTCCAAAAACACATAACCTCAGTCTAATCATGAGAAAAAAAATCAGACAAACCCAAACTGAGAATATTCGATAAAATATTAGTAATACTGGCCAATCCTCCTCAAACCTCTCTTAAGGTAATGGCCAAAAAAACAAGTCTGAGAAGCAGCCATGAGTGGGCATAGATGAAGGAGTCATGATGATTAAATTCAATGTGATATTTGGGTTTGGATCCTGAAATGAGATCGGCAGTAAAAAAGCTGGTGAAATACATACAAAAATTAGCTGGGTGTGGTGGCACGCACCAGTAGTCCTAACTACTCAGGAGGCAGAGGTGGGAGAATCGCTTGAACCTGGAGGTGGAGTTTGCAGTGAGCCAAGACCAAGCCACTGCACTCCAGCCTGGGTGACAGAGTGAGACTGTCTAAAAAAAAAAAAAAAAAAAAAAAAGCTGGTGAAATACAAATAAAGTGTGGGTTTTATTGAATAGCAACATACCCAAGTTTAGTTTCTTAGTTATGATAAATGTACTATTGTACCTGATAGAGTGAAAACCTGATTCTAATTAGAAATACAAAATTCTCTCCTAACTAGGAAGGGTTCAGTAAACTTCACAGATTTTGCTTTTTCTAGGTGGGATGTATTCTTAGGGGCCAGAGCACAATTGCTCATAGCATTGATGGATAAATGGATGTTCCACTTCTTGCCCTTCTTAGCCAAATTAGTCTTTGTATTAACTTTGAGCAAACATTTAAAGAAAATCAGTGGAGGGGTGCCTGTGTCTCCTTCCAGGACAATCCATGTGCCTGAAGTCTTGCTTACTGGGCAGGAGGTGTTATTATCCCTATTTAATGTATGAGGACCCTGGAGCTCACAGTGGGAACATATTTTACTCTAAGATTTGTATCTGTTGGACCAAGGCCAGCATTCTCAGATCGCAGTGCTTCTTTTTCTGCACTGTCCACTTTTTGAGCTCATATACCCGGTGCTTGGTTTGATGTTTGGTTCAATGAATTAATGTACAAATGGGAGCATCAGATGGTGCAACCCAGGCCTCCTCAATCAAGGGCCCCGGAAACACCCTACCCTGCAGCCTCCTTTTCAATGCTTTCTTGGAATATCCTCAAATTTGGTCACTCAGGTGACTTTGCTGAAAAGAACAAATATCTTTTGGGAATACAGAGACATATCAGTCATTTATACCTTGACTTAGGTAGTTTGATCAGCTTTGTACACCTTGATGAGAGACTGACAGAGAACGTGGCTTTCTCTGAGTGGAAAAGATAGAGGTCATGGTGAGATAATTCCAGGGTCTGGAGTTGAGTGGTGGGTGGGCGTTGATGAAGAGATCTTTCGACAGAGTGTAAGATAAGAAGACAGGGTAAGCTGGAAGGAAGAAATTTAGGAGACTAGATGGGAGTGAAGAAATAGACAGTGAATGACATCATTTTTAAGCCAGCCTACACAAAGGCCACTGAGTTAAACTTATACAGATAGAAGTAAAAAAGGAAAGTGATCATCTGACCACAGGAGTGAGAAGCAGGGCCCAGCCCAGATGCAGTTAGGTAAACAGAGCAGAGAGGCTGGGCTGAGACCACACGTGAAGCATCACACCTGGTTGGTTGCTCTGGTAACAGGCATGTCCCTATTCTCAGGGCGATAATGTTATGCTGAGGAAGAAGGAGTATTCAGAAGTAACAGTGATTGGGGTCATGGCGGCACGTAGTCTGTGAGCTGTTTTTTAGGGACAGTTTGGGGGGAAGTTTCAGAGTAGTCTTCAGAGATGATGAAAATGAAAGGATCCACTACAGCCTCACATTGTGTTATGGCTTCTTGGAGCTGTCACATGCTCATCAGGCCCCTAGTCCAGTGAGGGTGAGCCAGGTGTCTTTGACTCCACACTCCTTGCCCCGTCCTATCTGTGCGTCTGTGTGAATAGAGGCCTTTGGCTCCAAGTAATGACATTTAGTAAGGGCGTTTGAATCATGGAAGGCCAACCTTTCTTGATGGGTACTAAATAATATAATGGAAAAGTTTTTAATTACACCATTAATTGCCTAGTTGTTTAATTGTTTGGCTTCCCAATGGAGTCAGTGTGGAATTTTATTGCCTGTACTTCACATTAGATAATAAAGGGAGAGGAGCCTTTAACAACCACATTAGATTAAGTTAAAACAGATGGGTTTTTCCATATATATTAGTTTCCGTTAATGAAAGACAGGTCTACACTCAACAGGTGATTACCTTTCCACAGCTGAGCTCCAGGAGCTGAGAATCTGCTTAAATTGACTTAGCAGGGCTCAGGAAATGGCATTCTGAAGTCCAAATCTAACACACCACCTAGTTTTGTAAGAGCTATGAATTAAGAATTACTTTTATATTATTAAATGTTTAAATTAAATTGAAACAAGATATTATTTTGTAACGTATGCAAATAACTTAAAATGGAAATGTCAGTGTCTATACATAAAGTTTTATTAGAACTAAGCCAACTTCATTTATTTGCATATTGTCTGTGGCTACTTTCACATTATAAGAGAATCTAATAACCTTATAACAGAACTATTGAGCATGATGTTATGTTTAGGTGCAACAGAGACCTACAATATTTACTATATAACTCTTTACAGAAGATGTCTGCCAACTTCTGGATTAGAGAAACAGCTTTTAAAATCTCATTTTCTTTCATTTTGAGGAATGATTTCGACATCTCTTTATTTATTCATTTTTTTCTCAGTCTGTTTGTGATGCTATAACAGAACACCTGAGATAGCTCATTTATAAATCATAGAAATTCATTGGCCTATGGTTCTGGGGGCTGGAAAACACAAGAGCATGGCAGTGGCATCTGGTGAGGGCCTTCTTACTGCATCATCCCATGGCAGAAGGCTGAGGGCAAGTGAGGGCAGAGTGAGAGAGTGCAAGAGAGGGACAAACTTACTTTAAGAGAAACCCACTCCTGAGCTAGGACATTAATTCACTCATGACATTAATCCACTCATCGTAACCTATTAAAGATGCCTCCTGTCAATACTATTGCATTGGGGATTAACTTTCCAACACATAAACTTTGGGGGCCACATGCAAACCCTAGCAGATTCATTAAAAAGAAAGTAAAGTACACCTGTTTTTTTTCCTTTTTCCCTGACATTGTACTCAGTACTGTGGCATCTAGAGTAGATAATCCTCCACTCTGACAATGAGAGCATTATAGTCTGGAGTCAGAGCTCACACACTCAGATAGGCAGCCATACCAGCAGTTAAAGCCCGTAGCTGGGTCCCCTCATGAACTTAGCAGCTATGTGGATGAAAAGTGACTAAGACAGCCCCTTTTCCTGTGGAACTGTAGTCAGCTGGGCCCAGTGCTGTAAAATAGAGAGTTAAGTGAACGAGATAGCATTAAATAACCTGGGGTTTACAGAAAAGTATTAAAAGACTTCAAATTACACTTGAGCCATTAAGTGCTCCCAAGGTTAGAGTCATTAGAGGGTTAGGAAATGCTTGCAGTTTCACAATGTTACGATGTTCTTTTAGTTCACTCTTCTCCTTATGCCTGGATGAAAGGTTCTTGCTTCTTTGCTTGGATTATTTCTGCCTATTACAGGCACCACGTGCCCTGCGAATTTCCCTCTGACCAATGCAATTGCAATAAGCCTCTTCTCCAGCTCCTCGTAGCTTGGAGCTATGACCCACATATCACTTGATTAGATCTGGCTCTTTTCTACACTTTTCCTGTGATTGACTCTGAGTTCTTTGAGGAAAAGGATGATGTTCTGTCTCTCTCTGCATTTCCAGGGCTTAGTACAGTTCTTGTAACATAGCAAGTGATTAATGTTTTTGATGAGTAAATGTGAGAAGGGGTCACACATCCAAAGGACCTCAGAGACCAGTCATATAATGTATTTAGAGAACAGCGAGTGGTGAGGACGGTGGGTGGACAGCCCCATCTGAAAAGGCACTGGATCCTCAGCTCCAGCTGCTTCCTTCCTTCCATGGGGGCAGGTGGGGCCAGTAGGATCAGAGTTTCTGATTTTTCAATAGAAGTCAAAAATTTGTGCTGGAAATACTTCCGAATTTAAATTTGACTCTTAAGTAAGTTGACTTTTAGCAAAAGTCAGGGGCCAGATTAAGTTCATGACAACATTTCAGCAGGAGTACAACCTGAAGAGTGGCATCAGAGGGACTCTTAAATGTCAAATGAACCATTTAATCCAATCCAGTCATTGTCTGTTTAATCCAATAGTACTTTTTCTGTGGTCACTCCCTGGCCTGGTTTCAGACAGCTGAGCAAGATTTGGAAGGATGTCACATACAAAATATCCAGCGAGCTGGCTGGAGTGCAGTTAAAGAAGTGCCTGAAATGTCTCTAAAGTAAAGAAAATGCTAATGGCCCTTTTGACTGGTGGCAGTTGACTCCTGTCATTTGTCTTCATGGGCTCATGAAAAGGGGATTTTACTTTAAGCTGCATTCTTGACTGCTGTTGCCCTCATACATCTGCAGAGATATTAAAGTCCCAGCTATGCTGAATTTCTAAAGGCCGGGATGGGCATTTGGTTTAATGGTGTGACACCGACCAAGGAAAACAAGGTCATAAAATAAAAAAGAGATTGTGCTTCCCTAACTCATATCTTGGGGGTCAGGAATAAACGGATGAGAAAAGAAGAAGGAGCAGTTAGAATCATATGGAACCGAGCTTTGTCTTTCGTGACTTGATGAAACTGTTTTGCAGCTGGTAACAAACCGAGCTAGTGCATTTCAGTCTATATGAATAAGAACCTTTCCTCTACCTGAAACCAAAAAGTAGTAACACTAAAATAGCAAACACAGCATTATTAGGTGCCTGATATTGTTATAGGTGTTTCCATTTATTAACTCATTTAATCCTCACAATGACCCCAGGCACGAGAAAACACTGTGACCATCCTCATTTTCCAGATGGAGAAATTGTGATCCAGAGAGGCCAAGTCACTTGCTTAACATCACCCACCCAGTAGCTGCCCAGTCCCACCTCACTACTACCTCCTGAGGGCAGTGGCTTTCCATTGTAGCAGAGAGAGAGACCTGTGTCTTCAGGGGCAGCACTGAATTGTCAACATAATTTACCCTCCATCTCTCTAATCTGTGTGTTCAAATAAAAAGTTCACGTAGGTTCTAGGTAAACATACTTATTTCCATTGCTTTACTTCACTTTCTTCAGAAATACCATTAAAATATAGGAAAGTCATTTTATTTTAAAAGTGGGAGATGACATAAACGCACAAGAACAAAGCAAAGGGAGAGACAATGGCAGTGATGGAGTTTGAGAGTTGCAAAATGGATTAAGTAGTTACTGACTCAGCCAACCAAAGACAGGTTAACCCGGCACCAGGGGCAACCAAAACTAAATTAAGTTCATTGTGCAGAGAATCGAAAAGTCTCAGGTGTTGAGGGCACCATGATCAACTGAATTGAGTTGGGGGCATGAGTGTGACAGATTCCCTGAGTCTCTAGACCCTTTGGATACCATCCCCCTACCAACCTGGATGCTGCCCTGGTCACTTCTGGAGGTCAGCTGCAGAAGGCAGGCAGCCAGGCTCACCAGCTCCCTCTGCGCCCTCCCTCCAGGCTGGAGACAGAGGAGCCTGGGTGGAAATGGCAAAGAGGAAGTTGTGAATACTGACAGTGACCCTGAGATGAGCCAACCCAGCCACATCACCCTCCAGAAACATCCCCCACTTGTCAGGCCCTGCTATTGGACCCAGAGTTTCAGGGAGGCTTTTCGGTTTGTCACTTTTTTTTTTTTTTTGAAATGGAGTCTTGCTCTGTCGCCCAGGCTGGAGTGCGGTGGCACAATCTTGGCTCACTGCAACGTCCACCTCCTGGATTCACGCCATTCTCATGCCTCAGCCTCCCAAATAGCTGGGACTACAGGCACCTGCCACCATGCCTGGCTAATTTTTTTTTTTTTTCATATTTTTAGTGGAGACGGGGTTTCACCGTGTTAGCCAGGATGGTCTTGATCTCCTGACCTCATGATCCACTTGCCTTGGCCTCCCAAAGTGGTGGGATTACAGGCGTGAGCCACCGTGCCCGGCCGGTTTCTCTCCTTTAAATATGAACAGTCAGCAAAGGGCCCCCAAACTCTGGAGGAAAACCTCTAACAGGAAAGACAAAGGTGGGAAGAAAAAAAAATACAACAAAACAAAAACAACTTGGAGGAAAAGATACCCAGCAGAGTCACAAGAGAGTCAAGATATTAATTAGCCAGGTGTGGTAGGTGGGAGGATTGATCAATCCCAGGAGGTCGAGGTTACAGTGAGATGGCACCACTACACTCCAGCCTGGGCAACAAAATGAGATCCTATCTCAAAGAGAGAGAGAGAGTCAAAAAATCCATCCTTCCTTTTTATAAAGATGTGAGGGTCTTAGAATCTTATTGGGGAGCTTTAAAAAAATATTGTCAGTCGATGTCGTGCCAGATTATTTAAGAATCTCACTGGGGTAGCAGCTGGACCTTGGTCTGTTTTTCCAGTCCTCTTGATTCTGATGTGCCGTCAGAGTTGGAAATCACTGGTCTGGTCCAAAGTTTCTCAACCTTTTATTCCCTAAAACCTGAGCTATAAACTCATTTCCATATGAAACTGCAGCTCTATATATCAGTGTGGCTGCAGGGCTTGTATCTCCCTCATAGGCCTTTTGTGAAGATGAAAAATATGTGTCAGCTGTAATTATTATCCCATATTTACACAAACATTTGTACTTATTTATTTCACTGGTGTCTTTTCTACCTATTACTAGATATTTATCTCTAGACCAGAGTTTACAATCATCTCAAGTACAAGGCAGGGATGATGATAACTACCTTTTACTTTGAATAGAAATTATTTTATCTATAAAAAATACAGCTTGTACTGATGCCTCATAGGGTTCCCATGTCCCTCTTCCTCATCAGGGCAGACTAACCCCACCCCTACTGGTCTAGGTTATCCAAAGATATGCAACAAGCCCCTTACCTCTCCTCACCTCGGTTTTCTCATCTGTTAAATGGGAGTATCCACTTCACAGGGTCTTTTTTTTTTTTTTTTTTTTTTTTTTTTTTTTTTTGTGAGGGTACTTTTAGGTAATGTAGATAAAATGCTTTCTACTCAAAGTGAAAGGTCATTATCATCATCCCTGCCTTGTCCTTGGGATGATTGTAAACTGTTCTAGAGATAGCTTTTCAATAGTAGATAGAAAGGACACCAGTAAATGAATAAATGCAAATATTTGTGCAAATATGGTGGTAATGATTATAACTGACAGCTATATTTCATCTTCACAAGGGGCCTATGAGGGAGAAACATAATTATCATATCCATATTTCAGATGGGGAAACTGAGGTATTTGGCAGTAAGTGACTTTCCCCAGATCACACAACTAGGAGGTGTTGGAGATGGGATTAACCCTGGCCAAGTTTGGCATCCGAATCTGCTCTTGCAATCACCGTATTTTCTCAGCCGTGACAAACCGAGTCTCTAGAAGCACAGTGCTGAGATTCACAGGTGGAAAGCCTAAGTCCCTGTGATAGGTGGGATTTGGGCTCCTGTGACCTTCTCCCCGCTGCCTTTATGCCTGAGGATATGTCACAAGGCATTGAACTGACCTGAAAATAAAGAGATTATCTTGGATGATCCAGGAGAGGCAGATCAGAAGAGGAGAGTGAATCAGGAGAGTCCTAGAGACGCAGCAGAGGAGGCAGGAGCAATTTGGAGGGTGAGAAGGACTTGACTTGGCATTGCTGGATTTGAAGATAGAGGAAAGAGCCATGAGCCGAGGAGTGTTGACCGCCTCCAGAAGCCGCAAATGGCCCTCAGCCGACCAGGCGCGGTGGCTCACGCCTGTAATCCCCGGCACTTTGGGAGGCCAAGGCGGGCGGATCACGAGGTCAGGAGATCTAGACCGTCTCTACTAAAAAATTCATTGTAGATTCTGGATATTAGCCCTTTGTCAGATGAGTAGGTTGCGAAAATTTTCTCCCATTTTGTAGGTTGCCTGTTCACTCTGATGGTAGTTTCTTTTGCTGTGCAGAAGCTCTTTAGTTTAATTAAATCCCATTTGTCAATTTTGGCTTTTGTTGCCATTGCTTTTGGTGTTTTGGACATGAAGTCCTTGCCCACGCCTATGTCCTGAATGGTAATGCCTAGGTTTTCTTCTAGGGTTTTTATGGTTTTAGGTCTAACGTTTAAATCTTTAATCCATCTTGAATTGATTTTTGTATAAGGTGTAAGGAAGGGATCCAGTTTCAGCTTTCTACATATGGCTAGCCAGTTTTCCCAGCACCATTTATTAAATAGGGAATCCTTTCCCCATTGCTTGTTTTTCTCAGGTTTGTCAAAGGTCAGTGTGGCGATTCCTCAGGGATCTAGAACTAGAAATACCATTTGACCCAGCCATCCCATTACTGGGTATATACCCAAATGACTATAAATCATGCTGCTATAAAGACACATGCACACGTATGTTTATTGCGGCATTATTCACAATAGCAAAGACTTGGAACCAACCCAAATGTCCAACAATGATAGACTGGATTAAGAAAATGTGGCACATATACACCATGGAATACTATGCAGCCATAAAAAATGATGAGTTCATGTCCTTTGTAGGGACATGGATGAAATTGGAAACCATCATTCTCAGTAAACTATCGCAAGAACAAAAAACCAAACACCGCATATTCTCACTCATAGGTGGGAATTGAACAATGAGATCACATGGACACAGGAAGGGGAATATCACACTCTGGGGACTGTTGTGGGGTGGGGGGAGGGGGGAGGGATAGCATTGGGAGATATACCTAATGCTAGATGACGAGTTAGTGGGTGCAGCGCACCAGCATGGCACATGTATACATATGTAACTAACCTGCACAATGTGCACATGTACCCTAAAACTTAAAGTATAATAAAAAAAAAAAATTCAAAAAATTAGGCGGGCGTGGTGGCGGGTGCCTGTAGTCCCAGCTACTTGGGAGACTGAGGCAGGAGAATGACGTGAACCCGGGAGGCGGAGCTTGCAGTGAGCCGAGATCGCGCCACTGCACTCCAGCCTGGGCGACAGAGCGAGACTCCGTCTCAAAAAAAAAAAAAGGTCCTTAGCCGACAGCCAGCGGGGAAAAGAGGACCTCAGTTTTACAATGAAAGAAGCTGAATTCTCCCAGCAACCCAAATAAGCAAGGAAGCATCTTCTCCTGGAGCCTCCGGAGAGAAGCACCACCATTCAGATGCCTTGATTTTAGCCCAGTGAGGCCTATGCTGGAATTCCGACCTATGAAAGTGCGAGAGAATAAATCAGCGCTGTTTTAAGTCGCTGGTGGTGGCAATTCGTTACAGCATCTCGTCCATCCTTACAATGTGCTTGGGGGTGGGATGGAATCTGTTACTGCTGGTCTTTCCCCCATATCATAGATAAGGAGATTAAGGACCCCAGGGGTTAGAAACTTCCACGAGACACCCCCATGAGACATCCAGGTCTGGTGGGCTCCAGCCTTTGGGAGTCCGTCACCAAACCCAGAAACACACGAAATGACCCACCTGCTCAGGCAAGTGGCGTGAGAATTACATGGGCTTATGTGAAAGCTCCTTATAAATGACAAAACATGACACAAATGGGAGTTTGAGATTAATTTAAAAAAAAAACACCTGTGGGTTTAATCAACCCATTGTCACCATCTAACAGAAACAAAAAGTACATTTTAGTTTATTTTTCACATTTGACTAATTTTTTTCTGATCAAATTACCATTTTGACATTCTCCATTTACTTAGCCAGCAGGTGTTCAGTAATCACAACTACCATGCTTTCTGCTTGACACAGTTTGTACCAAATTGAATCAGAAAAGACTTCTTACCTTAAGGAGTTCCTAACTTCTGGGTGAGAGTCAGAGAAGTGGGATCATCACCCCCATCCTGTACATGGGAGGTAAGAAAGGGGACAGGAAGGTCTTCAGCCAAGTTTGCAATTCTTGAAAGAATCCTGTCTGAGACTGTGAGGCTGCAGGAGAGAGAGAAGCGGCGAGGAGAAACCAAGAAAGAGCCGGGGTCACATCCCAGCCCTGGCCCAATCTCTCTCTGACATACGGTTTCAGGAGCCCATAAATTTCTCTTTGGTCTGAGCCTTTTCTGTGTGGGCTTCTGTCACTTGCAACCAGAAGAGACATCTGTTGAACTCAAAGGATGAGAAAAGGGTATCTGGGAAGAGAAGGAAAATGGAAAATGTTATTCCAAACAGGAGGAAGGATATACACAAAGAGACCTGTGATCCTGCAAGAACCCAGCATTGATGGGAAGAACAACAGTGTGGTCCTTGTAGGAAGCTCACTCTTCCTCCACAAGCCCAACCCAGACAGGGAGAGAGGGAGGGAGGGGCTGAGAGTCTGTGAACAGAGACTCCAAGTCCAGTTTGGTGCTAGATACAGAACTCTGTGTCTCCTTAGCTGCAGTCTGCCTCAGGGACACATTGGATAACGTTGTGTCCTCTAGAAAGAGACACCTTGGGCTCAGGCTCACAGGCTGTCCCTCCAGGTGAGAAGGGGAACAGCAGTAGGCCAACCTGTCCTGGAGAAAGATGCTCTGCTCTGGGCCAGAGGCTGAATATAAACTAATATTTGAGTCCTAAACACAGCCTGCCAAGTGGATAGATTTTGAGAAACTTAAATATACAAGAGAGAAAATGTTTATTTTCTTGACTGGGCTAAGGGATGCCCAGATTGTGGGTGGAACATTAGTTCTGGGGGTGTTTTTGGAAGAGATTGACATTGGAATCAGTAGACTGAGTAAAGATCCCTTGAGGGCTTGAATAGAGCAAAATGATGGCGGGCGAATTCTCCCTCTCTCTCTTCTTGAGCTGAAACATCCATCTTCTCCTGCCTTTGGACATTGGAGCTCCTAGTTCTTGGCTCTTTAGACTCTGGGACTTACACAAGCCACCACCCTCAGCTCCCTTCCCCACTCTATAATAAACAATTCAAACATTACCTTCCACCTTTTTAGCTATTTCATATGAAGGAATCTTAGATGTGGTCAGAGAGAACAAAGTCATAAAGAAAATGAAGTTACAAAGAAAAAGAAGTACACACACACACACACACACACACACACACACACACAGGCATGGGAATTGCACTGGCTCTGGAAGCCTTAGGAATCATGCTGACTGCCCATGGACAACCCAAATGGTGTAATGACATGAGGACATCTCTGCTACAAATGCTGACCATTCCATGAGATTAATCTCCTTAGGCACCACAGGCTTGATTTGGGAATGCCTCCTGCCTTCCTTCTTTCCTGGCAAAGAAAATTACCAGGGACTGAGCCGGGGAAGAATATTAGTGTTAATAAGAACAGTTTATTCCATTGCCATCTGCTGATTTTTAATAAGGGAGCTGCCTAATGACAATGATTTTCTTCAGCCAGGTGGAGAAATGTCCCCAAAGAAGGAGCACAGTTGTCACAGAGAGGACTTGAGACTCAGGCCAGGGGTGCATATTTGCTGGCCTTTCTGATACAATTTTTTAGCCCCAGGGGAATATATTTCCAGCAGAAGTTATGGTGGGGTGGCTGATATCTGCTCTCTTTGCCCACCCAGTATCATTCCCTCTGTCTCTGCAGTTGATAACCCCCAGGTTCCTCAAGAGGAAGACTGCAGTCAGGCAGAGAAGGGCGTCTCATCTAAAGGGGATGGGACTGAAGCTACTCAGGGGATGGGGTCCCAATAGCAACTCAGCCTTGATTTTCCAAAATAGAGGTTTTGAAATTGAAGCCAGAACATAGGAACACAGAGCCAAGATTTCATGAGAAGGAGGAAAAGAGGGAGAAAGGGAGATTTCAATATTTATTTGAATCTCTTGATCAAGCGGCACTTAAAACCAATACACAAAACTTTTCAGTCAGTGAGCCAATTAACATTCACATTTATTTTCTTTTTGTTTTAGCTGGTTTGGGTTGAGTTCTCTCAGTACCAATACAAGGCGGATCGAAATCAGCAAAATCAACACCAAAGTCACTACTACAAGAGGCAAAGCATTAGGTAAGTTGATGATGGAGAATTCACCGGACCTGGGCTAAGCAGGGATAGGAAGTCTCCATGGAGGAGGTGGCATTTGACCAGGATGGGGCATGAGAGTAAAGAGAGGAGAGGCATCCATGGAGAGTGGATGGTAGGAACTGGAACAGGATGGTGAGGAAGTGCTGCTTTGTCGGGTGTCTATACCTCTTATTCTGCCTAGGACAGTGGGATATATGCCAGTTGTCCTAAGACTATATCAATGGGCCCTGTTTACTCTGCATGGTGTCCTGGTTTGGTTGGTAGATTACATGATCACTCTGCTTACGGAACTTGAAAGAACCCAAGTTCTTTCTTGATAGCCTAACCATGTAGTCACAAGCGCTCGGGTCCTCAGCCCTATCCAGGTATCCAGGAAAGGATAGACAGACACACACACACACACACACACACACACACACACACACACACACACACAGAGAGATTGATTCTTAACTTGGGCCAGGAGTGAGCTCATTTTGGAAATGTTGAGGGAAATCTGCCTTCCAGAGCAGAGTGGGACATGAGGGACATGTTTTCCGTAGAAAGGATGATTCAGTTGTGAGTTGTGTGCTTGCCAGAGTGTGCCTTTTTGAGCTAATTACTGTCTGCCGATAAATTACTGGGATTAAAAACAAGAACAAAATGAACTTAGTTCAAGGACACATGTCAGAAACAGAACAATTATCATTTGGAAAGGTCCATTAGTGCGAGCGACTTAGAAAAATCTTTTCTTATAAACTTCTAGTCATATTAGATATTTCAAAAACAGGATTAGAAGAATTTGCATGTTGGCTGGTAGTGAAATTGCACTTCCTGAATGAAGTGTGTCCTGAGAGACCAGGGTCAGAGCTTGGGAGAGTGTCTGGTTTTACAAAATGTAAGCTTTGCTCAGGCTGCTGGTGTGCGTGTGTGTGTGTGAGAGAGAGTGTCACTATTTTTGTGTGCGTGAAACTATGTCATTCTGTGCATATGCCGCTTCCTTACTAGAAGAATGTTGCACTGTGCTGTATAAATGTGTAAAAATAGCTTTGCCCCAATGATGAATATTATATTGTAATGTGCATGTAGTCCTCTCTTATCCTCCATTTCAGTTACTCATGGTCAGTCGCGGTCTAAAAATATTACTGACAATAAGATATTTTGAGAGAGAAATAGAGATAAACCACATTCAAATATCGTTTATTACAGTATGTTGTTTACATTGTCCTAGTTTATTGTGAGTCCTTATTTGTTAATCTGTTCCTGTGCCTAATTTATAAATTAAACTTTATCATAGGTATGTATGTATAAGAAACATTCATGGCATATATAGAGCTTGGTACTATCCTGTTGTCAAGCACCCACTGTGAGTCTCGGAGCGTACCCCTGTGGTTAAGTGCGGACCACTGTAGTGTGCACTAACAGCGTCCAGAAACTATGTTTCAAGGATTGAGAAATGCTCCTGAGAATTCAGAAACGTTTGCAAATCCTCCACACTCTAGGTAATTGAAATGATTTATTTTTCTTCTTTGAAATCCTGCCCCCTTGGTATTGAAACAGCTCCCTGCTTTCCCATAGCCAGACCACATCCCTCATACACAGACTTCAAACACCTGCAGGGTGGGAGCGCTGCCCAGGGCTGGCCAATCAGTGTGTGCCATCCCAGTGCAACAGTGATTGGCTCACAAGTGGTCATGTGACCTACTGAGCTCTCGCTTTCTCAGCCCTGCCAAGGGGCTAAGGCATTCGGAAATAAGCACAACCATAGGTCTGCAGGAGCCCAGGGTTTCCACACAGTGACTTCGACCTGCCTTTTGCAGCTCGATGCTGTAAAGCCAAGCTTGTCTCAGGCTCATCAGACTTGGGTCACAGAAGCCAGTTCCTTATGAAACAGGCCGGGAAGGCTCAACTACTGATAACGTACAGCCCTGTTTTCTCGTGAAGGCTTAATTAATTGCAGCAACATTTTGGGCATTGATTTTTTTCCATGTAGCTTCAGCACATGAGTTAGCAGCTCCTTTGCAGGCAATGTGTTGCCAAGTGTCTGGGGGCAGTCACGTAATAGAATCAGTAAATTCGCCGCAGTCTCTTCTGGTCTGAAGGTGGCAGCCCAGGTGCTCCTGTTGGATGCACATTCATTGAATCTGGAAGAGAGAGGGAGTGCAGTCTCTTGTGTGAAAGAAGTCTCAGCTTGGGACATCAGCTTGGTTCTCTCAAAAACTGGTGACTGCTTACTGGCCTGAGGGAGCTGATGTCCCTGCCACTGACCCTGAACGTGACCTTGTCAAACCAGGGTAGTCTGAGGCTGTTTCTCCCCTTGGGCAATGCAGAGGACCTTGCTTTAGTCCGACTAGAGCCAGCTAGTGTTCCTTTTCTCAAATCCTTTTAACAAATTTTAAGTGTACAATGTGGCGCTATGTCGTACAGAAGATCTCTAGAACCTATTTTTATTGCGTAACTGAAACTTGATACCTGTTTCCCCTCCCCCATCTCCGCAGCCCCTGGAAACCACTGCTCTGCTCACTGCTTCTGTGAGTTTATTTTAGATACCTCATGTAAGCAGCAGTTATTTCACTTAGCATATTGTCCTCCAGATTCATTTCTGTTATTGCACACTGCAGAATTTCCTTCTTTTATAAGGCTGAATAATATTCCATTGCATGTATATGCCATATTTTCTTGATCCATTCATCCATTTATGGATATTTAGGGTTTTTTTCCAAATCTTGGATATTGTGAATAATGCTAAAATGAACATGGGTGTGCAGATATCTCTTTGTGATCCTGATTTCAATTCTTTTTTTTTTCCATATACCCAGAAGTAGAGTTGCTAGAATATACAGTAGTTCTATTTTTAATGTTTTTGAGAAACCTCTATACTTTTCTATAGTGGCTGTACCATTTTACATTTCTTCCAACAGTGTACAAGAGTTCCAGTTTCTCCATATCCTTGCCAACACTTACCTTTTATTTTATTTTTATAATAGTCATCCTAGGAAGTGTGAGGTGATATTTCATTGTGGTTTCAATTTGCATTCCCCTGATAATTAGTAATGTTGAACATGTTTTCATATACCTATTGGCCATTTATGTGTCTTCTTTGGAAAAACATATAATCAAATACTTGGCCTATATTTTTTTTCTTTAAAGACGGAGTCTCACTCTGTCACCCAGGCTGGAGTGCAGTGGCACGATCTTGGCTCACCTCAGCCTTTGCCTCCTGGGTTTAGGTGATTCTTGTGTCTTAGCCTACTGAGTAGCTGGGATTTCAGGCACATGCCACCATGCCTGGCTTTTTATTTTTTATTTTTATTTTTTGGATTTTTAGTAGAGACAGAGTTTCACCATGTTGGCCAAGCTGGTCTTGAACTCCTGACCTGAAGTGATCCGCCTGCCTCAGCCTCCCAAAGTGCCAAAATTACAGGCATGAGCCACCGCGCCCAGCCCTTGGCCTATTTTTAAACTGAGTTGTTTGTTTTGCTATTGAGTTGTGGGAGTTTCTTGTATTTTTAGACATTCAATCCCTTTCAGATATATGGTTTGCAAACATTTTCTCCTATTTTGTAGGTCACCTTTTCACTTTGTTGCTTATTTCCTTTGCTATTCAGAAGCCTGTCAATATGATGTAGTCCCAAGTGTCCATTTTTACTGGTGTTGCCTCTCTGCTTTTGGTGCCACATCCATACACATCATCAGCTGATCATCTGCAAGGGTGCCAAGAATACCCAATGATGAGAGGATCTCTTCAACAAATGGTTTTGAGAAACTGGATAGCCACATGCAAAAGAATTAAACAGGGCCCTTATCTTACACCGTACACAAAAATCAAGTCAAAATGAATTCAAAATATAAACATAAGACTTGAAACTGTAAAACGCGTAAAAGCAGACACAGGAGGAAACTTCATGACATTAGTTTTGGCAATGATTTATTGCCTCGAACGTTCCTTGGACACCTTGAGACAGGAAACAACCTCTTATCATGAGAGGTCAGCAGCTTCGAGAGGTCTCTTGCTTACCAGAAAAATCAAAGATTCATCAAATGAGTCACCAGTTAAATGCTTAAAAACCCAGATCTGTGCCATGGTGGGATCCTCCCTGATGGGCAGTCTTACAGAGCCTGAGACAGGGAAAATTCAGAAAAGAGAGGAGAAAAGAGCTAGACCTGAAATATTTCTAGGCTGTAGAATGCTCCAGTTGCAGGTACTGAATTCAGTGGGTATTACTATTTCCTAGGTGTAAACCATGGTTCAACTGTTAGTAATCAATGACATCAATTTACAGGCCACTATCATTTTTAAAATGCATGGAATAGAATAAAATATATCAGGGTATATTCTTGGAACAAAGGTGTATATTCTTAATGAAATTTTGGTTTAAATTGTATAGGTGTTTTTGTGTGCATGTGGGGGTGGATAAATCCTAATGTAAAATGTATTTATTTTTCTTTTTTTATTTTAAAGAGACGGTCTTGCTCTGTTGTCCAAGCTGGAGTGCAGTGGCTCCATCATGGCTTACTGCAGCCTTGAACTCCTGGGCTGATGTGATCCTCCTGCATCAGCCTCCCAGGTAACTGGGACTGCAAGTGTGCACTACCATGCCTAGCTAACTTTTTTATTTCTTATTTTTGTATACATGGGGTTTTGCTGTGTTGCGCAGGGTAGTCTGGAACTCTTGGCCTCAAGGATTCCTCCTGCCTCTGCCTCCCAAAGTACTGGGATTACAGGTGTGAGCCACTATGTCCAGCATTATTTCTTATTATGGATTATGATGAAGAAGCTAAAAAGTACAAGCCTAATCTGCTGTTCCTAACCCAGTCTTTCACGGTTTCCAGGAGGCTTCCCTTTCTCTTCGAGCTCATATTATCTGCTCCGATCTCTGAATATTTTGAACCAGCCAATTGAAAGCCTAGGTTTGTATTTGTATTTCCCTGCACTGATTTTTGTTAGTCTGCATAAAATTTCCATCCATTGTTCAGTCAACAAGTGTTTCCTATGAGTTTTTCCTCTCCTATAGGACTGTTCCTCTTTCCAGTGGCTCTGGTATAATATAGAGTCCCATAACAGGATTCCAAGCAGAAATAACCTCATGCCAACCTGGAAAGTAAACAAGTGGAGCATAATATACCCTTATCACACAGACACAATTACATATGGGGCATGAAGGAATATTTATCATTACCTCAAAGAAATATGCTCCTTCGCACTTTTCTTGAAACACCTGGTCCACGCTACTTTTTATTTTCCCACTTGGACAGGGACTTTGGTAGAAGAAATACTTTGCTCTTCCCTTAGGTCTGCTCATGTGCAATGATAAATAGCATCTAACACTCAGCTTCTGTGATGGGGACAATAGGGATAGGTGGGGTCTGCAGGACACCTGCTACTCAGTAGGCTTGGAGTCCCAGTGGCACCACAGCACTGGCCTTTCCAAGGGAAACCACAATTCCATATTTTAATTAAAAATCTTCCAATTTGCAAATGTTGCCAAACGCTTCATTTTCTAAATACTGTACATGATAAACAAATACATCTGTAGGCCACTAGGGTCTCAGGTGTGCCACATGCAAACCAACCCACTGCTGGGCACATGCATGACGGATGCTCACTGACCAGACTGGAGCATACCAGGGACAACCCTGGGTTGCAGGTGACCTCTAGGTTTTTGTCTGGAATGAGATATCCTACTACAGGAACATGAGTCTGTGGATAACATGCATCACCCACGTTTTGCTCTGATGCTTTGAATCTTAAAGGAAACCACACAAGAAAAACATTCATATTAACAAGGGACTGTATAAACTCTCATCAGCATCTGGCTGTTCATCTGGAACAGATTATTATCCAGATCTTGTTTTCATCAGGGGCACTGCTTTTGTTACACTGTCAGCTAATGGCTTCCCCCTCTCCTTCCTCCCTAGACACATCATCTCTTTTTATGGTTAAGAACAAACATGTATTCCCCACCCTTGTCCAGCCCTATTTTAAACAAGTTCTGAAAATCACATCAGTTTCCTCACCCTCTTGCTTTCAATTGGATTTGGCCAATGAGTGGTGCCTGCAGGTAAAAGAGCAGGAAGAGAGGGAGAGGTCAGGGTGTTTACAACCCTGCTTTCCCACCCCATTGCTGGATGGTTCACTGAGAAAGAAGACTCTGCAATGGAGATTAGTGTGCAGGGTGCTTATTAGGGAGTGACTTTGGGACCCATTCCTTGGAAAGGAAGAAAAGGAAGCAGGAGTGGGCAGAGGGAAATATTGAGCTGTGAAGCAGGCCCAGAAAAAATGGCCAACTCTGGAGTGAGCTTGGGAGCTAGGATGGTCCTAGCGATTTCCCCGAGGTGGGCTGAGATGGTCAGGCCTTTATACTCCCAGGGCAAGTCACTGTTTGTGGGCCCACTGGGAAGGGGCTTGCCCCTGGAGATGATGACTCGCAGCAGCTCAGGCACTCCCTGAAGGGGCTGCAGCTGGAGTCTACCTACCGTGACAGCACTCCCTGAAGCTGCAGCAACACACCTTTCATCAAAAGAGGGTCTGGGCAGCAGCATATCAAGGTGCCTACCACGCTGTCTGCTTGGCCACAGGTGGCTGAGCCTCAGTTGTTTTACCGGAGACCACAGCTCCTGTTGGGTGTCCAGATCCGACAGTCGCAGCTCCCTCTGGGCTCCACTCACATATTCCTTTCCATTCACTTCTGGCCCAGAGCTAGTGGGCTTCCTACTATCACCCTGATGTGCTTCCCTGTTCCTTGTTTTTACCTTCAAGTCTCCTCTCATCTATGAAAATAGTCCCTAGACTCTCATCACTTTCCCCTTTTTAGTGCATGATGTGTTTCCTGCCAATACACGGAAAGATTCACAATTCAAGGATCATTCTATGTACTGTTTTTCTATATCATTGCAATGAGGTGTAAGAAAGGTGTAATTGTGCATATTTGGCTGCATCTACACACAAATTTGTTTGCAGATAAAACTGTTGTATTGAAACTGGTCAGTAACCAGATATTAACTGGATGTTGAGCTTCTTTCCTCTTTAAATTAGTTCATGTCATAGAGACAGGATATGTGTATTAGCCAGATAGGCTAATGTCCTGTAACAACCATCCCCCACCTATCAGTAGCCCAGCAAGAAAGGCATGGGATTTTTTGTTTATTTGTTTGCTTTTTGATATACAGCCCAATGCTCTTGTTTTGTCTCTGGCTGCTTTCATCCTCAGCCCTCTCTCTCACATGGTGACTCAAGGGATCTGATGCGTTCCCTCTTGTAGCTTCATCATAGTCAACACATGGCTTCTAAAGTCATTGCAAAAGAAGAAGAGTGTGAGAAGGAATCTCTCCCTGCTCGTGGATTTCCTCTCTTCCAGATGCCCATCTCTTCAGCATAGAAAGTCCTTATCTCTGAAGTGAAACACACCAGTCTGCTGTCTTTTGGTGGGAACTAACCACATGGCCCTGTCCACATGCACAGGGTCTGCAAATGAAGCCCTTGGACGGTCAGTGACGACCCTGAATTATAGAAGAGACACACAAGTAGCTGCCAATCATCCAGATTTCTCTGCCTTGCTATGTGAGCCTGTATTGTTGACTGGTGATGCTTATGATTTTCAAGGAGAACAAACTGTATACATCTTTCCCTAGGACTTTAATTGCTCAACACCTGGGTTTATATTGAGGCCAGAGTGAATGACAGTAGCTATTAATCAAGTAGCTGGCAAACTGCAGAAGCTGAATTGGTCCAGGTGAGCTTAGGCTCTTAGGCCACCCTAAGAGAACCACCTGTGTTTAGGGAGTAAACCTTCTCTGCTATCCTTGCCCCTGGTCCAACTAGTTTGAAAATCCCTACAATAAACATGTTTTGGCTGCAGGTACTAATGATGATAAAGCCCAGAATAAATCAGAACCTCACATCCCTATGGAAAAAACCCTCGCCGTTCTTCACTTCCTCATTTATAAAGGGGAGTTGTAGCCACACCCACTCCCATCACGCTGTTTTGTGAGGAACGAATTAGATCATTGGTACAGACACTGCACAGTGGGGTGCCATGCAATGCATGGCAGTAGCTCCAATCACACCTTCCCAGAGGGGACCTGTCTCAGGACTCTCAGGGTAAATAAGCCTCCTAGAACTTTGCAATATAGTGACTCTGAAATAGGTATTATGCTTGCTGTTATTTTAATGTTATTATTAATACACAGGCAATAAGCACCTCCAGGGAATACACACAGCTTCATGTCCTGTCCTTTCCTTATAGAATTCAGGGGTCCCAGGGATGGCATTCTGGGTTGGCCACATGGCATCCATCCCAGCCCTCTCTCCCTGCCCATGGATCCCTTCTCTCCCAGATGTCCATCTCTCAGCATCTCTTGGTGCTAGTACATGGGAATGAGGCCTGCAGCTAGAAAGTTTGCTTGAGACTTCTGGGCATTATTAACATTCCTGAAAATAGTGAGGGATGGAGAGATAAAGAGAGAGAGAGAGGAAGAAGAAAAAGGAGGAGGGGGTGAAGAATAAGAAGGAGGAGGAGGAGAGAGGGAGAACACCTGGGGGGCTGCAAGCAGGTAAATATGGTTTATTCAGCAGCTCTCTTGTCAGCAGCTCTCTCATCAGCAACTCTCTCACACTGTCCACCTTTATCTCAGCTGTCTATTCCAGCTCTGTGGCTCCTGCCACCCCCACGCCTGGAGCTGCTCTTCCAGGCCTGCAAGGCCAGCTCTGTCAGGGTTCACAGCTTAACTCTTTCTCTCTCCAGGCACAAGCCAGTTCCTGGCTCCCGACTGCCACCTTCAAGGTGGGTAGCTCTCACTTACAGGCATCAGCAGTTTCATACTATCTCTCTGGGCACCAGCACCGAGCTGTGCCGTGCCATGCCATGCCATACTGAGCTGAGCCAAGACAAACAGCACCTGTACAGCATCAGCAGGTTAGTTATACCTTTTACAGA
Organism: Homo sapiens; assembly: GCF_000001405.40. Lineage (NCBI taxonomy): Eukaryota > Metazoa > Chordata > Mammalia > Primates > Hominidae > Homo > Homo sapiens. The sequence continues at coordinate 126,164,224 of NC_000012.12, forward strand.
CAAGAGTGGCGTAGAGCCATGTATGAGCTTACACAAACAGGTTATATAACAAGTGGAGGTGTGCGCCTGCTCACCAATCCCACGGAGTCATGCAGGCCTGATGTCTGCCTCGGCCTAATTCTTGACCAAAGCACATCGATGCACCTTATACAAGCCCACCCCAGAACCACTTGCCTCTTGTTAGGTGACAAAAATATTTGCCTGATGAGGTAACCTTTAGTCAGATACAGCATCCAAGCACACACACACACACACACACACACATACACACACACACACAACAAACAAACAAACAAACAAACACGAGTGGAGGAGCAGATGTATACACCAAGGATTACAGCACAGATGGTAAGTGGTCTGGCAGAGATGAACTCAGAGAGTGGGCATCTGATGGAACCTGACAAGTCAAGACAGGCTTCCTGGAGGAAGTGGACCCTAAGCTGAGACTCAAAAGATGAACAGGTGTCATTGCTCTACTGTAGAAGACATGGATGCTGGGAACAACTGCCAGGCAGAGGCCATAGCATCTGTCTAGGCCTAGGGTGGGTGGATGATATAGTTTGGCTGTGTCCCCTCTCAAATCTCATCTTGAATTATAGCTCCCATAATTCCCATTTGTTGTGGGAGGAACCTGGTGGGAGATAATTGAATCATGGGGGAGGTTCCTCCACACTGTTCTCGTGGTAGTGAATACGTCTCATGAGATCTGATGGTTTTATAAGGGGTTTGTCCATTCACTTGGCTCTCATTCTCTCCTGTCTGCCACCATGTAAGATGTGCCTTTCGCCTTCCACCATGATTGTGAGGCCTCCTCAGCCATGTGGAACTGTGAGTTCATTAAACCTCTTTTTCTTTATAAATTACCCAGTCTTGGGTATGTCTTTATCAGCAGTGTGAAAATGGACTAATACCGTGGGGGAGGAAGTGCATCTGTGGCTGCTCTGTGGAGTAAGATGAGGCTGGAGATGTGGCAGGGGTCAGTTCACTAGTGTGTGATGTCTGAGCCAAGGAGCACAAGCTTCAAGGGCACTTTGAGGGGTCACTGAGGGGTGTGGAGCAGAAGCAGGGCCTGGAGAGACCTGTGATTTAGAATGACCAGTCTGGTTGCTGGGGACAACTGGGAGGATAACATAATATGATTATACCCAACCTTTGTACAGCACTCACAGCATGTTTCAGACATTGCTTTAAACATTTTAGATACATTACCTTCTTATTAAAATGTATTTTGTGAGATAGTTACTATTATTTTCATCTCACAAGTGGGGAAATTATAGAACAAAGAAGTTAGGTAACTTGCCCAGGGCCACACAACTAGTAAGTGGTAGAACCAGGATTAACCTCAGACCAGCCCCAGAGTTTTTGCTATTAACTACCACACCATTGCGCCACTCCCAAACCAGAGGGAGCAGTGGGTTGGATGCAGGTGGACCCCATCCTAATTCCAATCCTCCAGTAGGCGTTCAGAAAAATGAAGTACCCAGTATAATCATTCATTGTTATTAAGTGTGCTTTATGTCTCAGGCAATACACACAAATCTCTCACATGAATTTGTTATTTTGGCCCTCAGGGCAACTCTGTGGGATAGGGGGAGGGTTATTGTTGCTGTTTTACAGATGGGGAAGCTGAGGCCCAGAGAAGTTAAGTAAGTTGTCTAAGTTCACAAAGTTACCAGAAGATTGTGGAGTGGTCTTCCAGGGAGAGTTATCTTGTATCAGGAAGGAGAGATGATTACTTAGGAAAGCCCAAGAAACAACAGGTATTTGAAAGCTATAGCAGTTCATCTGGGGTTGATCTGGGAGCATACAGCAAAAAAAGAGCTAAAATGCAAGGCACCAACGTAGAAAAGCCCACCTGGTCTCTCTTCTTAGGGTGGCTCCTCTCTGTCTCTCTGCCTCTGCCTCTTGTCCTAGCCCAGCATGGCCGCAGGTCCCAGGTTCTGTGACATCACAGTGCAGTGCCCACAGCTCACTGTTGGTTCCTGCCATTGAGATTATCTGATTGGCCACTGGCCAGCCAATGGTGGATCAGACTTTGGAGCAGGTGATCCTTGGACGCCCACAGTACATCACCTTCATGAGCGCATCAGTGAACACCAGTCTAAGGAAGACATCTCTGAACGTAATTTTGGAGATTTTGATGAGTTCCATTGAAACAAGGAGGAATGTGATGTCCAGTATCAGTTCTGCAGACCCAAGGACAAAGAAAATTCTGTGATAAACTCATCCAGTGTGACTGTAATGTGGGTATCTATTTGATACCTCCAAGTAACTGTTTATTCTTGTGCCAGTTGAGTAGATGGTACGGGCCAGTTGGTGTTGATTAGTGAACCACGGACAAAGGGCATATGTCACATGAGTTGCTCCTGGATAAAGTCACCCAGTCACTTCCTGATGAATATCCTGCATAAACTCCAAAGACAAAAGAGAGTTAAGGTTGTTTTTCTCACCTTAGACCAGGCAGTGATAGAAGAACTGGGGGAAGAGATAATTGTATTTATCTTGGTGAGGGTGACAAATCATGGCAAATGAGCAAAATGAAAAAGGTTTGCAGATTTCAACAAACTTCTAAAAGATCAGCTTACAGTCATGTATACATCTCTTCCTTTGTTTCTAGTTTATTTGCATCTCATTACTATGTTCTCGGTTTAGGATACAAGACACCGGACTTTCAAATCAACAATTGTTTCAAAAGACTCCTACTGGATTCCTGCTAGTGATGGGAGAAAATTATCATTCTGTGAGTTGTCAATAAATGTTTAACCACAGTTCACCTTTTTTGGATTTTAAGATGTCTGCGCCACTAGGACGCTCAGAAAAATTACCCTCCAAATGCTACTTGGAGGAGGATTCAGTACCACCCTGAGAAGGCAACCAGCTACAACCTTGGTTGTAGTTTCGGTTGCAGAAAGAGCGTGAAGTGTGCAACTCATGTCTGTCTTCATTTTAATAGGCTAGTTAATCTGTAGCCAGAGATGATTAAGGAGGTCATTAAAGGAAAACAAGCTGCCCACCATGCTGATGCCTGGTTGTTCAGATCGTTGAGGTGGTGTAGAGATGACGCACACTGGCTCAGTTTACCCACATTTGGATCTACGGACCTGCAAGTGTATGAGCATAAAACATTGCACTTCTGACATCTTTAAAACTTTTGTCTTCTCTCTGGGGTTCTGGCTCTTCCTTCTGCTTTCGTGTTTTGGTTTTTAAGCAGTAACATTTATTTAAGTATTTGCAATGTGTCAATGCTGTGCTGAGTGTGTTGTGTGTATTATCAATATTGCTAAACGTAGTGAAGTAGGAACTATTATTTCCCCCATAGAAAGAAGCACACAGCCTAAAGGGAAAGCCACTCTCCTGAGATCCTTGTGTCAACAGATGACAGAGGGGGTACTCGAACCCAAGTCCTGTGACTCACCCATGCCTGCAAAGTCTCTTCTTGGATACCTTTCCTGTTTTCTTTATTTTTTCTTTTTCTATTCTTTACTGTTGTTTGTGTTTGTTTGTTTGTTTTTTAAGCAGGGTCTCACTCTATCACCCAAGCTGGAGTGCAGTGGCAGAATCACAGCTCACTGCAGCCTTGACCTCCTCAGGCTCAGGTGATCCGCCCACCTCAGCCTCTTGAGTAGCTGGGACTGCAGGCATGCACCACCATGTCTCGCTAATTTTTGTAGAGACGGTGTTTTACCATGTTGTCCAGGCTGGTCTCAAACTCCTGGGCTTGAGTGATCTACCTGCCTTGGCCTCCCAAAGTGCTGGGATCACAGGCATGAACCACTGCACCCAACCCTTCTTGTTTTGTTTAGGTGCTGACATCTTAACTAAAGGACTACCTTAGCAAAAAATGTCTCTCTTCTCTCAGGGGTCCCATCCTCCTAACTCGGCCCTCCTTAATCTCAAGCCTGCAACTCTAGCACGTAGGAAGGAAGCAGCACACCGTCTCTGGTGACTGCAACAGAGGCCTGAGCCCCACCCACACCCTCCTGCAGGGTTGGACATTGGCAAATCCAGCCATTGATATCAAAGCAAAAGGCTCATTCATTTACTTGCATTTGTGGTTGGGAGCATTTCCCGAAGAGAGGTGGGGAATTGGTGATGGGAAAGCACAAGTCAGGCTGGATGCCCGGCCCTGGGCACTCTCATGCCTCTTCTGGAGCCCTTCAGTTTGGATCATCGCCCTTTCCCACATGCCACATTGTTTGTCCACCCTGATAGCCTCTGTCATGACACACCAGCCCTGGGATATCACATAAGCTACAGGTCAGACGCTGCTTTCCAGACAGAATTATGGAGAAGACAACCATCATTTTGGTGAGTGTTTTCTAAGGCCCTTGGGGCCTCATCCTGGAAAATAAATCTAGCCTCTGAGTTCTGGCTCCAGGTAGCAGCTGGCGGGACCACTAAGGTGGGAGGCTGGCTGGGGTCATAATTGTGATGCGTGGACTGAGAGAAGGGAAGGAATGAGGCGGGATGGATGCCTGATGGCAGATGCTGCAGCTTTTTCTTATCAGGGAAATAGCCCCTGCATCACAGCATTTACAAAGTAGTGATGCAGTGTGTTCATTTTATTTTTCTCCTTACCCTTACATGTTCTTGGTGATTAGGGCATCGATCCCAGGCTTGAGATTTGAGTGAGAGTCATTTTAGGGCAACAGTTGGTGACCTGGGAATCAATATCCCATCTGCTCATTGCTCGATTGTCACTTAGTTTGTGCTTCCCTAAAATTAATTCAAATGAACATAATTTTTACCATAAAATTATATATATGCATTGTGAAAAATGTCTCTAAAAATCACCTGAAAATATACCATTTAAAGATAGTAGATTTTTGTTTTTGTTAAACACATCCCTTTTTTCTACACACACACCAGCTGAAGTCAATTTAACTTTTTGATATTTTACTAAAAATAGATAATTGCCTGATCATCTACTTTTATCTCCATAGGGAAGTTCAAAGTCTTCATTCTGTATTTTCCTGGACACTAGGGAATTAAATTTCATTTTTGTTTGTTCATTTATTTCACCAATGCTCCTTGGGTGCCAAGTCTCTACAGGACCTGGGGTAGAGAGAAAGCTGGTAGTAATGTCTATGGGTCTTCCATTGCCCAGGAGGTTATTTTCCAGTCATTTCCAACTCTGTATCCTAATAGACTCTTGGGTTCTTTCACTTCTAACTTCTACTACTGTTTTCTGATCCATGATGCTGACATGGGACACGGCCGATGTTCCTTGATCTCTGTGCCAATTATAAATTTATTGCCTCTCAGCTCTAAAGTCATCCTTTTTGCTTGGTCTTTGAAAATGTATCTGGGCCCCTTTATTTTAATCAGGGCTGAATTTTTAAAAATTAGTTGCCAACACTTAGTAATTATTATAGTTTTATATTTTGTTCCTCATTAACTTCTCTAATCAAATATGGTCATCACCACATTATAAATATATATAATATACGCTAGCTTTTTTCCTGAAAGCAACTTATTTTAACATTATTGTAGGTTCAGCCAACCCATATTGCACATTTAAAGCCATTAGTTGTTCCCACCTCTAATAGGAGCTATAGATAGTGGATTTCAAGAGAGTACCAAGGTTGCTACTCCATAATGGCCAGAAGAGCAAGCCAAAAACATCAGAGTAAACACAGAAACCTCACATCTCAGGGAGGTTTGCTTAACAAACATATCAAGACCTGGGATACCTGGAAAACTGCAGGTAGGGTTTGTTTCTTGTATAGGTTTGATTTATAATTATTACTCCCACAATGCTTGATGGCCCCAAACAGTAACAGAAGCTCTAGTGAGTTCTTGATTAAGCTAGTTTTTCCAAGATTTCATTCATTTTCTCCCCTGTTGTTTGTTCTATAGTAATTGTCAGGAAAATTATTTTTTTTCTGCATGCATGAGCATAGCATTGGAATTTCATTAAAGTTTTTTGTTCCTTCAGTGTTTTTACTGAAATATTGTTTTGTCTACATATAATCTACATATAATTTGTCCACATTCCTTGAGTGGGAATTCATTCAAAATTCATGTTTTTTGTTGTTGTCATTGTTTTTTGATTTACCCAGCCTGCAAGTACAGGATGGAAATTCATGCTAATCTCATTTTTTATTACACCGTGATTGTTAGTTACCAATATCTATGAATGACTGTACTGGCATTTGTTTTTATAATAATGCACAGAAGAGATAGACCCAACTTACTAACATACCTGAGGTATTTTTTCTGCTGTGCTTTTGCATTCACTGATGATGATATATATCTTTTAACTATGTTATTTTATAATTTCTCAGCACTAGTTGGCTATTACTTCCAATCCAGAATTGTTTTCTTATATATAATATATAGCATATTGTACTTACATAAGCAGGATTATGTATTTTCCCTACAAAACCATTTTAAAATTCATTTCCTATGCATATATGATAGAAAGTAGTTAGATTCCCTTCCATAAATATTTTCTTAAAGAAATAAGGGTGTGTTTTATACTTTAAAGTCTTACAGATTAGGAAATACTCCACTTCTGGGTTGTTCTGCAGGGATACTAAATAAGTAAAAGGAAACTAGCATTTACTAAGCGCAGCATTTTTGTAAACTCTTTTAGTTGATCCTCAAATAGAATTGCCAGATCAAATATAGGATGCTTAGTTAAAGTTTGATTTCATGTAAGTAAGGGATACTTTTTTTAGTATATCACAAATATTTCATGGTATATACTTATATTAAAATTATATGTTGTTTATCTAAAATTCAGAATGAACTGGATGTCCAGTATTTTTATTTGCTACATTGAGTAAAACTATCTTTGAACAACTCTGTAAGATTCCAACCGGCATGACTTTCTTCAACCCCAGTATCTAAAGAAGAAAATTTTGGGGGAGAGTGTGGAAAACTTGAAATAGCTTCCAAAATAGAGATGTGGTAGCCTAAAATTTAAAATTAGGTTATTGATGATTTTTCCTATTATGTCTGAAAATATAGCAAAATGAAAGCTATCTTTATATTGCATCACATTATTTATTGATAAATTAGAATCATAGAGTGTCCATGTTAGAAGCAGTGTTGGTCATCATCCTACCCAACAACTTTGTTTTACAGATGAAAAGAATATGTCTAAGATCCTGTTAACAGCAGAACTTAGACTGCTAGTGAGTTCTCTTAACTATCTCCAATAAAGGTTATTTGAACCACTCTGGTGTATTTAAAAATATGATTTATGTAAAGTGTGCAAGATATTTTTAGTTGACACACAAACAAGAGAAAGCCACATGAGCTGAGGCTATGCAGGGTGTTGGGCCAAGGGGAGGAGGGCAGGGTGGAATGGGAGAGGCTCATTGATAATCAGCATGTGCGTTTTTTTTTCTGGCTTCTAGGCCCTGCTGGAAATTTTCCATGCTCTTCATTCGTTCTCCTGTATTTCCTAACGCCAATAAAAGAGGAGATCCCTGAGGACACGCCTCTCTTTAATATCTGCTTTCCTTGCAAAGATAAGCCAAAGACCAATGTATGTCGTATCTGCCCCCTTCAGCCTTTGGGACACAATTTTGATAAACCTTCCTCTATTTCACATTAACAGAAAATGTCACTTCTCCCTTCCTAATCTCCAATGCAAACCTAACATTTTAGCCCAACGTTTCTCATGCTTGCACAAGCCAGCTTTTAAATTCTGCTCAATTCCAATTTAAGAGTAGGCATTGTGCTAGACATTTATAGCCCAAGATCTGTAAGCAAATATAATTCTGTGGACTAAGAAAGCTAACATTTAAAGAACGGAAAGAGTTTTTTATTTAAAAAAAAAACGCGAATCACTATCACTGCCTTTATTAATTCTCTAAGTACAAGCTGTTGTAAATCTTCTCAGTGTTAGATCCCACTGGAGAGTGATTCATCATATTGCACATAAGCTCACTCCAGGCTGAAATCATATCTATAACGCAAGGGTGATTATGGTTGAACACTGGGCACCAAGAGGCTCTCTAGGAGTGCAGAATGGAATATGGAAAAAGCACATCCAAAGCACTGAGGGCTTTCTGAATTGATGGATTTTTAAAAAAATAATTAAAACTAAGATGGAGACTGGTGACCTAGAGTCTGAGTCATGTATTTGTGAAAACATTTTAAGATCTCCAGATCACTTCCCAGCACATCTCCTGCTGCTATTGTTATTAGAAGTATCTCTTCTTATTAATCTTAAGGGAGGGCTACAGTCTCCAGGGATACTTAGACCTGATTATCAGCGTTTCTATTACAAAACTCTACCTTTAAAAAAAAAAGTGCTGTAGATATTAAAAATGCTTTCTAACTAGGCATTGGTTTCAGTCTATTGAATTAAAACTCAGACTCCAGGATATCCTGTGAAGAAACAACATGTGTCATAAAGGAGAAGAGATGTTGCTGGATTGTCTTTCCAGAGCAGAAATGCACAGAAATTTGAATCTATTGAAAGCATTTCAAATCTTCTTTTATAGCTATTTTGAAATTTATAGTAAATTACACATTTTATGCATGTATCCATGTATATACATATGTACAATTATTATGTATAAATAAAAAGCAACAACAACAACAAAAAACGTTTAAAAACCAAACAAATAAAAAAAATGTCACTATTACCTGACCTGGTTTTAGGAGCAGACATGAAACTTCTAAAGAGAGCACCATTCACATGTCTCTTTCAAATGTTCTGTTGGCAGAGCACAGTGGCTCACCCCTGTAACCCCAGCACTTTGTGAGGCCAAGGCGGGCAGATCATGTCAGGTCTGGAGTTTGAGACCAGCCTGGGGAAACCCCGCCTCTACTAAAAATACAACAGTTAGCCGGGCGTGGTGGTGGGCACCTATAATCCCAGCTGAGGAAGGAGAATCGCTTGAATCAGGGGGGCAGATGTTGCAGTGAGCTGAGATCGTGCCACTTCACTCCAGCCTGGGCGAAAGGGTGAAACTTCATCGCAAAATAAATAAATAAATAAATAAATAAATATTCTCTTAAGTCTTTGTTAGAAGATGATGAAAATGCTTGGCTTGTGTCAATGTAACCAAATTTCCACTTAAAATGTACTCTAAAGGCAATGGCAAGGAAGGGAGTGAGATTTGTGTGTACTTTTTAGAAGCTGACATTTTAAAAATACATTTTAAAAAATAAACCCAAAATATGTCAAATAATCTGAAAGAATTTGAGAGGAAACAAAAAATTGACCATTTGGGGGACCATTTGATTGTTACTTTTAGCATTTGTTTGGAGCGGGAAAATCAGAGTGGGGTGGAGGTGACTCTGGGGATAGCATGTCCAGGCCTCTGGAGCACATAGAGGTTCTGCTGTCCAATTAGGGGTCCCATCTTTGTGCCACCCCCAAGAGACAACACATGAGGCCTTCAGAATCCAAGACAGAGTAATAGTGTCCTGGCTGGTCAGAATTATGTCAGCCTCAGTGACACCGAGAAGGGTGTGATCTCTTCTAAAACATAGCAGAGTAATGAAAAATAGATAGCTCACTCTTGGTGCAAGCAAGCAGGAAAGTTTAAGTTTCCCTTTACCTTGGATCAAGGGTTCAGAGTTAGAAATTCAGAACATGCAAAAGGATTCAAAGAAACTTTCTTTGCTTTGACAGGTGAACACAGCAAGAAGAGAATTGACATTGTCTTGGTGGCTAATCATGAAGCACATGGTTTTGTTGTTCTACTAATTGGCTTGTCACTCTGTCCTCAGATGTCAACATTGGTTTATCACATCATATTCCTCCTGACACATCTCCTTCCCTCAGAAGGATGAGTCCATTAGTTATGCACCAACTATCAGAAACTTTTGCATTGCTGGAGTTGAAGAACAAGTTTTTCACTTGTGTCAGGTGATGAAGACAAAGTGTTGATTTTTTGTTCAGAGATAGAAGAAAACAATTCTGAGATACAGTGAGAAGCTCGGAAGAAGTAACCCAGTATCTAAGCAAAGAGAGGGATGTGGCTGGGAATTGCTGGAACAGACTGAGAAACACCTGAATTTTAATTAAGCACCATTACTGAAAATCACAACACTACTATTTTGTGGAAAATAGTTGAGTTACATGTGTTTAAAAATATATATATATGTTTATATATATACATAAAACATTGTATGTTATATACGTAATATAACATTATATATAGATAATATGATGTGATAAACCAAAGTTGTGGGTTATAATGAAAGACTACTTTATTTTGTTGCTCAAATTGATGCAACTCTAGCCGTTATATATGTATGTAAACATATATGTATATATAGTTTGTTTTAGAAAAAAATTACATTTACAGAAAACTTTCAAAAAATCTTAGGGAGAGTTCCCATGTACTTCTCTTGGCTATGACACTTTCTCAGACTTTCCTTTTTCATGATAACCTTTACAGTTTTGAGGAGAGCACTGGCTATGAATTTGTAGAATTTCCCTCAATTGGGTTTTGTCTGATTTTTTAAATAATTAGATGAGGGTTATGTGTTTTGGGGAGGAAGCCCTCAGAGGTAAAGTCCATTCTTAACATTGCATCACTGATGTCATGTCAAGGGTGCACATCACCATGAGTTATCCCTGTTGAGGGTAATCTCGATCTTCTGATGAGCCAGTGTCTTGCAAGCTTCTCCACTGTAAAATTACTCTTTTCCTTTATTTCCATACTCTACTCTTGGGAATGAAGTTGCCATATACAGCCCAGCCTTGACAAGGCTGGGGATGGTTATACTCCCAGCCTTTGAGGGCAGAATTCTCCCATAAGCTATTTGGAATCCTTCTGAATGGGAAATTATTTATTCTCACAATTTACTTATTCAATCATGTATTTATATTAGTATGGACACATGGATATTTATGTTGTGGGTTACAATGAAAGACTACTTTATTTTGTTGCTCAAATTGTTCCAACTCTAGCCATTGAGATTTCTTTTAGTTAGTTCCTGTGTTGCTTCCATATAACCTCACTTTACATCTTTTTCTTAATTTTTGAACACTTTCTTTCATGCCCTGCAAGAGGCCCCAGGTTCATTCTATATCTCTCCTGACCTGGTCATATAATCAGGCATTTCTCCAAGGAATCATTTTTCATTTTACTGGAGAATGACATTAGAAAGCAACCTTTGAGCACTAGGTGTGTTCATTGTTGTCAATATCATTGCTTCTTGGCCTCTCGACTGACAGAGCATATAAATCTACATGTGTATACTAACCTGTGCACATATACATATCTATAAATATCTTAGATTTATTTGTATTTATATTAAGATAAGCATGAATACATGCTGATATCTCCAACTCTAATCCATTACTACGCAAATCACTCTGTTCTCTTTCCCTTCATTATCTGTAACCGTCCATGCCAACACTGAGAATCCTGCATCTCAGCATCTTCCCTTTGCTTATTTTTTCAATTCCTATACATCTATATACTGTGATCATAATTTTAAACCAGCACTTCATATGGAAGATACATTTATCAACCAAGGTATAGTGCTTACGTACAGGTTTTTATGCCTATAGACTTACAGATTCCACTAACTTTCAACTTCCACCCCACTCAGTGAGGTGGTTTCATGTATTTTCAATACAGTTACATGTTCTTTCTCCGCTTTCTCCATTTCTTCTTGGGTTTCTCCAAATCTTTACATGATTTTTAACATTTTTATATGTGAACATTAACTCTTTGTGCTGTTGAGTCCTATAGATTTTGATGAATGTTACATATCCACCATTACAATATCATGCAGAATAGCTTTATGGCCATCAACTATTCCCTGTGCTTCCACTCTCTCCTTCTTTTTCAAACTCTTGCAACCACTGATTTTTTTTTTTTTTTTTTTTTTTTTTGAGATGGAGTCTCGCTCTGTCGCCCAGGCTGGAGTGCAGTGGTGCAATCTCGGCTCACTGCAAGCTCCGCATCCCGGGTTCATGCCATTCTCCTGCCTCAGCCTCCCGAGTAGCTGGGACTACAGGCGCCTGCCACTGCGCCTGGCTAATTTTTTTTGTATTTTTTTAATAGAGATGGGTTTCACCGTGTTAGCCAGGATGGTCTTGATCTCCTGACCTCATGATCCACCCGCCTCGGCCTCCCAAAGTGCTGGGATTACAGGCGTGAGCCACTGCGCCCGGCCGATATTTTTAACTGTCATCATAATTTTGTCTTTTCCAGAATGTCACATAAATGGAATAATAGATTTTGTAGCCTATTTTATATTGGATTTCTTTCACTTAGCAATATACATTTTAGTTTTGCCCACGTGTTTCAAGATGTACCATATGTCTGATATCTCATGTGTTTCTCTCCGTGGATAATATTCTGTTGCATGGCATGGATGTACAGCAACTTATTTATCCATTCACCTAGTGTATGGTTCCTTCTGGTTTTTAGCAATTATTCATAATCATCTAAAAACACTCACTTTTCCATAGACATAAAATTTCAAATCAGTTGAAATGTGCTTGTTTTTATATGTTAATACCTAGGAATTTGCTTGTTTTTATATGTTAATAATATATCTTGTTTTGTAAGAAACTGTCAAATTTTCTTTGAAATGGCTATACTGTTTTGCATTTCCACTAGGAATAAACAACAGCTTCCTGTTGCTCTGCATCTTTTCCAGGAATTGGTTTTTGTATTAGTTCCCTAAAACTACTATAAGGCAGTACCACAGACTGCATGGTTTAGAACAGCAGGGATTTATCTTCCGACGTTCTGGGGTCCAGGTATCTGACATCAAGATGTCAACAGAACCATGCTCCCTCTGAAAGCATTAGAAAGAACCCAAGCCATGCTTCTCTCCCAGTTTCAGGTAGCTTCGGGCATCCCTTTGCTTGCAGATGTGTCACTCCAGTCCTGACTCCATCATATGCTTACTGGTCATTGGTATGTCTTTTTTAATGAAGTGTCTGTTCAGATTGCTTACCCACGTTTTAACTAGTTTTTGCCCGTATTTTTTGGCAAAAAGGAATGAATTAATGGCATTCACAGCAACCTGCATGGAACTAGAACTAGAGACTATTATTCTAAGTGAAGTAGCTCAGGAATGGAAAACCAAAAATCTTATGTTCTCACACATAAGTGGCACCTAAGCTATAAAGATACAAAGGCATAAGAATGACACAGTGGACTTTGGGGACTCAGGGAAAAGGGTGGGAAGAGGGTGAGGGATAAAAGATGACGAATTGGGTGCAGTGTATACTGTTCAGGTGATGGGTGCATCAAAATCTCACAAATCATCACCAAATAACTTACTCATGTAACCAAATACCACCTGTTCCCCAAAAACCTATGGAAATATAAAATTTAAAAAAAATATTTAAATGTCATCTATCTATCTATATATATATTCAATAAGTATTTTTAAATATTTTGTGTCCCAGTCTGTGACTTGTCTTTTTATTTTCTAAACAGTGTCTTGTTGCACAGAAGTTTCTAATCTCAGTGACATCCAACAAATCAGTTTTTTCTTTCATGAATTGTGCTTTTGGTGTTTTAACTATGAAGCAAAATCCACCTAGATTTTCTTCTATGTTACCATTTTCGACAAAAAAATTTAAGTGTATGTTTAATATTTAGGTTTATAATAATTTTAAGCAGATTTTTGTTAAAAGTGTAAGGCCTGTGTCTGGATTCATCTTTTGCATATTTATGTCCGTTGTTCCAGCATCATGTGTTGGAAACACTATCCTTCTCAATAGGATTGCATCTTTGTTTTTGTCGAAGATCAGTGCACTACATTTATGTGGGCCTATTTCTGGACTTTTCTTTCTGTTCCATTATCTATTTCTCTATTACTGTTATTATTTTCTGCTAATGCTACTTGATTACTGTAGCTATATAAGTTTTGAACTCAGGGAGTGTTAGGTCTCTGACTTTGTTCTTTTTCAATATTGTGTTGCCTATTCTGAGTTTTTTCTTTTCTCATATAAATTTAGAAAAAATTCGTCAATATCCACAAAAAAAACCTTAATAATATTTTGACTGAAATTGAAAATAATCTGTAGATCAAATTCAGGAGAACTAACATTTTAACCATATTTTCTTTCTATCCATGAACACGGATAAAATCATCATTTAATTAGTTCTTTACTTTCTTTCATCAGAGCTTTATAGTTTTTCTTATATTAATCCTGTACTTAGTATGTTAGATTTTTCCCTAAATATTTCATTTTTGGTGCTAACGTCAATAATAGGTTTTTAATTTCAAAATCCAAGTTTTCATCACTGGTATACCGAACTGTAATTGAATTAATCTATGAGCTTTGTATCTTGCAACCTCATTATAATCACTTGTTAATTCCAAGAGTGTTTTGTTGTTGTTGATTCTTTGGAATTTTCTTCATAGACAACCATGTCATCTTTGGGAGAAAATACAGTTTTAAAGTTTTATTTCTTTCTTTCAAATCTATATCCTTTAAAAACCTTTCCTTATCTTATTACCTTAGTCCTTCAAGTACAATGTGGAGTAGATGTGGTGAGAAGGGGCATCTTTGCCTTATTCCTGATCTTAGGGGGTTGGCATGGAAGCAACATCCTTCCCACATCAGGAATGAGCTCTGGCAAATTATTTTTCTTGAAGATAATTTCTTTGTTATGGGGAACACCCTGGAAATATTTCACGATGATTATTCTTTCTCTCCCACTGCCAGAGCCATTAGAGGATTTTTTCTCTGATCTTCACCATAAGAATATAGAGGGATTTCTGGAAGTAAAATCCATGAAAAGGTGCATCTGGCCCCATGTAATATACCCCAGTTTCTGACTCTCACACAATCCACACTCAGCCACCAGAATTGCCATTTAAGTATTTATGCCAATTAATGGCACCCAGAGTCTTCTGCCCAAGTAAGCAGATCTCGGCTATGACTCTCTCCATTCACCTCCCTCTCCAGACTTTAGGGTGAAGGTTACCCTGAAACTTCAGGTCCCATGGGTTAGAAAAAATTTACTGGTGTTAACTTCATTCACCTTTTACTTTTTGTAAGAATGGGAGTCAAGACTTCTAAGTTCTTTACATGTCACAGCTGAAACTAGAAGTTTATATTATTTTTTGAATGCTGATGGCAACATACTAATTCAGTTTCATGACCCACTAATAGGTCTTGACCGACAACACAAAGATAGATAACGTCTCAAGAAACTTCCCTGCTTTTGGCTCCTGCATGGAGATCTCTAACAGACAGAACACATTAAGAGGGAAATAAATACATTTACTTTCTCCATTTTTACTTCAAGTATAAAGTGGGTATAGTTTATTTTCAATGTGTTTGCATAATATGAGTCCTTTATTGATTGAGAAAAAAATAATTATCAAGACTAGGGTAATAAAATACTTTGCAGTTAAGGTCCTACCTGCCTGGAGCTGCCATCCTGTGGTTATAAATTTGATTGCTCAAATGTCATTATTTGGGATGGATTTTTAAAATGTCTTTTAAAACCACAGTCAGTATATTTAGAGTCTCTCTTGAAACTATCAAGTTTGAGGTCCCAACTGGTTAAAGGAAAGAAAAGTTGCAAATCGTAACCATCTTCCATGCAGAGTCAAGGGCATCAGCCTATTCAAAATCCTCCTTGGAATTTCAGGGCTTTGGGTTTTACAATCCTTTGTATTTTAGTCTGTGTATCTACATAGACTTCAATGGCTCTTTTTGGAGCTGAGTCCCAGAAAATGTGGTGCCAGTAGACCCTCCATTAAGCTTCCTAGATGGAAAGTCAACTGTAATAAAGTAAGAACTATTTATTAACTTATTTTTAAGTTGTAAAAGCAAGATATGTTCCTTGCCAAAAATGTTTGATAGAGTGTCCAAGAAAGCAGATATATTTTGCCCATTCTAGCACTGTTAACATTTTGTGAACATTTTTTATGACTTTTTCTATGCATATCTATTTCCGAAGTGGATTTATATTATACGGTGAACAACAAGAACCAAAATTTGAGCTTATACAAATTTAACTCTTATGTTCCCTACTGAGAAAGGGAGAGAGAGATACATTTTGTATGACAGATGATTCTGTTCTTTCTTCCACTCAACGAATGCCTCAGAGTTTGATGAGGGTGGAGGTGTGAACAAATGCCTCAGAGTGTGATGAGGGTGGAGGTGTAAACGAATGCCTCAGAGTGTGATGAGGGTGGAGGTGTGAATACATGCCTCAGAGTGTGATGAGGGTGGAGGTGTGAACAAATGCCTCAGAGTGTGATGAAGGTGGAGGTGTGAACGAATGCCTCAGAGTGTGATGAGGGTGGAGGTGTGAATACATGCCTCAGAGTGTGATGAGGGTGGAGGTGTGAACGAATGCCTCAGAGTGAGATGAGGGTGGAGGTGTGAATACATGCCTCAGAGTGTGATGAGGGTGGAGGTGTGAACGAATGCCTCAGAGTGAGATGAGGGTGGAGGTGTGAACGAATGCCTCAGAGTGTGATGAAGGTGGAGGTGTGAACGAATGCCTCAGAGTGTGATGAGGGTGGAGGTGTGAACGAATGCCTCAGAGTGTGATGAGGGTGGAGGTGTGAACGAATGCCTCAGAGTGTGATGAAGGTGGAGGTGTGAACGAATGCCTCAGAGTGTGATGAGGGTGGAGGTGTGAACGAATGCCTCAGAGTGTGATGAAGGTGGAGGTGTGAACGAATGCCTCAGAGTGTGATGAAGGTGGAGGTGTGAACGAATGCCTCAGAGTGTGATGAGGGTGGGGGTATGAATACATGCCTCAGAGTGTGATGAGGGTGGAGGTGTGAACGAATGCCTCAGAGTGTGATGAAGGTGGAGGTGTGAACGAATGCCTCAGAGTGTGATGAGGGTGGAGGTGTGAATACATGCCTCAGAGTGTGATGAGGGTGGAGGTGTGAACGAATGCCTCAGAGTGTGATGAGGGTGGAGGTGTGAATACATGCCTCAGAGTGTGATGAGGGTGGAGGTGTGAACGAATGCCTCAGAGTGTGATGAAGGTGGAGGTGTGAACGAATGCCTCAGAGTGTGATGAGGGTGGAGGTGTGAATACATGCCTCAGAGTGTGATGAGGGTGGAGGTGTGAACGAATGCCTCAGAGTGTGATGAGGGTGGGGGTGTGAATCTCATGTTCCTTCACATGAATGGCATGAACTGAAGGCCTCTCTCTGTGTGAGCTGTCCGTGACATTAAGCACATTCCTGTGTTCTGGAGGAAAGGAAAATGATTTTCAAATAAACACTTGACCACATACAACTTCCATTTTTCACCTTGTAAAGTTTTGAAGGGAGGATATTCAATTTCCATCATGTTTTGCTTTGTTTTGTTTTGCTTTCCTGTAGTGAGCTTCTTCCTCATTTATGCTGAGGATAGTAAGTGCCTCTTTCCATCTTGTTCTCCCTGCATCCCTCATCTCTGCCCTTGAAGAGAGTGATTGACATGACAGCTAAGCCTGGGATCAGGAACTAAGCATGTTCAGAACAGCCATTCATCACTTTCTTTTCAGAGTTGCGGGCCTCTCCCCAACTCTGTGGGGAAGAGTATTGGCATGGCCTGTGCCTGTCAGGAGAGGCCAGAGTTCTGGTGGGAGGTCCACTTAGGATACCTGACTGTGTGCACAGGCCAGGGACATCCTCTGATAGAGTTCTACCATTAATAAATCTGATAGACTTGTCTGTACCTGTCTGGTTCCTGTGTCTACCTCCCTATCGTAGGTGGTGTCTACCAGCCATAAGGAGTGCTAGTTATCTTCCATTTGCCTTCAAGATCAATTTTCCACCCTCTGCACCCTGCTTGTGTCCAGAGAAGTTGACCTGTGTGGACAATATCATGAGCTTCCTTGTTCTCTGGCTCCCTGATGGGTTTGGCCCAAGAGAGACATCTCCAGGAGATTGGCGAGTGGGAAGATCAAGGTGGGGTGTCGATTTCCCTAGTTCTGTCCCTTTAGGTCCCTGGAGATATTCTGTGTCCTCTTGCCAAAGGTCATGGCTTCTGTCAAATAGCCCCCCTTTCCTGGTTGTAGAAACCTTTCCAGAAACCCCCTTTCCTGGTTCTAGAAACCATTCCCTTCTTTTCCCTTGAGGAACAGGATATATATGTAACCTTCCCGTTCTTACTAGCCCCTGATCAGCTATTCTTATTTCACCATATTAAATACTTATTCTGCTTTTTGTTGTTGTTGTTGTTTGTTGTTTTGAGACGGAGTCTCGCTCTGTTGCCCAAGCTGGAGTGCAGTGGCACGATCTCGGCTCACCGCAACCTCTGCCTCCTGGGTTCAAGCGATTCTCCTGTCTCAGCCTCAACCTCCCGAGTAGCTGGGATTATAGGCATGCACCACCACACCTGGCTAATTTTGTATTTTTAGTAGAGATGGAGTTTCTCCATGTTGATCAGGCTGGTCTTGAACTCCCAACCTCAGGTGATCTGCCCGCCTTGACCTTCCAAAGTGCTGGGATTACAGGCATGAGCCACTGCGCCCAGCCTTATTCTGCTTTTAAAACAATCTCTTTAACTGTCTTTAAGTTACCCAATTTGAGCATGCATTTGTTTTCTCCTGGGACCCTAATTGATAAGACCTTAGAGGAAGCTTATTTTATAGCTCCCATGTGTTTCTGTAATATGGGAGGAGCCCAAGCCTCTGACCAGCATAGGCCCCAGCCTGGCATTGGGACAGGCTTGGCTGATGGCAGCTCTGGGACATCTACATGAAGACCTGTTACTCCCCTACTTACGTTTTTATCTCATTTCACAGTGCCCTTTTGTTTGCTTTTCATTTGTTAACAAAATCTCAGGCAGCCTAACTTCTTTCCGGTGGCCAAACCGATGTATCTTCCTCCAAATATGGTTTCAAACTCTATTTCCAGCCAACTTGTAATTACACACAGCTGTTGGCAAGTCCTCATGGTTGTTGGCCAGAGACATCATTTTCTTGCAACATGGGATTCTTTATTGGGCTGGTTAGCACATGGCAGCTTGATTTTCTCAGAGCAAGTGAGTGAGAGAGCAGATCCCTTCCGATCAAGTCTTGGGATGACTGCAGCTCTGAGCAACAACTTGATTGCAGCCTTGATGAAGATCTCGGGCCATAGGCAACCAGTTAAACTTCCCGTGGAAATGATAAAATAACAAATCGTTGTTTTCTTAAGCCATTATGATGTTAGGTAATTTTTCACGAAGCAATAAAAAAATTAATATGTTAGTTTCTGGAAGTGAGATGCTAATCATAAAGAATATAAGAATATGAGCATTGCTTGGAACCGAGGAGCAGGCAGAGGCCGAGATGATTTTGAGGAGCGTATAAGCGAAGGCTTAGGTTGCCTTGAATTGATTGTTGTAGTCCTGTGGTTCTGGGCTCTGGGAATTTAGAAGTAAGTGAGAAACATGTTATTAGAAAGCAGAACGGGGGAATTTTTGTTATGTTGTGGCAGAAACTTAGCAAAATTGACACCTTCAACAATGTGGAAAGTAGAAAATGTGCCTAGTCAACTTGATGATCTAGCTAAGGGCATTCCCAAGCAAAATGTTGAAGGTGCTAGTTATTGTAAAATGTGTGAAGGAAGAGACAAAATGAGGGAAGGACTTTTAAAAAATAATAGCCAGAGCTCAGTGATGTTTAAAATTCTCAATCTCTTCTGATTGCAAACATTAATTCTGATTGCAAAAATTAAGAAATGGCTCTCACGCAAAGAAGAAATTCAAAGCATTAGCAGAAAAATATTTTCTTGGGTTGAAACTGGGGATTTGACCTAAGAACCTTTGTGAAGACCTTAGAAAGTTCACAGCTGGTACATTAGAGCACTATTCCATCACGCAAAAGACCCTTCAGAAAAGTCTAGAGTCTGCCTATTACACAAGTGAGCTTCTGTGAAATTTATGAGATTATATCTTATATAAAAGAATTTCTGCCAGGCATGGTGGTTCATGCCTGTAATCCCAGCACTTTGGGAGGCCGAGGCAGATGGATCACCTGAGGTCAGGAGTTTAAGACCAGCCTGGCCAACATGGTGAAACCCGTCTCTACTAAAAATACAAAAATTAGCCAGGCATGATGGTGGGCACCTATAATCCCAGCTCCTCAGGAAGCTGAGGCAGGAGAATCGCTTGAACCCAGGAGGCAGAGGTTGCAGTGAGCCGAGGAGATCACACCATCGCACTCCAGCCTAGGCAACAAGAGAGAAAGTCCGTCTCAAAAAAAAAAAAAAAAAAATTAAAAAGAGACTGTCATGATGGTAGCTTTTGTTTGATGGAGTGAACACCAGTGTGATTCACAGGGGTTCCACAAGAGTTTGAGAAAATCATGTTAGCAGAAATACTGTCACCTTGAACATCAAATAAAATACATCATTTTTATCCCCAAAATTCTACAGGTAGAAAGCAAGCTTTAGGAAACAACTCAGCTATAAACCCATGCTTTCTTTCATGATTTCTCCATTCTAGAGTTGGAGCTGGGAGCCATAGAGAATTATTCCCAGGTCTTGGGCCCCAATCAAGAAACTCCCAATATACCTCTGCTTGTATTTCAGAGTTGTTACACAACAGTTACTCTCCTATGGATCTCATTTTCCTTCCCTTTAAGCAAGAGTGTCTGCAATGATTATTCTATAGTTGCTTAAGCTTTGTACATTGGGTGCATGGGGGCAGGAACACAAGTTATATATTTAGTTCCAAAAGCCTTAAAATTGAGAGAAACTGCACACAAATAGCTTTATTTAGGGAACCACATGTAGGGAGCCAGGCATCATTATCTGACAGAGGTGATGAGATTCTGGATTTTGAGTTGATGTTGTAATGCTGTAATGAGATGAGACTTCAGAGGTACTATATTATGAAACAAGGTATAAGTAATAAAGTAGCCAAGGTCTTAGCATCACGTGAGATGAGGATATTTAACATCTGTCATATCAACTGAAAAATTTAAGAGTGGTAAGTGTAATTTTTGTGTGTTGTATTTCCATTTGGGGGATGTGAGGAATAAAGCTGTAATCATGCTTGAAAGTTATTATGCCAATTTTGGTTATATTTAACATTATTGCTGGTTTCAATCATGACGCTAATCCACCTGCCTCATTTCCCACCATCTGTTTTGTACCACCTGACCTCCCAGAAATCCCACACTTGATAGCCCAGGATTATCACTATCCTAAGATACTGACACACATTTTGAATTGTTTTCATTAATTAGAATTCTCATCCAGTAAAAATCACTTAACCCAGGCTGCAGTAATTGCAAACTAGGATGTTGATTTACTGTATAACCAGAGGGTTTGCTAAAAATTGAGTAGGATTTTATGAAAAGTGTTTGACCTACTTGAGTAAACAGACTTGGAGATCAATTAATGATTGCTTTTGATTAGGAGAGTATCTCACATGTTCACAAGACTCAGCATGATCTTCTCAGAACATCTCTGTTATGTCTAGGTACTAAGGTTTTATTTTGTAAGCACTTTCTTAGTACAGATATTATATTTGAACAGCACTATGAACTTTTCTACGAACTTGCACATGTCCTTTTAACACTGAATTTTAAAACAACCACAGCAAGTGACATCATTATTGTTTTTGAGTGGGTGAAGTCTAGCCCAGGAATGCAGAAGTAACAGTGAAGGTGTGACAATTTCTACTCAGTTTACTGTAGAATTTCCACTTTGGTCATAAAGCAAAGTTGTCTTTCTTTTTGACAGGCTTTTTCTCTGTTTTCCAGGCTGGAGGGCAGTGGCTTGAGTAAGCTCACGGCAGCCTCAAACTCCTTGGCTCAAGGGATCCTGCCTCAGTCTCTCAGGTAGCTGGGACTACAGGCACACAACACACTATGCCTGGCTACATTTTAAATTCTATTTTGGTAGAGATGGGCGCTCACTATGTTGACCGGGCTGGTCTTGAACTCCTGACCCCAAGTTATCCTCCTGCCTTGGCCCCCCAAAGTGCTAGGAATACAGGCACACGTCACCACACTCAGCTATTTATTTTATTTTTGTAGAATTGGGGTCTCACTATGTTGCCTGAGTGGGTCTTCAACTCCTGGGTTCCAGCAATACACTTCAGCCTCCCAAAATGCTGGGATTATAGGCATGAGCCATCTTTCCTGAAAAAGTTTTCTGTTCACATCCCCAAACCTCCAAAGATGTCTAAACTCTTCACCCCTCTGTTGACAGCACTTGTCTCTGTCTGAGACTGCTGGTGAGAAAACATCCACAGGTCACAGGACAACGGGGCAGAGGGGGCCCCATTCAAGGATAGCTCAGTGTTGAGTAGCTTACATGCTGCCGCTCCATTAGGGACTTCTATCCCTGGGGCCCTCCCAGGCTCTTCATTGCTTTCCCTTCTCCTCTTAGTCTCTCCTCTTCTTTGCAACTACCTGCTCCTCCAGCTCTTCTATTTCCCGTCTTTGGAATCAAAAAAGCCACTCCACCAACAGGCATCTGGAATTTTCTGTCTCAAATATATGTCTTTTTTGAATGTTTATTTCCTCTTCTGTGTGTGGTGTGGGAGGGAAAGATGCCTTCTGGGATACATGTAAGAAACACAACAAAAAGGAAATATTCCTAAAAATACACAGATTAATACTTTAAGATTTAACCCTGGCTCAGGTCCTAGAACCTGATCTAGTTATGACGGCTGTGTTCCATGTTGTCCGCTGTAATCTAGACAGGGTTAATGTCCTCCTCAGCTTGATTAAACCTTATCCAGACCGTCCTGACTCTAGGCTTTTTTCCTCTCACCCAGACCTTACAGAACCCAGGTGGCCCAAACACAGAGGCCCCTTCCCTCCCTTTTTATAGAGCATTTACTTTAGAAAACATGCAATTGTACATTCTTTTTCTGCCCCTTTGAGATGTAAATCTTTTATAAAGTCTCCTGCCAGTTTTATAATCCAGCAATATCTTTCTCAAGGACCTGGGAACCATTGATTTGAAATAAGATCATCCAGGAAGATAAAGTCCCATCTCCCAGTCTCTGTGGGAGAAAAGGATCCTAGCTTGGGTGGGAGTCTCGCTCTAAGCTGTAAAACTCACTCCTGTTACAAAGACAGGAGAAAGTTTGCTCTTTGATTTTCTTAATTTTTTTTTTATTCAAAGAGCAAACACAGACGGCCTGTGTTTTCCCCTTTACTCTCATATTTAAAAATCCTCACAACCTTTGTTTTAGCTGAGTTGAGCTCAGTCTAAGTTCTGGCCCTTCTCTCCTATTGCACAAGTCATGCATTAAACAAGTCTGTTTAATTTTGCCTAGTGCAATTTCTGCTTTGTGGATTGTAAGTAACTGATTGGCTCTGGCCTCTGAGAATAGGAGCATGTTCAGGAGGATGTGTAGGCACAGCCATGTGGTGGCATGGCGGGAGACTAGCACTGGGGGTGGTAGAAACCAACAAAGCTCCAGAGATAAAGAAAGAGGAAACAGAAAACATGGAATATTCTGTCTGGTTTGTTATTACACAGACCATGTGAGCCAATTCTGCTGTCACTACCACTGTGGCGATGGAAAATGACCTCTGAGTGACCACTCTGGCCTTGAGTCATGTGGGGTTAATTAGTTCTTTCATAACACAATCCTTTTTGTGTTTCCACCCCAAATTTTGTGTTCTCTGTGACTTACACTTAATACATATCATAAATTAAGTGCAAAACAAATAAACCCATCTCATCAGAGTACTATGATCCTGCTGGAATGAAGTGCATTAAATGTGGTTTCGTGAAAGAAAAAAAGTTTACCAAAACGTGGTGTTTTTTGATAAATTGAGTTTGGGTCTCATATTTTTAGGAGCGCACACAGGGAGGCAGACTAGTGATGTGGTTTGAAATGTGGCCTCTAAAGCCAAATTGCCTGAGTTTGAATTTTATGTCTTCCAATTACTATTTTTATAAACCTTAACTCCTTCATGTCTGTCTCTCACCTTTAAAAAGGAATAATAAAAATAGTAACCTCATAGGGTTGCTGTGAGGATTAAATGGACTCAATACATGCAAAGCAAGCTCATGTGAAGGGCCACTTGAGTGTTAGCTCTTATCGTGATGTGTGAAAACTGAATAAACAGAATGGCTATGTGATGAATTAATTCCATTTGTAACAGAATCTGAGCATTATCATGCTAATGTTGGCACTAAATGGATGGTTTTATGATCTTGAGCCCAGAGCGGAATGTGGTAGGTGAACACTCCAGACTACAGATTTTCTACTAAAACCAGTACTTCACGCAGTGGCCAGGAGGGGACCAGTCTAAATGACAAGAATAGGCATTTGGATATCAATCAGAAAAGTTAATAACATAGGGCAAAAGCTGCCAGGGAAGCTGGGCTAAAGGCTGAGGCAGGAGAATCTCTTGAACTGGGGAGGCAGAGGTTGCAGTGGTTGAGATCATGCCATTGCACTCCAGCCTGGGCAACAAGAGTGAAAATCCATCTCAAAAAAAAAAAAAAAAAAAAAAATTGGGTAGCTTGACATTTACAGAGGATAACTTTAGTGTAGATCTCAGCCCTGAGAGGAAATTGTTCTGTGTGCTTTTCTGCACTGTGCAGTAGAAGTGATCAATCAATGCTTCTCCTCCTTTTGCTCGAAGTAGAAAAGTCTAGCAGGTAAGACCTGACACAGAAGGACAACCTAGAAGGGATAGGCAACACAGATCATCAAGACACCTGGTATAAGGGAGGGTCATGAATTCCAGACACTTCCTAGCACAAATGAGTCTACTGAAGGAGTTATAGATGTGGACTCTGAAGGCAGAACACCTGCATTTGAATTCCAGCTCCACCACGTACTAGCAGTGTGGCATTGCAAGTTACTACGCCTCCTTTCTTGCCTGTGAAATAGGTATAATAAGAGTGTATACCCATAGCTGTTTATGAAGACTTATTGTTAGAGGTGTTCAAACCAGAGCAACTCCATCTTGAGTGAGGGCTAAGAAAATGAGGCTGGGGCTTCCTGGGCTGCATTCCCAGGAAGTTAGGTATCCCTAGCCTCTAGATGTATATGGTTAAGGGAACAGATGGATAACATTACTAAACAGACCCAGACTTGAGAGTCCTGATATCCCGATATCTTTGAGAACAGAAACATTGCTAATTTTGCTTTAAAAATCATAATATCAATCTTGCAAAATATAGGAATTAAGAAAATTAATCCTTTATCATAAATCCTTGTAGCAGAGCACATCTCCCCATGATCTTTTTTAATCCTGTATGTAAACAAGTATTTTACCTAGGGTGGATGCGTTCCTCCTCTTACTTCTGGGAATGCCCTACCTGTCTATGGAGTAGCTGTTCTTTTACCACTTAACTTTCTTAATAAGCTTGCTCTTGCTTTGCACTGTGGACTCTTCCTGAATTCCTGTGTGAGATCCAAGAATCCTCTCTTGGCATCTGGATCGAGACCCCTTTCCTGTAACATGATGATTTAACCCAAGTGTTACATTTCAGATAATGCCCTACTCAAAGCAAATGTTCAGTAAATATTTTCATCGTCATCATCATTATTACCACTAGCTGATCTTCCCTTACCATTTCTCAATCTAGATTTCCTCATTGGTAAAATGGGTCATGATAATTTGCAAATACACAAGATCCATTCCTTTGACAATTGTTTGAGTGGATACACTGTGCCGGGCACGGTTTAAGGTTCTGAGAATTCAGGCCTGAGCACTTAGAAAGTCAAACACACGGAGGTTACATTTTGGATGGGGAGTAGGGGCAGACAGAGGCATTCAGGACAGACTGTAAGCAAATAACTAACTAAATAAACAAAATAATAGAAAGTGCATCGCCCACAATAAACGGCGAGTAAATAGTATTCTCTTTAGCCACACATGAGGGAGTGAGATTGGGTAGGGACAGAGAAAGCAAAGGAAGCCTCTCTCAGCCAGGACTCCCCAGCTATGTGACGTCAGCCAGGCTGGGACTTCCCTGACGATTTCCTCACTGTATTTTTGGTCCAGGACTTGTGTTTGGCTCCTCTGTGTGGAAAGGTGTGTGGCGGAGGGGGGCGGCGGGTTGGGGAGGTGGAGAGGCCAGCTGCGAGTCGTGAAACTGTTAAGAGAAAGTAGATCAGCTGCTGGAGAATTTCCTGGCTTCTAAAAATACTATTATTGTTTTAAACAGCTATAGGAGAAGGCCCAGCAGATCCCAATCTCTCAGTCAGTAACAATGGAATACGTTTTAATTCTCACTCATCTTGAGAGGCTAGAAATACATTCAGCTTGACGTAAAAAGAAAAATTCTCCAGTCTCTTGGGTTGCAAAAGTAATCGTCCCTGACACTAAAGTGTAGTGGCAGCGGCCATCTGTAGTGGAGATATGGAGTGGCCATCTGTAGTGGAGAACTGAGAGATTTGCATAATTCATTAAAAAAATCATTTTCTGCTATCATCTAGAACTGTAAGAATCAATATTTTACAGTTAATCTTTTTCGTTGAAGAAGTTTCTCTGCTGCATTCTACCTCCTGCAGTCAAGAAGAATTACTGCTTATTCCATCCCCACTCTCCAGTCCCTTTCTTGAAGAAACCTTTATTTAAGAACTCCTGGCCGGGAGCAGTGGCTCGAACCTGTAATCCCAGCACTTTGGGAGGCCGAGGCGGGCAGATCACAAAGTCAAAATATCGAGACCATCCTGGCCAACGTGGTGAAATCTCGTCTCTACCAAAAATACAAAAATTAGCTGGGCGTGGTGGCGGGCGCCTGTAGTCCCAGCTACTCGACAGGCTGAAGCAGGAGAATCGTTTGAACCCAGGAGGCGGAGGTTTCAGTGAGCCGAGATCGCGC